>NC_000014.9:52642016-52945046 GCF_000001405.40 Homo sapiens | reverse complement strand
CACCTGTAGTCCCAGCTACTCGGGAGGCTGAGACAGGAGGATTGCCTGAAGCTGGGAGTTTGCAGCTGCAGTGAGCTGTGATTACACCCCAGCACTCCATTCCTGGGCAACAGAGCAAGACTCTGTCTCCAAAAAAAAAAGAAAAAGAAAATCTGAGGATTATATTTCTGAACGTGGCCTTTAGAAAGAAGTCCTTGCTTTAAAAGTGTGTCATGTTCTTGCCATATAATAATGAAAAAAGTTCATTTATGTTGGAGTTGCATGTTAGGATCAAGTTAGATTGTGAACTTAGCACATGTGACCAAAAAAAGAAATAGATTTTAATAAAGTTACCACTAAAAATCCCTTAACGTGATCATTAAGTATGGTATACGTTCATTGCATCTCACAGAAGTGGAAAATAGCTAGTTTTTCCTCTAGGAACTCCAAAAATAAGTTTCATTAATTGAGCACCAGATGAAGAAACTGGCTTACATGAGGGGCTTCGTTACACAAAAAAATACTTTAAACACTAGGATTAGAGCTTGGCAAGATGCACACTGGGAAAGAGGCATACGTAACTGGACAGCTCCCTTATACCCTGGCTTAGTGCTCCCTGGGGAAGGTGTGTGCTTATTTGGTGGAATGGTGCCTATGCAGTTGAAATCCTTAGTTTTTCCCCTTGAGGGCTCACAACTGAATTCATGGAAATTAATGCCTACATGATGCATCCTCATTGCATTCATAGTGAAATACATTAACATTATAAGAAATTTTTTTAAATCTTGGGGGTGGAGTAGGAAACAATGTTAAAATCTTATTAAAGTGAATTAAGTTTTGGTTAAATCTGATAGTAAGTTTACTCAGTGTTTAAAACACTGTTCATGATCCATAGGAAGTGAATTAAATTGTATCAGTTTCTTAGCAAATTTTAAGTTCTTTAAAAGTGGAGGACAGTACTCAAGTTTTACTGTAATCCTGTGACAGCTAATAAAGTATGAGCTATTCCTTAGAGTATGTGCTATTTGCTGCCTTTTGTTTTTGTTTTGCTGCTATGTTTTATACCCAGTTTTTTAAAGTAAAAAACTGTTTGTTTCCAACTAGAGTTAACTTATTTATAGAGATGCTAAAAATATGTTTATTCAATTACTTATAAAAGGCCTTGTTGGAAATGTCTAATCGCTCGCTATTGAAGAGAATGGAAAGAAAATATGTAAAATTTTACCTGTTATCTTTGGCTCTTAATTTTTAAAAGTTTCAAACATCTAAGTTCAAGAGTAATTGAGTGAACACTGCGTAATCTTCATCTAGACACCAGTTAGTATTTTGCCATTTGAATTTTCTATACACACAAACATACACATGTTGGGGAGCAGTTGGATGAAGTTTCAGACTTACTCATAACCTTTGATTCCTAAATATTTAAATATGTATCACCTAAGAACAAGAAACTTCTCTTGCATAATTACAGTATAGTGATCACATTCAGGAAATTCAACATTGATTCACTTCTGTCATCTAATATGCATCCATTTTCAAAATTTGCCAGTTGTCCCAATAATGGCCTTTGTTTTTTTCCCATCCAGAATCTCATTTCGCATTTAGTTGAAAGGGCCTCTTAATCTCCTTTGATATACAGAACAGCCACCAAGTGTGGAGCTACAGGAGATTATATAATAAATGGCTTATTGACATTACATTAAGATACATGTAAAATGATAGTATCTGTTTGTAAACTTTATGGCCACCCTGTAGAACAGTTCCTCAGCCTTGGTCTTTTAAGACATTGTTTAACCTTTTTAAAATAAGGTTCTTAGTATCAGTGCAAATTTCACTTCAGAGTGATTTTTTTTTCTTTTGAGACAGAGTTTTGCTCTTGTCACCCAGGCTGGAGTGCAGTGGCACGATTTCAGTCCACTGCAACCTCCGCCTCCCAAGTTCAAGTGATTCTCCTGCCTCAGCCTCCCAAGTAGCTGGGATTACAGGCACCCGCCACCACGCTAATTTTTGTATTTTTAATAGAGATGGGATTTCACCATGTTGGCGAGGCTGGTCTTGAACTCCTGACCTTAGGCGATCCGCCCACCTCGGCCTCCCAAGGTGCTGGGATTACAGGCATCAGCCACCACGCCTGGCCAAGAGTGATATTTTTATAGGTTCTTTTTCACATACTTTATTTTTAAAATTTAGTTTACTTCTTAGCTTACTATTAAATAAGCTGTTAATAATAGTTTTAGACATCATTGGATGTAGGTTTCCCATAATGTCAGCTGTTCTCAGACTGTAGTAGGTGCTGATGGAGGCACAGATTATTAAGAAATAACAGGTTGCCTAGTGTGTCAGAAGATCTGGATTCAACTTCTGGCTCTGTCTGCTACTTTACTGGTTAGTATGACCTTTGGACAATGAATCCAACCTGAGTGGGTTTTGACTTCTATAAAATAGAAATTGAAAAAAATTTTCTTGGGGCGGGCGGGGTGGCTCACGCCTGTAATCCTAGCACTTTGGGAGGCCGAGGCAGGTGGCTCACGAGGTCAGGAGATCAAGACCATCCTGGCTAACACGATGAAACCCCGTCTCTACTGAAAATACAAAAAATTAGCTGGGCGTGGTGGTGGGCGCCTGTAGTTGCAGCTACTCGGGAGGCTGAGGCTGGAGAATGGTGTGAACCCAGAAGGGGGAGCTTGCAGTGAGCCGGGATCGCGCCACTGCACTCCAGCCTGGGTGACAGAGCAAGACTCCATCTCAAAAAAAAAAAAAAGAAAAAGAAAAACATTTTCTCACAGGTTTTGGTGAGAATTAAATGAGATAATACATATATATTGATACTACATGTATATATACTTTATATAAACTATTTGTGTTATGCAAATGAGAGTGGATACTTCTCTGTGGCATTGAGTCTCTGAGTATATGAAAGTAGGAAGGAAAAAAAGGAAAAGTAGGTTAAAATATAATCTAGTATATTTAATAAGTTCCAGCTTTACTGGTGGGGAATTGCACTCCTCAAAAAAAGCTTAGTTTAGGATTGCTTTCTGTTCCCACCCTCTAAACAACAAGAAAAAATAGCTGTCATTTTACTTTCCCGCCAACTTCCAAACACACACCTGCCTCTGCAGTGTAAGAGAGCTATTTAAGTACCATTTTAATAAGATTTCTGAAATGCAGGGGACCAATAAGTGGATGATGGTATTCCAGGTATTTGAAAAATCTAAAACCATGAAAGCATCAGTAGTAAATTAATTCTCTACTTAATATATTCTATAAGAGCAGTGTTTTTAGTTCATTTATAGCAAAGGCACATGAAAACATTGGGCCTATTTAGAAACTAATGAAAGTAGTTTCAGAAAAAAGCTAATGTATGCAGTATTCCTATTTAAATAATTATTTTACTGACAAATTAATGCTTATGCCATGGAACATTTAAAATTGGTATATATGCCCAGTGAGAAGTAAACAAATACATCTGAAAGTGTATTTTTAAATAATTCTTTTATTTTGTAATTAAGAAGTGTGACTTCTGCACTTGGGTTTGTGGTTACAAATTCATATTCGTTATAATTCATTCTTTAACAAATTAGTTGCATAATTACTATATAATTGTTTTTCCTGTTAATTTTTTTTCTTAGTGTCAGGCTCATTGAGGTCTGATTGACATATAGTAAAATTTATCCTTCTTAGTATAATATTCTGAGTTTTGACATGTAAAACTACCACAGTCAAGATAGAAAACTTTTACAGTACTCCCAAAAGTTTCCTTTGTAACCGTCTCATCGCCTCAAACCCAGATCCTAAAAACCAGTGATAATTTGCCTTTTCTAGAATGGCCTGCAAATGGAACCATTCAGTTCTAGCTCTTTGAATCTGGTTTCTTTCACTTAGCATAATACATGTTAGCTTCGTTCATGTGTTTGTATCAATAGTTTTTTATCACTGAGTAGTAGTCCATTGAATGGATTATTTCACAGTTTGTCCATTTAGCAATTGAAGGGCATTTGGGTTACTCCCAGTTTTAGGAGATGATGAATAAGGCTGCTGTAAACATCCGTGTGAATGCATATTTTCATTTTTCTGGGGTAACTACCTAGGTGTGGGATTGCTGGGTGGTATAGTAAGTATATGCTTGAAGTTAGAAGAAACTGCCAAACTTTTTCATAGTGGCCACGTCACTTTACTTTCCTGTCAGTATTGTATGAGAGTTCCAGTTGCTGTCAGGTCTACCCTACCCTTGTTACTGTCAGAATTTAGTGTCGTTTGTTTTAATTTTAGCCATTCTAATAAGTAAGTAGTACTATCTCATTGTGATTTTAATTTGCATTTCCATAATGACTAACCTACTGGCTAAGTCAGTTTTTCAATTTCTAGAATCTCAGTATAGATAACACAGAATAAACTATCATTTAAGTTTGTTCCTGTCTCTTTGGAATGTGTAATGTATTAGGATTCTTTGAAAATAGTTCTTCAAATGTGGTAACTCTAAAGTAGAAGATACATAAACAGTATCTGAAGATATCTGAATGTCTTTAAATATATCTACAGCCATACTCTTGTGGATTAAAGGGTCAGTATACAAATCCTGATCTATTTCCCTTCTTTGAGAATATTATGAATAATTAATTGTTCATAGTAACTCACCTAGAGTTACATAGTAAAACATTTTGAAAGTTAATTGAAAATGATGTCTTATGGTATTTTCTCTCAACTTCATTAATGCTGCTTGGAAGTGAATTCGTGTATATGAGAAAAAGAGATAAGCAGTAAATGATTAAAATTTGAGGTTTACGTTTTGATTTCCTTCCATGATTCAGGTTTCAGGTTTCAGACTTAATTATCTGTCATTTAGATACATAAGGACCAGCCAGTGTCAGTGCATCCTTGGGGTGACCTTTCTACACATATCAAGGTTATTGGGCTGATAACCTCCAGCCCAGAGAAGGTGACATCTACTTTAGAATCGGAAGGGAGTCTTTTCTCAGATATTTAACTGTCTTATTTTTACATCATGTTGTAACTAAAAAATACATTAGGTATTTAAAAAATCAATTATAATTTCAAAGCATCAGTGTAATGATGTTTTTGATATCTTTTTCTTAATGGAATACTCAGGGTTATGAATAAAACACCAATAAAGTGCTAGCATTATTGATTGTAGATGAAGTTGTCTACTGGGTAAGTGCTTCCCAGCTTAATGTTCCTTAATGTAGTTCCTGGGTTCAGATCTAAGAATTTTATAACCTTTGAAATTAAAAATAACTTGAAAAAAGCAGATGATTCCTGTATCAATGTTAAAAGTCTTATGCAAGGTGGCAATGATTTCTGTTGCCAAGATGGAATGCCCTTGGTATGGAGCATAGACTGAGAGGCAGCCCACCCACGTCAGAATCCTGACTTGACCATATACTAGCTGTATGACCTTGGGCTGTGTGACCTGTCTGTGCCTCTGGTTCCTCATCTGGAAAATGGGGATAATAACAGTATCTTTGGATTATTATAAGGATTATGTTAGTTAATACACATGAAGTGTTTAGAATAGTTTTTGTAAATGTAGCTATGATGATAATTACAGTTCCAGCTATTTTAGTGTTTGTAGATTTTCTCCCTGTGCTGAGCCAGATAAATACCAGTATTATAAAAGATTGAGAATGTGCCTTTTAAAAGGAAGCCAAATAGTTCTTTGTTTTTTTTTTTTTTTTTGAGACCGTAGTCTCACTCTGTCGCCCAGGCTGGAGTGCAGTGATGTGCTGTCAGCTCACTGCAACCTTCACCTCCCAGGTTCAAGCGATTCTAGTGCCCCAGCCTCCTGAGTAGCTGGGATTACAGGCACGCACCACCATGCCCTGCTATTTGTTGTATTTTTTTTTTTTTTTTTTTTTTTAGTAGAGATGGGATTTCACCATGTTGGCCAGGCTGGTCTTGAATTCCTAACCTCAAGTGATCCACCCACCTCTGCCTCCCAAAATGCTGGGATTACAGACGTGAGCCACCACACCCAGCCAGAAGCCAAATAGGTCTGACATACTCTTTACCATATTAGGAATTGATTTTAAGTTTATTGTGCTACTTTGCATCATTATTAGTAATACTATAAAGAATTAAAGTATGAAGATCATCTAGAAGCAGATTTTATGCTTCCACATATACAAAATTATAGACTCACTATGCTAAGATAGGGAGTGTTTCCATAAATTCAATATTCTGGTTAGACAAATACCTTCTTTAAAAGGTGAATTTTACAGCACTTAGGGAGGCCAAGATGGGCAGATCACTTGAGGCCAGAGTTGGAGACCAGCCCAGCCAACATGGCGAAACCCTGACTCTACTAAAAATACAAAAATTAGCTGGGTGTGGTGGTTCATGCCTATGGTCTCAGTTACTTGGGAGGCTGAGGCAGGAGAATCACTTGAACCTGGGAGGTGGAGGTTGCACTGAGCCGAGATCGCACCACTGTACTCCAGCCTGGTTGACAGAGTGAGACTGTGTCTCAAAAAAAAACTAAGTGAACTTTGTTAGCGACTAAGAACTTACTCTAAGATGTGGCCAACTTATTGGTTACATATGACCTTGGGCAAGTTATTTTAACTTCTGATTATTTAGTCTCACTTAGCTTTAGTTTACTTGTTTTGGGGGCTAATGTATTGACTAAATATGGTATTTAAAGGATTAACAATTCTTGATAATTAGTAGAATGACTATACTAAGAGCTCAATAAAATGTAATCTACAGTTATCCTTCAAATACCATGTAAACTTAAAATATAAATTTCAACTGTGATTTTCAGTATTCTGATTGCTTTGTTTTCATTTTATTTATGTAGTATTTAACCATAAACCCCTTCTTATTTAATCTCTTGCTGAAACCATTTTAAAAGATTTTCTTGCCTTTGTAAATTCTGTTTAGTGGTTGTGAAGTGTCTGAATACATTCCTTGAAGTCACTGACTGGGTTTGAATACCAGCTTCAGTACTTACAAGCTTTGTGACCCTGTGCCACGTTATTTAACATCTTCGCAACTTAGTGTCCTTATAAACAAAATAAGTGTAGTAATCTTACCACTTAGGGTTGTCGTAAGGATTAAATGCAGACACATGTGTAAAGCACTTAGAGCAGTTCTTGGCACATAGTAAGTAGTAGTTAGACTAATAATTGTTTTATTGAGGATCCTTTTGGAGTTTGGGCAGTAAATTTATTGAGGATCCTTAATGAGTTTGGGCAGTAAATTCCTTACAGAACTTAAAATAGCAAAGAAGGCCCTTAGGTGAGATGGGACATTGATGTGTAAACATTCCTGCATAGAGATAATTCTATACATTCATGCTCTATTTTTGGTAGGTTATAGAGGTATAACATGAGACGTGTGGGAATATAAGGTACATGAACTGGACTGTAGTAGCAGCAACAAACATTTACGGAGAGCCAACTATTATATGGTGAGGCATAGTCCCGGCTCTCAATATGAGCAGCTTGCTAGTAACAAAGTGAAACAAGAAAATTACTTTGAGTCAATGATCTGATTGAGAAGTGCCAAATAAGTAGCCCTTGAATACAGGAAGACAGAGGTTTAGAGTCGTGAGTAATAACTGGCCTTATTTAAAGAGAGACAGGGTGGAAAGTTAGGAAGAAAGGCATTCCAGGTTGGGGATTGCAGTGTTCATGGTGTATTATAGACTAGCTTAGAGAAATAGAAGAAAAGCTTATAGAGAAGAAAGACATAGGTAACTGTGAAACGATATTCTGTTATTCCTTAACTTATCCACTTAATATTTATAAATGAGAGCCTATTGGATGCCAGAGACTATACTACAAACTGGGGTGAACAAAATTAACTCATTCCTTAACCCTCACTCTATTTGCAGTCGTAAGGTAAAGACAGTCTTTATTATTATTATCATTATTATTATTATTATTTTAAGACAGAGTCTTGCTTTGTTGCCCAGGTTAGAGTGCAGTGGCACGATCTAAGCTCACTGCAACCTCCACCTCCAGGGTTCAAGCAATTCTCGTGCCTCAGCCTCCTGAGTAGCTGGGATTACAGGCACGCACCACCATGCCTGGCTAATTTTTTTGTATTTTTTTTTTAGTAGAGATGGGGTTTCACCATGTTGGCCAGGCTGGTCTCCAACTCCTGACCTCAGGTGATCCGCCCACCTCAGCCTCCCAGAGTGTTGGGATTACAAGCATGAGCCACTGCTCCCGACCTAAAGACAATCCTTAAATAGTAATTACTATAATGTAGTGAGTATTATGGTAATTGAAATAGTTATAGGATTCTGTACTGGGCAACTGGAACCTAGCATATAGGATAGGATTTGTGGAGGGAGGGAAATGACTTTTAAGCTGAGATCTGAGAGTAGGAATTAGCCAGGCAAAAAATGGGAGGAGATGTGGGTAAGGGATAGGATGACAGAACAACAGGCTGGGAAGAGGATGAGAATTCCCAGCATGGGAAGTGGAGCAAGGGAGTGTGGCCAGTTGAAGAACTGAAAGAAGTCTGGTGATGATGGGGGAGCAATCCTAGGGAACCAGTGGCTTGACGTGAGGCTCAAGAAGAAATAATGCTAAAGTGCTTTCTGAACCAGGTTTAAAAGATTTAGCATTATCCCCAGAGCTGTGAGATGCCCATAAAAGACTTTAAATAGGGGGAGACATCAGATTTTTACACATTGGAAATTCATCAGTTTCATATAAAATAACTTGCAGATAAGGTGTAAGCAATGATAATCCTCTTGGATTTCAAGAAATAATTTTTCCAGTATACATTGAAGTTTTATATTAGAATTTGTTAATATTTTCTGAGATAAGCTTACAACATAAAAGCCAATTAAATATTCTTACTAAATTGCTTTTCTTTTGAACTTTAGAATAGCTAGTGTCATTGATCACATTTAAAACACAAACACAACTAATACTTCTCTAAGTCCAATACTAACTGGTGAATTTTGTCCTGATGTTACTCTCTTAGAATTTGTCAGACCTTTTCATTGCATGGACTCCGAGCCCTGTCTTCTAGGAATGAAGCCAGGTTGAACCAAATTAGCAATAAGCCAGCCTTCAGGATTGGATAGAAAGTTACCCACCCTCTGGAAATTAATAATTGGCATACTTTCTGTTTATGCATTCTGTAACTGCTTGCATGGCTTATGTGATCTGAAAAAAACTTCTTAACTGCTTTGAGTTAGTATGTCTTATAGTATCGGATAATAGATTGAAATTGATAGACATTATCTCAGATTCGTAACTTCAAAAGGCTATTTGTAAACTTAGTTGATCTCTTTATTTTGAAGAGTGAATTCCCCAGTTTTCAACTAGCTATGTAGAAGAAATTGCAATTTGTCACTTTTCGTTAGAGGTTTAGTTTCTGTCTTAGTCTGCTTGGGCTGCCATAACAAATAACATATCCTGGGTGGCTTAAACAGTAAGCACTTATTTCTCACAGTTCTGGAGGCTGCCAGATCTAAGATCAGGATGTCAGCATGGTTGGTTTCCAGTGAGGACCCTATTCCTGGTTTCCTCACATGGAGGAGGGAAAGAAGGAGAGATAGGAAACCAGCTGTCTTCTGTCTCTTCTTCTAAGGATACCAGTTCCACCAGAAGCACTCCACCTCCATGACTTGATTTACCTCCCCAAGGCCCCATCTTCAGATACCATCATATTGGGGATTAGGATTTCAACATATGAATTTGGGGGGACACAAACATTTAGTCCATAGCAGTTTCCCATAATTTGACACTGCCTCAGTTAGCCATTGGAGCCTTAATGTAAAATAATTTCCTTAACCTAAAATGGAATGGGGTACCTTAATTGAAATATGTTTGCAGTTTGAATGATATGTAAACTTTGAAGTTTACAGCTTCTGCTAGCAGATTAAAAACTTTTTTTTTAATATGACATCAGACATTTTTGAAAACAGCACTTTGGACGTTGCAATTTGCACGTTTACTTATTAAATAACACTAATTGTCTAACAACATGGCTCACATTTTAGTTGCCACCATACTTTATCTTTTAACTTTATACATTAACTAAGATGTAACTGCATAAAGTACAAAACTTGCTGGCTAACTCTTCAGTCCACAAAGCACTATGTAAATAACAGAAGCTCATCACAGTCAGTGACAAGTCATGTCACTTATTTCAAAGTCTATCTGTGATTGGCCACTGTGCATACAGTTCACACACAGAAGTGTTAGTGTTGCCTCTCTGTCCCCCATGAGAAACTCATGATGTTTTAAAAAAATGGATAATTGAAAGAGTTGACCAACAGAGATAAAACTGCAATGAATTAACAAAAAGTGTTCATGAAATACTAGAAGTGATAGTTGAATCAAATATAAATGGAGTTAAAGAAGAAATAGCTCACCATGGAAATGTGGATGCTTTCACCATTTGAAAGACTATAGATATACAGCCAAAGGAATTTAGTGAAGGTAAACTTACATACATGATACAAGTGGTATGACAAAAAGGATGAAGATGTCCCAGAGGAAGTGACACTAGCAAAAACTTTGCATACTGAAGGAGCTGTCAGAGATATTTCATGATACTGAAAGAGCAAAGGACAAAATGTTTTAAGTTGATCCAGACTTAGGAAGGAGTGTGACAGCTTGCCAAGGCATAAAAGATACTTGCTCCACATCATAAATTATATGATTAGAAGACAAGCACTATTTAAGCTATTCTTGTTAAGTTTTCACAAAGAAAAGTAACACTTCTCAATGTTTTTAATGTTTTAATTACAGTACACTAAATAAACACTAGTTTTGCTATTTTTTCCATTTCCATATGTACATTTATAATCAACAGTAAGAGTTTTTAATGTTTTTAACATGAACTTTTATCTTGGAATAATTATAATTTTTCAATTGATTATTAAGATTGCTTTACATGCTGCCTGTATATTACAAATATTTGTATATTACAAGTAGTAGTTTATAAATATTTATTAGTTCTGGTCTCTGCTTTTGAGACACAGGATAAAGACTTAATCTAGTGGGGAAATTAGTTACATAAATGAATTATATCATTCAAAGTGCTAAGGTATACTTTGCTGCTTTGACAGGTGGGTCAGTGAAGATTCAGAGGTGGTAATATTTGAGCTGGTACTGGTGCATGATTTTGCCAGTTTGATAAAGGGGGAAAGGAAAAGGTGCCTATCAAGGAGATCTGAAACACCAGCTTGTTCCACAAACTAGGCCAGAACAAAAGCTGCATCTGGGTGTGGTAAGAGCTACTAGAAAAAGGCAATGTGGGGCACAGATTTGTGGAACCTGTTAACGGATTATAAGATACTTCAGTAACAGACTCGGAAAGTTTTGGGGTTTTTTTCTTTTCCCTTTTTTTTTTTTTTTTTTTTTTTTTTTGAGACGGAGTTTTGCTCTTGTTGCCCAGGCTGGAGTGCAATGGCGTGATCTCGGCTCACCACAACCTCCACCTCCAGTGTTCAAGCAATTCTCCTGCTTCAGCCTCCCAAGTAGCTGGGATTACAGGCATGTGCCACCATGCCCGGCTAATTTTGTATTTTTAGTAGAGACGAGGTTTCTCCATGTTGGTCAGGCTGGTCTCGAACTCCCGACCTTAGGTGATTCCCCCCCACCTCAGCCTCCCAAAGTGCTGGGATTACAAGCGTGAGCCACCGTGCCTGGCCCAGACTTGGAAAGTTTTTAAGTGGACAAATAAACTGATCAAGTTTGCATTTTAAGAGACAACTCTGGATAGTGTTGTAAAAAATGGTGTTATAGTAATTCAGGGTAGAGATGTTGGGGACCTGAACTAAGGCAATGTAAAAGGAAAGGAAGGAACAAATTAACAGCTGCTTAAGGGATAGACTCCGTAATACTTGGATGGAAAGAAAAGCTGAGGGAGAGGAAAAAGTAAAATATAACTTGTAGAGATACATATTATCTAATTTCAAAGATATAAGGATTAGATTACTATAATGACTGTTCTGTGATCTTGGTGTAGGCCTTTCCTTACTTTGCTGGATGGGGTGGGGGCAGAAGTATAGGGAGGAAATATTTGTATGCTTCATCGCCAGTGTTTTTTTTTGTTCATTTCTTTGTTGTTTTACATTTTGTTGATTAATAATAACGCTATATGAGAGAATAAGATTCAGCAGAGTTCAAAAGTATATGTTGGGTATTCTTTTCCTGTTTTTCATGGTTGTGGAAACTCATATTATAAAAACTTCAGTTAGGTCCTGGATGATAGTGTTGTAGATTGCACTGTTGAGAATTCTTTTCCTCTAGAATACAGAGTAGTTCTAGAAGGGAGGGTTGTCCCTCTAGAAATAGATTAAGAGTAATTTAGGAATTCACTTCTGGTCTTTCTAGAATAATCTAATTACCAATGAACAGTCTTAAGGAAGAGAGGAATGACTCAGAAGTTATTCCAATTATTTTTGGACAGTAGAAGTCTTAATTTCTAGTATAAAACCAAAAGTGAGTACATTATTGTTATTATTTTTCTTAATTGCTTCTTTGCATTCATAGCCATTTGTGTTCTTTGGTTGTTTCAAAGTCTGTTTAATTTTGCATATTAGTATATGCATTCTTCAAGTAGTTATATGGCTGCTAACCATAACCTCTTTGAGTTTGTCTGTGGTTGCCATTATTAAATCAGAGAAAGACATGCATAATAAAAATATTCCTTTATTTAATAATCTCTTTGCCTCCTTGTGGATGTTCTATCTTCTTTCTCCTAAATACCTATTTCCTTAAGAGATGTGCAGGATAATCATCAGGATTTTACTGTGAAATGTAAATGAGTCCTAACATTAGTCTTTTGGCCTCATATTCAACATACCCAGACTTGCTTCTCTTCTGCGTAACTTTATCTTGGCTAATGGCATGTAATTTAAGAGTGCCACCTCTGAAATCACACTCATCTAGAGTCAAATCCTAATTCCTACATATGCTAACTTTATGAACTTTAGCCAAGTTATGTAACTTCTCTGTCCTTTGGCTCCACCCCCCGTTTTCTCATCTATAAAACAAAGAGATTATAATAGTATTTACCTTTTAACATTTTTTTCTTTTTCTTTTTTGAGACGGAGTCTCGCTCTGTCGCCTAGGCTGGAGTGCAGTGGCACGATCTGGGCTCACTGCAACCTCTGCCTCCCAGGTTCAGGTGATTCTCCTGCCTTAGCCCCCCGAGTAGCTGGGACTACAGGCGTGTGCTACCACACCCAGCTAATTTTTTGTATTTTTAGTAGAGACAGGGTTTCACCATGTTAGCCAGAATGGTCTCTATCTCCTGACCTGGTGATCCGCCTGTTTCATCCTCCCGGAGTTGCTGGGATTACAGGCGTGAGCCACCGCGCCCGCCCCTTTTAACATTTTTTGTTGGAATTAAATGAGAATGTGTTAAGTGCTTGGTACATACTAAATGTTCAGTAAACAAATCTTAGTGCTATTATCATCTATTTAATTATCAAGCTAGGAACTTTCTAGCTTCCCCTCTTCACCTTCCAGCTGTCCTCTCTCATCTGAAATCAGTGTCCTTGAGACCCATGATTCTAGCTTAGACAACTCCCTCATATTTGCCTCCTTCTCTTCACCTTCTGCCTTATGTCAGGCCCTGCTCTCTAGAATGTTGTGGTAAATTTTCTGCCAGACTCTAATTTGTGCTTCATAATCAAATCAAAATTATGTTAATAAAACAATCTGAGAGCCTCCATTGTCTACAGGATGGTTTCTCTTAGCACATTTGAACTCCCACATCTTTTAAGACCCAGGTAAAAATGCCATGTTAACCTAATTAATCTTTCACGTTTAATGTTGGTTGCCTCTGTGACATTTTGTTCTTTTATATTTTTAGCTCATTTTACTTGTCTGTGTCTCTCACTTGGACTGTAAGTGCCACTGGGATGGTAATTCTTATTAATTTTTATATTCCATTGCCCAACTTAGTGCCTGGCATATGATAGTTACTTGGAAAGTATTTATTAATTAGTGCATTGATTATACACCTGAAGAGCCACACTCTTCATCTGTTTGCCTCCTCTTTCGCTTTTTAAAGGTCTGAGTGACTAAAGAGATCAGAACAGGAGGGCACATCCTAAAAGCAGGATGCCCCATGATCCCCAACTCTAAAATCGAAAGAGAAGTTTGGGAGGAGAAAGACCTAAAGGGGTCAAGAGTAAAGACAATGTATGATTGAATATTGAGATTAATGTCTAGTGTCCTTTACATTTCAATCAATATTAAGGATAATATTATAAACATCGTTTTTACAAACTTAAGCATTAATTTTACTTGTAGGCCCTGTCTTTACACATTATTGGCAATAGAGTCTCAGTAGAAACATCAGAAGAGTTTCAGGCATTGGAAAGGAAAGCAAGTTAAAAACTCTTCTATTGTCATCGTTTAGTAAAGAAAAGAAACCCAGGCCTAAGACAACAACAAATTGTATCTGGGAAACTGGAAATAGGTTAATTCTTGGTATTCTGGGAAAGATGACTAGGGAGTAGCCAGGTGCCCTACAATTTGATATTCCTCAGGAAGCCATTGTCTCCCTCACAACTTGGCAGCAGCATTCCCTTTCTTACCCCATCCAACTCACTCTCTGCAGGTGCCATTGCTTGCAGTTTTTCTTACTTCTCAAGTTGAAACATTCTGCAAAAGGCTTTATGATACAGTTGGTAAGGTAGAGTGTTGCTAGTCATATAGGTCAGGTTATTTTTGGTTGGGTAATTTATTGTATGATTTGGAACCTAACTATGTAGTGTTTTTCTGTGATGAATCTGAATTCTCAGACTTACAAGTGGACTTTTAGAACATAAACACTTTGCACAATAGAGATTGTCTTGAGCAAAGAAATTCATTCTTTTTAGAAGATGTGAGAGAGAACAGGATGTCTGTTCAGTTTTATTTCCTTTTTCTAGGGGAATCTCTGCCACTCTTCTAGTTAGTATTGAAGTATATTTTAATTCTGAAGTTGAAGATAAAATGGATTCTTCAGACATACAACTTGTATTAGTAAATTATAATTTTACTAATTATAAATTAGTAAAACTTGTATTTGCTTTTATTGATGGTTTAAAAATAAGTTTCTTGTTGAGATTGTTTTGAGTAATGAGAGATCTTTAAAATTTTCAAAAGGAGGATTAATTCATTTGTTAAATATTTCTTGCCTGCCCAGCACTGTGCTAGGTGCTGAAAATACAATGGTGATCAAAATAGACATTGCCTTTGTCTTCTTAGACAGTTTATAATCTATTAGGAAAGAAAGATAGCACCCTCCTCCCCCACCCACCAACAACAAACAAAATGAATATAAATTTTGATCAGTGATATCACAGGATACTGAAATACAACAGTATGGGGGGACATAGGACATTGGAGGGCTAGGGTAGCTAAAAAAGGCTTCTCTGAGAATATGGAATTAATGCTAAAACCTGAAAGATGAGAGAGAGTTAGACATTCCAGGAGTGGAGTAGCATGTACAAGGGCACTGCGGCAGGAAAGAGCTTAGTTATATGATTCTTAGAACTAAAAAAGGCCAGTGTGGCTGGAGCAAAGGAAGAGTAGCACAGGATAAATTTGGAGGAGTAGATAGGCTGTATTGTGTGGGGCTTTGTAGACCTGATACGGCATTTGGATTTTATTTAAGTGCAGTTAGAAGCAGTTGCAAAGGATTTTCAGCAGGGGAATGGCATGAAAGCGCTGAAAAGATGACTCTGGCTGTTGTATGCAAAGTGCTGAATGGAATGAAGGAGACCAGTTAGGAGGCTGTGGCAGTAGTCAGTGCAAGAGATGATGGCAGCTTGAAATAGGGTGGTGCCAGTGGAGACTGGAGTGGAGATTTTTGGAAGTGGATTTGACAGTTTGCTGATAAATGTAAGGAATGAGGGAAAGCGAAAATCAATGACTTTCAGATTCCTAGCTTGAGCAACTGGGTTGACGGTTGGTGCTAGTTAGTATAATAAGAGTAGGGATAAGAAAAAAAATTGGGTTACATTTTAGATAAATTGAGTTATCTGTGGGACATCAAGAAGAGATGTGAGATAGGCAGTAGGGTGTATAGGCTGGCGTCTGAGTAGAAGGTTGGGCTGCTGACACCAGTGACGAAAATAAGTGTCTTTTAAAGCTATGAGAATGGATGAGACACCTGGAGAGCCAATGTAAGGAAAGAAGCACACGGTTCCTAGAAGATGGGAAGGGCAGCAGAGCGTAGGAGGTGGGATTGGCTTTAGATAGACAGGAAGAGACACTTTTTCATGTTAACACAAAGACAGGAGGCCCATCTGGGTACAAATTTAAGAAGGCTTATAGATGGGTTGGCGTGAAGGTGAAAGAGTTTGAATCTGATGGCTTCTGTGTTTTCTGCAGTAGAATCCATGGTTGTCTACTGAGAAGGAGGAGGATTCTCAGAAGTGTGAGAAGTTCGAAACACCGTGGTAGACAGAAAAAAATAGTAGGTTTCCCCAAGGGTGTCTTGGGCAGTCTGCCTGGCTATGAAATGAAAGAGGGAAAAGTCCTCTAAGTTTAATAGATGAGCAACTAAGTGGTATAGGTAAATGGTATGAGCAAGTAGCCTGAAAAGCAGGAGAAAGACGTTTTCTGGTCTGCTGAGTCTGCATGGCTTGCTTACAGTAGGTCAGAACCAGCTTCTTTAGTGGCTTTGTCACTAGAACACTGGGATTGTAGTGTTCTTTACCTCCAGTCAACTCTTGATTATGGTAATAGTTATATCTCATTTGGGGCTCAAGAGGATCCTAAAACAAAAGTAAATGGTACAGAGAATTACAATATTAGCAGAGTACAAAAGTATATATTTATCAGAAATAAGTCACGTGCCCAGAAAAGTTATCTGTGCTTATAAGTCACAATGACATGTTGCCTTAGCAAAGATTATCTAATGTAAACTTTGCTTCTAGTTTATGGACGTGTGAGAATACTAAACAAATTTTGCATTTCTTTCCTGAATTAGTACTTTAAAAATATGCAACTAGAAATTTATCCTCCCTAAAAGTAATATTTTAACCTCCTCTTCATTCCAAACTCTAAGTTGCTTACTTATTTTTAAGATGTGGTTACTTAAGGTAAGAAAAAGTAAGTTATTTGATCAACTTTCTTTTTTTAAAAAAGAATTACTTCATTTTTCTCTTTAGTCTGACAACATTATGGCATTAAATAAAGTCCAAGAGGTATTGGGCTGGTCTTTGTTTGGTCTCTGGTGGTTTAGATGAGGCAGAACTGAGTCTCCAGGAATCTGAATATTATCTCAAAAAGTTAGTAGCAGCCACTGTGCAAAGTTTGAAGGCCCAAGTCAAATCTGGGGCATATCCATGGATGTGTGGTAAGGCATAGGCTCCAGCTCTCGTGCAGAAACAACAGGAGTGGGATTTGATCAACTTTCTATGCAACCTTGACCACCCAGAGTCAAGGGGTCCTCCCACCTCAGCCTCCAGGTAGCTAGGACCACAGGCACAGGCCACCATGCCTGGATTTTTTTTTTTTTTTTTTTTTTTTTTTTTTTATAGGGATGAGGTTTTGCTATGTTGCCCAGGCTGGCCTTGAACGCTTCGGCTCAAGCCACCCACCCACCTCAAACCTCCCAAAGTGTTGGGATTACAGACGTGAGCCTGGCCAATAATTGCGTCTTAGTAGCCTGTATCCAAACAGTCAAGTAGGAATTGGTAATCTTATTAGGAAAACATTAAATAGGATGTTTTCAATAATGTCTCCCTTCTCTGTGCTCATATTTTCTAAGTGTAAGCAAGCTGGAATTGCATAAAGTGGGGCATAATATTTTCTCTAGCAAAAAGCTTTGAAATATGTATTTTTTTCTTTTTTTTCTTTTTGGTGACTCATGGAGTGGGAGAGCACTGTGATACCAAAAGCTGTTTGGTAGACTAAGCAATATTTACTCAGCCTCTAATGATGAGAAACCCAAGCCTTCTGTTCCTTAGAATACACAGATGTTTATTTGTAAAGCAAGTGTACGACCACTTTCTGAATTTGAGGAGCATTCTGTTACAGTTGAGGGAGGATATTTTTGTTGATTCAGTCAATGTTGTAGCAATTTGCAATGTTAATGATAGGAGTTTGAGTGTCTGTCAGATACTGTTATGTGCACGTGATACGGTGTGATGGGATCTGTTAAATAAGGGAGGAGGGACACAGAAATAATTCTTTCCAGAATGCTGGCAAAATGTTTTGAAGAATTAAGATATTTTACTAAAATTTATTATAGAAGTTAGAATTTTGCTAGGTATAGTAAACTATAAGTAGTTCTTGTCTTAAAAGAATTACTAAACAAGCCAAATTTATAAGTAAATCATAAAATCCCTTTTCTTCCCCAGAGAAGGAAAACAAGTGATGGCTTCATAATAGTACAGCTTTTTACCCCCCACGCCCCACCCCCGAGCCTTTTTGAGAAAGCTTGTATTTGTGATGGGTTACTTCTGAAAGTTTAACATCAAAATTTAAAATATAAGATATACTGAATAAAAGTTGGCCTGTACCTGGAGGATAACTGAAAATCATGACCTTGGAGAAATGGACTCTCAGAGCAAGTTTTTGAGCGTAGTCTATGCCTTGAATGGTTTTATAATGCAGATGAATGAATCTACTCCGGTGATGTTTGCTAACTTCTGGCCAAGTGCCAGGCTGAGTGTGTGTGTGTGTGTGTGTGTGTGTGTGTGTGTGTGTGTGTGTTGCACTTGGTCATCTAATGTTTGAAATACCAAGCCTGCCATTCTGGAAATCAGAAATGTTTATTTAGAACATAGTCCAGAGTCTAGATTAGAACATGTAAGGGAGTTCCTGTATGGAAAGTTTTCCAAAGCTTTAGTTTATGCAAATTCAGGGAATATCAACAGTTATTTCATTATGGATTTTGATGCCACATGGAAAACTAAACCACTACTTTAGTGATACAGTAGTATTTTCATTTGCTTGCCATTATTCGTAAGTATTTTAAAGTCATCATAATGTGTTCATGCTTCTACTCAGTCTTTAGCTAGAGGAAAGCTTCAATGTGTGGATGTCTGAAATCTGTTCTGCACATAGTGGGTTTTTCAAGTTACAGTTGCATAGTCTGTTATGATTTAACTTGCCACTTTAGAGACAAGCTGTGCTGTAATACACTAGATAACTAAGTGCTTTCAAGAGTTACCGCATCTGTGCCGGGCGCGGTGGCTCATGCCTGTAATCCCAGCACTTTGGGAGGCCAAGGGGGTTGGATCACTTGAGGTCAGGAATTCAAGACCAGCCTGGCCAACAGAGTGAAACCCAGCCTCTACTAAAAATACAAAAATTAGCTGGACTGGGTGTGGTGGTGCCTGTCTGTAGTCCCAGCTACTCCAGAGGCTGAGGCAGGAGAATCACTTGAACCCGGGAAGTGGAGGTTGCAATGAGTTGAGATCACATCACTGCTCTCCAGCCTGGGCAACAGAGCAAGACTCCATCTCAAACGAAAAAAGAGTTGCTGCATCGAGATAAACTACCTCACACACACACCTATATACACAATTTGTGCAGTTAAGTGCTTTTTTTTTTTTTTTTTTTTGAGACAGAGTCTTGCTGTGTTGCCCAGGCTGGAGTGCAATGGCACAGTCTTGGTTCACTGCAACCTCTGCCTCCTGGGTGCAAGCCATTCTCCTGCCTCAGCCTTCCCAAGTAGCTGGGATTGCAGGTGTGCACCAACAGGCCCAGCTAATTTTTGTATTTTTAGTAGAGATGGGGTTTCACCATATTGGCCAGGCTGGTCTCAAACTCCAACTTCTGACCTCAAGTGATTTGCCCACCTTGGCCTCCCAACATACTGGGATTACAGGTGTGAGCCACCGCTCCTGGCCTTTAAGTACTTTTTGATGTGCAGTTAGTTTTTATGCTTGCCTGGGCAAATGCTTCTCAGTTGGTGTACCATCATTTTTCTCAGGATTTTCATCAGTGTATACAATTTGTTTTTGCTACTAATGAATAGAATAGGTATGTTCTTGTGATAGTCTGAGCAGAGCCAATTGTGTGACTTGATATGGAGATACTGTTAGTTTCAAAATAAGATAGGTAGTGTGATATAAAGCCAGCACCAAAGAAAGAGCTAATTTTCTGGAAGTTGGGAAAACATTGCTTTGCCTGTTTGAGGGGGCTCAGTCGGGTCTTTAGGAAGTTTTGAAGTGATACTCTGCTGAAGGGCAAATTAGTGAATGATAATTATAAATAATTATAAATGATCTGAAATACGAAATCATTTCAGCCACTTTTAAAATAATGCTGTAATAGCTTTCCCTTTTTAAAAATGAAGCTAAAAATACTCCTTGGGTCTGCCATTTCCTTTCTATCTACCAGCTATTATTCTGTGTATTTACCAGCTATTATTCTATCTATTGATCGCTATTATTCTCCTTGCTGCAGTAAAATATCCAGGAAAAGTTTTCTGTATTTCTTATTTGTACTTCCTCACCTCCCAACCATTATAACTGAAATGGTTGTCATTTCCACTCTCACATTAACTTCTTGCACACTCTCTTGCAAGAGTGAACTCTTGCATACCCCCATCACCACACTTCTTCAAAATTATCAGTAATGATTTTGAAACAAGTGACTACTGCTTAAAACCATTTCCTAGACCCACAGAGATTCTGATATATTTGGTTTGAGAGATGTCACCAAGGTGGTGGAGTATCTGCCCATAAAAAAAATACAGACAGCTGTTCACAAACCAAAATAGCCCTAGTTTAGGGTGGGGCCAGGCATCAGTATTTTTTAAAAGCTGCTCAGATGATTCTAATGCCAATCAGGCAGAAAACTACTGCTCTAGGGCCTTATCTCATACATAGTAACACCTAAACCATGCACTGTGACCTACAAGGCTCCTGCCTGGCTCTCTGATGCCACCTCCTGCTGATCTCCATTTCCTCTCCTCTAGCCACCTTGGTCTCCCTCAATGGTGCTGGAACTTTGTTTTGTTCATCATCATATCTCTAGCACTAGAACAGTGCCTTCTTGCACACAGTACATGTTCAACAGGTATTTGTTGAATTCACGAATTCAGCACGTCTGATGTTCTTATTCTGTGGTAGTGATTACTCTGCAAGTAGTGCTGACTAGGTTGGTAGTGTGTTGAGTCTTCAGGAATGCTACTGAAAAGCCCAGTATTTGAACATAAGTCACAAGCCCCCACAGTCCAGCTTACCCATCTTCTAACACTGTCTTCTACTTCGCTGTCAGAACACCTACTTTTCTGTTTTTATCTTTTGCCATGAGTGGTATTGACACTTCTGATTTTTTTCTGGTCTCCTATTTCTGCTTTTATTTTGTGTAATTTTTTTTCTATATTGTTACTCATCCACTAGTTTCTCTGGGTAAAAAAGACTAGTTTTACCAGCGTTGCCAGTCAGTAAGAGAGCTTATTTTTTTTCTGTGGGTAAACGGACCACTCATAGGATGTCCAGTATGTAATCTTTGGATCCTATCCCCTTCTCTTGGTGGGTGCAGGTTGATAGCTCCTTTGATGAGAAACTGAGGTGGAATTCATGGGGGAGGGACAGGTTTTAAAGGGAAGGATGAGTATCAGGGGAGATATATGTTTCTGAGGTCACAGTTGGAAGCCTAATTGATGGAAAATTGAGATTTTATTGTACCATTATCTAAGTGCAAGATAACACTGCTTACAACAGGGGCCTGCAAAGTTTTCTTTTCTTTTCTTTCTTTTTTCTTAAGTATGGATAGTAGGTATTTTGGGCTTTTGGGCTTTGTGGGCCGCCATGCAGTCTGTGTCTAATGTTGTGGTGCAGAAGTAGACATAGACAATGTGTGAACAGAGTAGTGTGGCTGTGTTTCATAAAACTGTTTATGGGCATTGAAATTTGAACTTTATATAAAATTATGTAAAATACTGTTCTTTGGATTCCCCCCCCAACCCCCACCAGTTAAAAATACAGTCAGGAGCCATGTAACAGTGTTTCAGTCAACTACAGCAGACTATACAACCGTGGTCCCATAAGATTAATAATACCTTAATTTTACTATACCTTTTCTATGCTTAGCTACACAAATATTTATCACTGTGTTGCAGTTGCCTACAGCATTCAGTACAGTAACATATGTACAGGTTTGTATCCTAGAATCAAGAGGCCATACCATATAACCTAGGTGTGTAGTAGGCTATACTGTCTAGGTTTGTGAATACGCTCGTTGATGTTCACACAACAGTGAACTTGCCAAACATCGCATTTCTCAGATCTTATCCCCCTTGTTAAGTGACTCATGACTGTACAAAAACTGTTCTTAGCTAGTGAGCCATAAAAAGGCAGAAGGCAGGATTTGGTCCTTGGGCCATTCATAGTTTGCTAACCTCCAGCTTCACATTTATGTAGTTTTGACTTGGAAAGTCGAGTTCTTGACCAGTAGTCCTTTTCATACCTCACATTATAAAAATTCTTTAGATTTTGTGGTTGGTGGCACATTACCTCTTTATTAGTGTCCATATGTAAATTTTGTACCCAAAAGCTCCTTATCACGTTAGTGTCTTTGCCCTCTATGTTTTAGCACCTACTCCTGGGCCACATTGTTTGAGCCTGTCTTTTATTATGTCTTTGCAGCGCCCTGCTTCTACAATAAAACAGCTGTTTTTTTTTTTTAATTTAATAAACATTCCTTTCAGGCTGTAACAGGTGCTATGGAGGCCCCCCTCTTTCACTGTAGTTCACCTGCACTCCTGGTGGGCAGATCCCCAACATGCTGACAAGCTCTTTTCCTTAGGTGCAGGGATCTCTGAGCTTGCTCTGCCTGAGTGCAGGGCAGCCAGCCCCATGCTGGCAGCCAAGAAGTGTTAAGAGTTTTTAATGTAATGGCCCCAGGAGTAACCCTTAACAAGGAAGTGGAGAGATACCTCATCTTTCTCCTCTGTGGGAGAGTTCTGAGGCATGCCCTGAAGGACTGAACTGCAGGTGCTCACAGCAGTGAGGAACCTCCAGTTGGCTTTTCTCCCCATCTCACTTTCACTGATCCCCTCAAGTGTGCTTCCTGGGATTTCCTTCCCACAAATAAGCTGCTTGCACCCAAGTTCTTAGGTCAGGGATGCCTTCTGGAGGAACCCAAGTGACATGTGCTGGTGGACTCATAGTGCTCTTACAGCTCTTTTTCTCCTTGCCTCCCCACGGGGAGTATATGATGGAGCTTCCTTAGTGGGTGACATTGACACTAGATGTGAGAAAGAAAGTATTACAGGTTGAATATTCCTTATCTGAAAGCTTGAGACCAGAGTGTTTCTGATCTTGAATTTTGAAATATTTGTATTGTACTTAACCGGTTGAGCATTCGTAATCCAAAAATCTGAAATCTGAAATGTTCTAAAGTCTAAAACTTTTTTTTTTCCCCTGTTTTCTGAGCATTTTGGATTTCAGAGTTTCACATTAGGGAGGCTCAGCCTATATATACTACCTACCGATCATTCAGTTCAGCTCAACAGTAACTCTACTTGATTACCAGCATTCTTTGCAGGTTATCTTTTTCTGCCCTTAGTTTTCTGTTCCTGGAAAGAAAAGTAATATGTGATCAGTCATCTAACCTTGGTTGTCTTCTATAAGGTAGATCAGAATTTTCTGTTTCCAAAAGTTAGTTGGCAAATTCTGTGCTAGAAAGTAGGGTGTAGGGTACTATATACAATTAAGTATCACTGTTAAGCAAGTAGTTATAAAATAGCAGTTACATGCATTCTTTTGCCAAACTTCAAATAACATGATTGGCAGGACTTTGCCAAAACCACAGATGTTGAAATTTCAAAATGGTAATACGATCACAAGTAGCTGTAGCCGTAATTCTCCCATTAAAATACTTATTGATTAAAATAGGTTTTTAATGTCTGGAGAATTGAAAGTCTTTTTCTACCTGTGGCATGTTTCTTCCATAATGAGAACTTCAGTCGTATCAAGTAAATTTCACCATTGTAGAAGGTGTTTCAGCCATATAATCAATGTGGAAATCTGATTTTTTATTTAGGGATAGACTAGTTATGTGTGTGTGTGTTTCAATTTCTAGATTAATACATACTTTTAAATGTCTTAAAGTTGATAAACTCTTTTTAAAGGTACGACTATATTAAAATGAGCTTTATCTCAGAAGCATGATAGTTTTAATTTTTATTTGCAAAAAATTATTCACTTTTTTTTTTCTTGAGGTAGGATCTCGCTCTGTCACCCAGGCTGGAGTACGGTGGTGCAATCACAGCTCACTGCAACCTTGATCTACCTCCCAGGTTCAGTCCATCTTCCCACCTCAGCCACCTGAGTAGCAGGGACTACAGGCACATGTACCATGCCCAGCTAATTTTTTGTAGAGATGGGGTTTCACCACATTGTCCAGGCTGGTCTTGAATTCCTGGGCTCAAGTGATCTGCCCGCCTCAGCCTCCCAAAGTTTTGGGATTATAGGCGTGAGCCACTGTGCCCAGCATTCACATGTTTTTCCTTCCCCTGGAAGTTGTTTTCCTTGAGACAGAGTCTCGCTCCCTTGCCCAGGCTGGAATGTAGTTTCACATCACAGCTCGCTGCAACCTTGACCTTATGGGCTCAAGTGATCCTCCTACCTCAGCATCCTGAGTAGCTGGGACTACAGGCACATGCCACCATGCCTGGCTAATTAAAAAAAAAAAAATTATAGAGATGGGACTTCACCATGTTGCCTTGCCTGGTCTCGAACTCATGGGCTCAAGCGATCCTCCAGCCTCAGCCTACCAAAGTTCTGGGATTACAGGCATGAGCCACCACGCTGGGCCTGTTCTTTTTGTGTGTGTTTTGTTTTGTTTTGTTTTTTGAAACATCACTTTCCCTTTTTTTGGCACTTAGTAAGTTTAACATACAGTTGATCCCAGCAGTCTTTACTTTGATTGCAGCTTTAAAAACCAACTTCCTATCCTAGTCATAAGTAAATAAATAACTAGTTGAAGTTGGATTTTACTGCTACAAGTTTATTGTTACGACCTGCCTTATCTGGGGGTAGCTAAATCTTGTGTAAATTACATTCTTTTCTTTATTTGGTTTCATTTAGTTGCATAAGGCTGTTAAATAGTTGAACAGATATTAATGTTTCCTGTTATACTTGTACCAAAACGTGCTCAGAGAAAAATGTTGGGCAGTGTGACTTTAGATCCATTTTCGGGGATCTATTTGGGAGAGCACATGTGGCCAGAATGTAGTTTTTTATTTTTTTATTTTTAGAGCTTTCTCTTAAGTTATAGTGTTTCTCATGGGTGTTTTCCCTGTTCCTCCTCTTCACCTAGGATATTGGTCTCTGTTCACTTTGGTTCCCCATCTTTTCACCACCCATTATTCACCTTCACACATTTCTGCAACTTCATAAACCACAGTCTGTTCAGTTTCTCATCAGAATGTTATTGTCCATTCCTATAGGACGAGTTCCAAGCCCACCAACTCCTTGTCTTTATTAATCCTTCCTATTCTAGCCCTCAGGATTCTGTTTTCTGAGAATAAGAGGGTACTTTCTCTGTCATCCATGTGTCCCATTTTGTAGTTGACTCAAACATTCTTAGTTGCCCTATATATTCTGCCTCAGCTGCCTTGTGTACTGGCTTTTCAGGACAGAGCGTGTTTTCTCAGCTGTTAATGTTTCTTTTGTACCTGTCACATAACAGTAACTTAGTAGTTAATTATTGCTGTTAAATACCCAATTATCTAGTTTTCTGCTTTTAATTTCTCAAAATCACCTTGGTGATTTTTAAGTGATTTGTTTATTGTTTGTTTTTTATAGATGTAAAAAAAGATTGGTCTGACCATGCTCTCTGGTGGGAAAAGAAGAGAACTTGGCTTCTGAAGACACATTGGACCTTAGATAAGTATGGTATTCAGGCAGATGCTAAGCTTCAGTTCACCCCTCAGCACAAACTGCTCCGCCTGCAGCTTCCCAACATGAAGTATGTGAAGGTGAAAGTGAATTTCTCTGATAGAGTCTTCAAAGCTGTTTCTGACATCTGTAAGACTTTTAGTAAGTATTACATAAATTCTTCTTAAAATACGAGTTATGTGATGTACAGATGACCGATGACTGACATAGCTTATCCCAAGGGATGGGGCATGGGCTGAACTATCTGTATATATGTATGTGTGTGAAATTTCTACTTCATTAAAGTTTTTATATTAAGATAAATGCTGGGTTAAGGTGGAACAGGAAGAACCTAGTAGAGATTCTTTCCTTACTAGAATTGTATCTGATATTTAATACTTTATTTTTATGGAGAGGTTAAAGGAACAGGCACTATTTTCAGGGGAACATACATGGCTTTGCAATGTTTCCTTCACATAAGTCACTATTTGATTTTAGTGATTCAGGCAGATTGTGTCACTTCCTCCATTGAAGGCCTGACACAGCTCCTAAGGAAATGACTATGAGTGTTGTCTTCCTTCACCAGTCTACAATTTGAACATCTCTGTAGTATTTCTATTTATGCATTCTGAAATGAGATGTGGGTTACTTTGGCTGACCCAGTTATGTCATATGACAGGAAGTATTCAACCATCTGAGAAAATGTGAACTGCTGTCACTACCACTAGTGCAGAACTCTGCTGTATTTTTTCCTATTTGAGAAATTCTTGGTTAAAGATACATTTAGTGACTTCTCATATTTTAATTCCAAATAAAGTACTGCAGTTTTTTATTCATGTTAAATTTTTAAATTATACTAGTAATTTATAAATACACTCTGTTGTAAAAGAATCAATGAATATAGACATACATAGTAAGCTCCCCCTTCCCCTAAGTAATCATTCTTGACAGTTTGGTGATTTTCTATGCATTTATTTGTCCATACATATCGGATTTTTTTTAATAAATAGGAGCATTTTATATGTATTTTTTAAACTTAGTAATGTCTTAGAGATCTTTCTATGTGTTATACATTCTTTTAAGCTGTAATTCAGAGTATAGACGTACTATTAATTTACATCCAATTACTTCTTGGCCTTTTTGGCTAAGATCAAGTATAATTTATAACCACATTTCCCTGTTAATGATCAGTTAGGTTGCTTCACTCTTAGAGCAAATGCTGCAACATTTTCAAATGTTTTAAATATTGCTGAAAACATTTGAAAATATTTTAGTTGGGCTAGCGCCAGAGTACCCAATCTTCCTTGCTGGTGTCAGCACCCACACTCACTGCTAGAGCCTGTGGGCAAATGCTGCTCCTGTACAATGCCTCAAGCACTGACCTGTGGACAGTATGGAGGTGCTGAGACTACCTACCTCTTAACCCAGAGCCCTGCCTGCTGCTTATGCCTGTAGGCTTGGAGCTTGGAGGAGTCTGAATCCTCACCCATTTCTTGTGTTTAGTTTGGGCTGTGGCTTCCCTTAAACCAATACCAACTTTTTTCTGTCTTCAAGAATCACTCATTATTTACCCTCTTACTGTAGTTTCCTGTCTCCTAGCACTGTTATGGATGTTCATCTTCCCTCCCCGCCTACAATTTTTAAATATCTTTTGCTGTCATTTCAGGGGATTCGGGATGTAGGAGGGGAGATACAGGTAGATTCACATTGCCTTTTTGATCTAATGCCCTTGAAATTTTTTTTAAAGTGAAACAGGGTTTTTATTATTATTATTAAAATAGAGAAAAATACAAAGAATACCAAATTCCCATTATCTGGAATTAATAATTGTTGATATTTTGTCATTTTGTCAAATGACAAATATGACTTGAAGTCAAAGTAATACTGGTAAAATTCTTGAGTCTCATTATCCTAACTTCCCTTTACAAAGCAACTACTATCATAAGTTCAGTGTGTATCCAGTACTGTAAAATACACAGACACACACATACACACACACACACACACACACACGTATCTCTGTGTGTATATATCCATAAACTGTATATGTTATTGCCATTACCACGTAGGTATTTTCTTACTAAGTTTTGTACGTGTGTGCAAGAATTTCTCTCGAGTATCCACCTAGAAGTAGAAGTAAAATTGCTGTTTTAAATATATACATAATTCATTTCAGAGTACTGTCAAATTGTCTCCCAGTTGGTTATACCAGTTTATATTCCAACTAGCAATGTATGAAAACCCGTTGCCACAAATCCTCACTAACACTTGATTATGGTCTGTTTTGTTGTTTTTGTTTCCAAGAGAAAAAGACAGTATTTTGTTTTAGTTTACAAAGCTAAATATGTTTTTAAATCATTATTGGACATCTAAGTTCCTTTTTTTAATTGTTTATATCATTTGTCCATTTTTGAGAAATTAATAAACTGTAGTTTTTACAGGAGTTGTAGGTTCACAGCAAAGTTGAGCAAAAGTACAGAGAATTCCCACATACCCTCTGTCCTCACACATGCACAACCTTCCCTACTCTCAAAGTCTGTACCAGAATGGTACATTTATTGTAACTGGTGAACCTACCTTGACATACCATTATCACTCAGTGACAGTAGTTTATGTTAGGGTTCACTTCTGGTGTTGTACATGCTGTGGGCTTGGAAAAATATATACTCGTGTATCTACTGTTGTGGTATTGTACAGAATAGTTTGACTGTCCTAAAAATCTTCTGTGCTCTGCCTATTCATCCCTCTCTCCTCATCACCACCACTCATCCTTTTACCTAGTTTTGCCCTTTCCAGAATATCATATGTTTGGACTCATACAGTATGTAGCCTTTTCATATTGGTTTCTTTCACCTCGTAATAGGCATTTAAGTTTCCTCCATGTTTTTTTGTGGCTTGATAGCTTATTTCTTTTTTTTTTCTTTTCTTCTTCTTTTTTTTTTGAGACGAGTCTCGCTCTGTTGCCCAGGCTGGAATGCAATGGCGTGATTTTGGCTCACTGCAACCTCCACTTCCCGGGTTCAAGCAATTCTTCTGCCTCAGCCTCCCAAGTAGCTGGGATTACAGGCACCTGCCACCAAACCGGGCTAATTTTTGTATTTTTAGTATAGATGGGGTTTCATCATGTTGGCCAGGCTGGTCTCGAACTCCTGACCTCAGGCGATCCACCCACCTCCGCCTCCCAAAGTGCTGGGATTACAGGTGTGAACCACCAAGCCCAGCCAGCTCATTTCTTTTTAGTGCTAAATAGTATTCCATCGTCTGGATGTGTCACAGCTTGTTTATCCACTCACCAAACGATATCTTGGTTGCTTCATTTTGAATAAAGCTGCTGTAAACATCTGTATGCAGGCTTTCAAGTGGACATATGTCTGTTCGTCCATTCTTCTTTTGTTTTATCGTTCACCATTGATTTGTAGTTCTTTATAAATTCTAATATGTGCTGCAGATAATTTCTCCTGGTCTATTATAAACCTTTGTTCGTGATTGATTTTATGTACTTTTTATTTTTGTCTTTTTTGGTCATGTAGAAGTTAACATTGGTTTGTGTTTGTGGGGTATTGTTTAAAAAAGCTATTCCTATTTTGAATTACAGGTATCATCTATATTTTCTGCTAGTACTCTTAGAGTTTTGTTTTTCATGTTTACTGCTTTTATCTACTTAGAATTTACTTTTGTGCATTTGGTGAAATAGAGATGTAGTATAGCATATTTTAGGAGAAAATGCTAGCCAACACTGTTTATTGAATTGTCTGTTATTTCTCCACATAAGCATAATGTCAGCTCTGTCATAAACCAAAATTCCATGTTGTGTGGATCTGTTTTTGTATGCTCTCTTCTTTTCCATTGATCCATTTATATGTCCTTACATGGATAGTACACTATTTGAATGTCTGTAGCCTCATAATAAATCTCTATATCTGATAGAGCAAGTACCTCTTCTTTGCTGTTTTTCAGAATTGCGTGGGTTGATTTTGGAATTGTATGTTTCTATATGAAATTTGAAACAGTTTGTTAATTTCTAGGGAAAATTCCATAGTAATTGATTGGAAATGCATGCATTAATGTTATGTAGATCTTACCATTCATGAATAAAATCTGTCTCCTTTTGTTGAAGTAATCTTTTTTGCCCTTAAATCACATTTTGTCTAGAAAGATATTGTGCTTTTTAAAAAAAGTTTTCTTCCAGGGGCTTTATACTTTTTCTAATTGGATACTGCTATTAGGAATGCTGTTTATTTTTTTTCTTATAATCTAATATCTGATACCTTACTGAACTCTTTGATAAATTCTGATAATTTATTGATTCTCTTGGATTTTCTTGTTTTTTTAATTTTTATTTATTTTTTGTTATGTATTTATTTTGAGACAGAGTCTCCCTCTGTCACCCAGTCTGGAGTTCAGTGGTGGTATCTTCGCTCACTGCAACCTCCACCTCCTGGATTCAAGTACTTCTTCTGCCTCAGCCTCCCAAGCAGCTGGGACTACAGTTGCGCACCATCATACTTGGCTAATTTTTGTATTTTTAGTAGAGACGGGGTTTTGCCATGTGGGCCAGGCTGGTCTGGAACTCTTGACCTCAGGGGATCCGCCTGCCTCGGCCTCCCAAAGTTCTGGGATTGCAGGCATGAGCCACCATGCCCGGCCTTCTCTTGGATTTTCTATGTAAGCAATCATGTCTCTTCTAAATAATAACTTTTCTCTCTTCCTTTCCCATTTTTATACATCTTATTTCTTTATCTTATGGTATTGGATTAAACCTCTAGTACAGTATTGCATAATAGCGGTAATGATGACTGTTGTTGTGTTGTTCCTGACTTAAATGGAAATGCTTTTAACATTTGACATTCAGTTTAATATTTGTTGTTGTTTTGGGGGGAGATCTTTTCCTGTTTTGTTTTGTTTTTTGCTTTTTGAGATAGTATCTTGCTCTGTCACCCAGGCTGGAGTGCAGTGGTGTGAACACAGCTTGTTGCATCCTTGACCTCCTGGGCTCAAATAGTCCTCCTGCCTCAGCCTCCCAAGTAGCTGGGACCACAGGCATGCACCACCATGCCTGGCTAATTTTTATATATTTTTTTTTTTGTAGAGACAGGGTCTTACTATGTTACCCAGGCTGGTCTTTAACTTCTGTGCTCAAGCAATCCACCTGCCTCGGCCTCCCAAAGCAGTAGGATTACAGGCAGCAGCCACCACATCTAGCCTGTTTTTTGTTTTAATTGCTAGCGCCTTTAACTCAAGAATGCATGGGAATTTTAACCAAATGGAGCTTAGGGAGTGACTTGCCCAAGATCACGCAGAGACAGACAAGAACCTACCTATGTGGTTCTTGTCACTCTCTGAGACAAGAATCTGGAGCTCCTTATACCTTACTTCCTTATACCTATCTTCACTGGCATCCTGTCATCAAATCTCGTCACTTTTTTCCTATAAAATGTTTTATGCATTAATTCTTCATTCCACACTCTGCTGTATAGAATGAAGTTAGATGTTGAGAAGATTTTCAGGTTGTTACGCTAACACTGCTCCACCTTCCTAAATATATCTGTAGTGGGTGGTTGGTCTTTCATTACTACTACTACTACTACTACTACTACTACTACTGTTTTTGGCTGCATGGCATTGAACTTCTGGCTCTGTGTTTGGAAATGTCATATCTTATGACATTTCCAAAATGTGAGACAAAGCCCACCTCCCTCCTACAGAAACCATAAAGTCCAGATAGTTGTTTCCCAACCCTCCTCATAGATAGAGTGCAGGCAGTTGGCCAAGTCTAGGTTACGTGCACATCAGAAAATGTCTCCTAGAACTTTGAATCAGGAACTCGTGACTCAAGCCAGGATAACAAATACCTCATTCTAGTGGCAGAAGTGGTAGCAACATCTAGCTTCTAAGGACAGAGAAGCCATATCCAGTGAGAGCGCTCATCCATGCATTGAGTATATTGGCCCATTTACTCCCGAGGGATCTCATAGTGTTAGAATTTTGTGTTTGCAATGTTAGAAATTTAGGTTACAAAAAGATACTATGTAGTAAGCATGTCTACATTATCCCATTTATGTTTAAATATCCACCTAAAGATATACTCAGAGGTATTTCACTAGAATGTTGACAGAGGTTATCTCGGGGTGATATTTCAAGTTTGTGCTTTTTATCCCCAGTTGTGTTCTTACACTTTTGCAATCGTTTGTTGTTGCTGTTTTTAACAATTTAATATGTAATATTTGTATAAACAAGAAAAGAAAGCTATCTTTCATTCAAGGATCAAAATCACTTTTAGCTTTTTATGTTTTTGTTTATCTCTAGAATGTAAACTTCTAAAGTCAGAAACATGCCTTTCCATCTTTGTATTCTCAGCATAGGGCATGACCTTAGAGAACATTAATTGAATGAATAAGAGGAAAAAAATGATGGAATAAAGAAATAAGGATCAGTTAATCCTATCACTGGGATCGAATGGAAAGTAATGATCTATGGCCAGGCATGGTGGCTCACACCTGTAATCCCAGCGCTTTGGGAGGCCAAGGCAGGCAGATCACTTGAGGCCAGGAGTTCAAGACCAGCTTGGCCAACATGGTGAAACACTGTCTCTACTAAAAATACAAAAAGTAGCCGGGCATGGTGGCACACACCTGTGGTCCCAACTGTTTGAGAGGCTGAGGCAGGAGAATCGCTTGAACCGGGAGGTGGAGGTCGCAGTGAGCCATGATGACACCACTGCTTTCCAGCCTGGGCAACAGAGTAAGACTCTGTCTCAAAAAAAAAAAAAAAAAGTAGTGATCTGTTACAGGATGTTCAGGGAATTTCTGCTTCACTGGGTAGTTACATTATATTTCCTCTAAACAGTCTTAACAGCTGTTAAGGGTCTGTGAACTGTCAGTATTAATGGGTAGAAATTTACATAATATTTTGACAAATTATAAGACTAAAGTCTTTCCTGCAGAAAAGAGAGGGTCTTAATGAGTGGTAATTTTATTTGTAGATATATTAGAGAATACTCCAAGAACTAAGGCACTTGATTATGAAATTGTCGAAAACAAAAGGGGTTGTGCTTTATAGACTAGTCGTGTTTACATGAAGGAGCAGATACCAAGGGCACAGATTTCAGAAATCTAGGAGGTACATAAAATTTAGATGATCACAGTATTTGGTGAGAGTCCAAGTACTTGACATGTGTGAATAGATAGATGTCTTCTCATGCTGGCAGCACGACAGGGAAGGGGGGTATCTGATAGCAGGCTCTGTGCTGCAGTCTACTTAACATCATGAAGAACTGGGGGTAGGGTGGGGGTCAATATCACAGAGCAGGGTTCCTAGGATGGGGTCTCCATTTGGAGGAAACCAGGAGAAAAACTAGGGTGTAAAGATCCAGTCAAACAGTTACACAATTGAGGTTTGGCTACAAAAGTAAATAAGAAAACAGCTAATTGGTCTTAAATAATAATGTAATATATATTTAATAAATGCATATTTAATACATAATTTAACACTGTTATTGCTATAAATATTCCTCAGAAGTCTATAAAATTTTCATATGTGTGTTAGAAAAGAGGGAAGGGTATTTGATTTGCCAAGTGATTAAACTGTGTTGGCAAACTCTGGCCTGCAGCCTGCTTTTTTTTTTTTTTTATTTTGAGATGGAATCTCACTCTGTCACCCAGGTTGGACTGCAGTGGCGCGATCTTGGCTCACTGCAAGCTCTGCCTCCCGGGTTCACGCCATTCTCCTGCCTCAGCCTCCCTAGTAGCTGGGACTATAGGCGCTCGCCACCACGCCCAGCTAATTTTTTGTTTATTTAGTAGAGACGGGTTTTCACCATGTTAGCCAGGATGGTATCAATCTCCTGACCTTGTGATCCGCCCGCCTCAGCCTCCCAAAGTGCTGGGATTACAGGTGTGAGCCACTGTGCCCAGCCCACAGCCTGCTTTTGTGTAGCTCAAGAACTAATTATAATTAGGCTCTTATATTTTTTTAATGGTTAAGAAAAGTTAAAATAATATTTTATGCTGTGAAAATTATAAAAATTCAAATTCCCATGTTCATAAATAAAGTTGTATTGGAATATGGCTACATTCATTGGCTTAGGTATTGTCTGTGGTTGCTTTTGCGTTATAGCAGCAGTATTGAGTAGAGCTGCATACCCTAAAATATTTACTATCTTTACAGAAAAAGTTTGCCAACCCCGGAATTACATTATGGGAAACATTAGTGGTTTATTTTTTTCTTTTTTCACCACTGAAACTGAACACTGAAGTGACAGTATATAACTCTTCCCAGGAATAATTAGGGTTTTTTCTGTTAATTATTTTGGATTAGTTGATTTTCAACCCAAGTTATTAAATATTTCCCCTTAATTAATTTAACTCTCTTGTATCTACTCTTGTGGCTTTTGCTTACTTACTGTACGAGCAGTAGAATTAAAACTAAGAAAGATGAGGACATTTCCATTGCTACCAAAATATATTGTTACCTAAGGTTACCAAGTAAATGTGAAGGGTGTGCCAAACACTGAAAAAGGACAGTGATCCAAGACCAGCAGAACACTATTTAAAGGGAAATAACCTACTTTTGCTGAACACTGACATCATTTCCAAGCTTTTTATTTGGTAAAAATTATCTTTCTTTTATAATTTAACTCTTGAGAAAATGCTTCTGTGTAATAATTTTTTCTTCCAAAAACGCACTTTCAGATCAGTGCTTCTGTGTAATAATTAAATGAAGTTTTTGTTGCATTTTCCTTTTCTTTTGGACAGAAAGACTGTTGTCAAAGAACGTCATTTTTTTTTTTAATGTAACGTATTCTGGCACACAGGCTTCACAAATGAAGAGCCTTCTTAAGAGGAAAGGAAACTTTTTCTCCCAAAATCTGACAACAGAGAGCTACTATAAAATAACATATTTTGTGTTTAGAGCTTGTTACCATTCTGTGTTATCAATAGGACATGTCATTTGGGTCTTTCGGCTTTAGATACATGCTAATTCATTCCTATTTTTTCTCTTTCTGTTCTAGCCTTATGAAGAAGAATCTATTTGATAGGGATGGAGAAGCACAAAATGCTAGTGGAACAGAACTCAGATTGACTAAAGCTCAGTTGTGTTTAAAAAATTTTTGTAATTATAAAAGTGATTTAGGTAAATTAAGCTGTACATAAGGACTCTGTACAAAAGCTTTTAGTGGTAACAATAAAGATTGGATTTTTATTTACTCTATTTTAATTAATTTATTTATTTTTGAGATGGAGTCTCGCTCTGTCGCCAGGCTGGAGTGCAGTGGCGCAATCTCAGCTCACTGCAGCCTCTACCTCCTGGCTTCAAGCGATTCTCCTGCCTCAGCCTCCCGAGTAGCTGGGACTACAGGTGCGCTCCACCACGCCCAGCTAATTTTTGTATTTTTAGTAGAGACAGGGTTTCACCATGTTTGCCAGGATGGTCTCGATCCCTTGACCTCGTGATCCACCCACCCTGGCCTCCCAAAGTGCTGGGATAACAGGCATGAGGGATTTTTAAATAAAGATGAAAAGGAAATGAAGGATCACTTAAACTACTTTTTTGTACTGCAGCCTCCACCTCCCGGGTTCAAGCAGTTCTCCTGCCACAGCCTCCTGAGTAGCTGGGATTACATGTGCCCGCCACCACACCTGGCTAACTTTTGTATTTTTAGCAGAGGTGGAATTTCGCCATGTTGGCCAGGCTGGTCCTGGACTCCTGACCTCAAGTGATCTACCTGCCTCAGCCTCCCAAAGTGCTGGGATTACACGCATTAGCCACCATGCCCAGCCAGAAATCTAGATTTAACAGTGCCTTAAACTAATAAGAGCCTTCTTTTTCACATAAGAAGTTACTTGAGAAAATGAAGTGGTTGCTGGAACTGGATTTGTTGTTCAGTTGTGTCTTCAAGGACAAGCTCTTTCCATCCCTCAGTTCCTCACCCCTCAGCATGTCAGGTTGGCCTCATGATTGTAAGATGCTTCCTAGAGCTCCAGGCATACGTGGGTTGAGTAGCCCTCATCTGAAATTTGAAGTGCTCCAAAATTCGAAACTTTTTGACTGCCAATGTGACATTCAAAGGAAATGCTCCAATGAGCATTTTAGTAAGGTTAGGGGTGCTCAACCTAGAGCTGCATTCAGGAGGCACCTCTCTCTCTTTCACCTCTCTCTCTTCCACACCTGTGTCCTAACAGCAAAGCAGAACATCCCAGAAGCCCCCCTCACATCCTCCTGGCCCACCTTGGGTCATATGGCTGCCCTTAGCTGCAAGGGAGACTGGGAAAACATGAATATGACTTGACTTTTCCAGTTTCCTTATGCTAGCCGCAAGCAAGAGGGCTGAGAAATGGCAGGTCAGTTAGCCCATCAGCAGACATGCCACATGCCTTTTTAAGTATCTAGTCAGTCAAACTGAGCAATAGAGCCAGGAGTTTAAAGAAATAAAAAATGAAATTTTTATTGAGGACCCAAGGGGCGTCTTATAAGCCATGTCCTTTAATTTTATTTATCCTTTTGATCAGCTTTGTTAAGGTATAATTTAAGGCAAAATAATCGTAATGGCAAAATTCAGTGCATTTTGACCAGTGGACCACCAGCAAGATGTAGGACAGTTCCCTGATGCCCCTCTGCTGGCAGTCCTCTTTACCCTTCCGACCTCTGCCAACCATTTATCTGCCCTCTGCTACTATAGTCTTGCCTTTTCTAAAATGTTAGATAAATGGAATCCTATAGTATTTGGTCTTTTCTTTATGGCTTCTTCCACTTAGCATAATGTGTCTGACCTTCATCCATGTTGTGTGTTATCAACTCCATCTTATTACTGAGTAGTACTCTGTTGTATGGATATACCATAATTTGTTTATCCATTCACCAGTCGAAGGGCTGGGCTCATTATTTTAAAAAAAAGCTTCTATGACCATTCACTTACAGGTCTTTGTGGGAACATAGGTATTTACTCAAGAACAATAAAAACTACGGTAGGTTTCTGGGTCATATGATAAGTGGATGTTTCAGCTTGTAATAAATAGTCAAATTCTTTTCCAAAGTGGCTGTACTATTTTGCATTCTGCCGGGCAGTACTTGAGAGTTCCAGTTGCTCTGTGTCCTTGAAACATTTTTCAGTTTGGGGTATTCTAGCAGGTGTGAGAGCCTATCTCCTTGTGGCTTTAATTCGCATTACCCTAGTGACTAATGATGTTGAGCATCTATTCATGTGCTTAATTGCCACCCCATATAATGGTGAGGTGTCTGTTTGAGTCCTTCGCCTGTCCGTCTTTAAATTAGGCTGTCATCTGATTGTGTTGTAAGCATTCTTTGCATATCCCAGATATGGACATTTTATTGGATATGTTTTGCAAATATTTTCTCACAATCTGTGGCTTACCATTTCATTAACAGTGTTTTCTAAGAGCAAAAGTTTTCATTTTGGTGAAGACCAATTTATGAACTCTGTTGTCCCATTTCTTTTCTGTTTCCCTCCTTTCTAGTAGATTAAGGGGTTTTTGGTGGGGTTTTTTTTTTGGTGGGGGGTGGTTGTTTTGATTATATTCATCTCCACTTGTGAATTACTAGCTATTACGACCTTCGTTTTGCTATTTTAATGGTTGCTCTAGGGTTTACAGTATATGACTTTAACTTATTCAGCCTACCTTCAAATAATATACTACTTCACACATAGTATAATAACCTTACAGCAGTTTAGTTTCATTTCTCCCTTCCTGTCCTTTTTGTGTCATGTATTTTACTCCTATATATGCTAAACCCCACAGTACGTTATTTTCGCCCTAAAGCAGTGAAGTATTTAAAAATGAGCAAAATGGTTTTTCATATCACGTATTTACCATTTTTCAGTGCTCTTTATAAGTATCCTTTCCATGTAGTCTCCTTTTTCTTCTACCTGAAGAACTTCATATGCCTCTCTTCTTATAGTGCAAGTCTACTGGTTATGAAGTTTTGACCTTTTGTTTGTTTATAGAAGTTTTGATTTGGTCCAGGCACAGTGGTTCATGCCTACATGTAGTCCCAGCACTTTGGGAGGCCAAAGATCACCTGAGCCCAGGGGTTCAAGACCAGCCTGTGCAACATGGCGAAACCCCATCTCCAAAAAATACCAAAAAATTAGCTGGGCATGGTGGCATGCACCTGTAGTTCCAGCTGCTCAGGAGGTTAAGCGGGGAGGATCGCTTGAGCCTGGGAAGCAAAGGTTGTAGTGAGTTGAGATTGTGTGACTGCACCCCAACTTGGGCAACAGAGGGAGACCCTGTCTCAAAAACATTTTTTTTTTAATTTTGCCTTCATTTTTGAAAGACACTGCAGCTGGGAGAAGAATTCTAAATTCCCCCCCCCCCCCCAATAATTGATGTCCCTCAGTTGTCTTCTGGTTTGCATAATTTCAGAGAAGTCTGTTATTGTTCCTCTGTATGTTTTCTGTCTGCCTTGGAAGATTTTATCTTTACCTTGGTTATCAGCAATTTGATTATGATGTATCCTGAAATAGTTTTTTTAAGATTTATTCATATCTTCAAGTCCATTGATCTTTCTGCTGCTAATTTGCTGTTAATCCCATCCAGTGCCTTTTTCATTTAAGATGTTTTTTTCATCACTAGAAGTTTGATTTTGGCTTCATTTTTATATAGATTTTTCATTTTTCTATTATGTGTGTTTTCCTCTAGTTTCTTAAACATATGGAGTATTTTTATATAGCTATTACAATATTCTTTATCATCTGAGTTATTTGTGCTTCCCCACCCCCACCCTTTACTCCTGACTATGTGTCATTATGCGTCATAGTGGCTGGATTTTTTTGTATTGAGTAGTCTTGAATTTTTTTCTGATCACCAAATTACTTGGAATTAGTTGGATTCTTTTGCTTTGAAGCTTTATTAGGATAGACCAGAGGCAACATTAGCCTTAGCACTAATTTAGCCTCATTACTGAGGTCATAGTCTTCTGGGGATTCTTCTCAGTACTCTGTCTTTCTGTTCTCCTTGACAGGAACATTAACTCTTTTAGCCGTCGGTTCTTTCCACAGTCTCTGGTAGCTAGACTCCAGGAAACACCTCTGCAGACCTCCAGAGCACTCTCTGTGGAGCTCCCTTCTCTCCTGTCCCCTGCCCCACACATTCTAGCCACCTTGTCATCCCTGAATGCCATCCCAGATCTCTCAACTCTGCAAGACCAGGCCCCATGCGCCCCTCCCCTGCCCATAGGCAGTAAGCTGGTGCACTCAGCTCATCCTTCTGGTCTTTATTTCGTGCATCTTGTTGCCTAATGTCTGAAAGTGTTTCTTTTTCTTTTCCTTTATTTCTTATTGTTTAAATAAAACAGGAGAGTAAATCAAGTTCCTGTTACCCCAACTTACTTGAAATCCTCCATTCTTAATTTTTCCTAGATTTTCTTCTAGCCGTGCATCTTAGAAAGCCATCATATGCTCACTGAAGCATTACATATAATAACAAAACCATTTCTTTAACCAAAATTTTAAACTGAACATGCTCAAGGCTGAACTCATGGCATTCCTTTCCAAATCTCTGTGCTCCCTCTTCCCTCCTTTCTGCCCTTCCTCCAGGCAATCGCCATAGTAGTAAAAGGCTCTTCCATCCCAGGTACACATACCAGACACACGGGAGAAATCCTTAGCATTGCCCTCTTCCTCACCTACACATCTCATCACCTCGAAATGTTCATTTTGTCTCGAGGATATGTCTTCAGTCTTTCCACGTCTCTCCATCTCCACCCTCCACTGCTCCGGTAGTCTATTCGCCACCACCTCTTCCTGCTCCAGGAGCCTCCTAAGCACTCTCCTTTATCCATTCTTGTTCTTTCCAATGCATTCTTTATTCAGTAAGCAGAAAGATTTTTGAAATTATTTTTTAATCAAAGCAATAAATGCTGAATTAAAGTAAAAAAGGCTTATACCATGAGACTACTTTCCTGCCCAATTTCTCCCCAGTGCCTGCTTGCATTCCCTACCACTTTCTACTCGTTTACTGTTTCTGGCTTTTATTTTCATAATTCTAAATATGTGCTTATACTGTTACTTCTTGATTTATCAATTTTAGGTATCTGTTGATGTTTTTCCACTCAACTCTTTCTTTTTTTTTTTTTTTGAGATGGAGTCTCGCTCTGTTCCCCAGGCTGGAGTGCAGTGGCGCAATCTTGGCTCACTGAAACCTCTGCCTCCCCGGTTCAAGCGATTCTCCTGCCTCAGCCTCCTGAGTAGCTGGGATTACAAGCGCACACCACCACACCCAGCTAATTTTGTATTTTTAGTAGAGATGAGGTTTCACCATGTTGGTCAGGCTGGTCTGGAACACCTGACCTCAAGTTATCCACCTGCCCCAGCCTCCCAAGGTGCTGGGAATTGCAGGCATGAGCCACCTCACCTGGCCTCAACCCTTTCTTCTTTATTATAACTATTATAATTTTTGGCCGAATCACTGTCATTGTTTACATTAAGAAAGCAGACATTTTTACTTCCTGAGCCAAAATGTGTATTTTTACCTTTCCTGTCTCGTATGCCTTTTTTTTTTTTTCTCCTCCTTTTAGAGATTAGGTCTCATCATATTTCCCAGGCTGGTTTGTTTGTTTGTTTGTTTCTTTTTTTTGAAAGGGTCTTGCTCTTTCACCCAGGCTGGAGTGCAGTGGTGCAATCTCGGCTCAATGCAACCTCCACCTCCCAGGTTCAGGCGATTCTCATGCCTCAGCCTCCCGAGTAGCTGGGATTACAGGCACATGCCACCATGCCTGGCTAATTTTTGTTGTTTTTGTTTGTTTTTTCTGAGACAGAGTCTTTATCTGTCACCCAGGCTGGAGTGCAATGGCGCGACCTTGGCTCACTGCAACCTCCACCTCCCAGGTTCAAGCAATTCTCCTGTCTCAGCCTCTTGAGTAGCTGGGATTATAGGTACATGCCACCATGCCCAGCTAATTTTTTAATTTTTAGTGGAGGCGTGGTTTCACCACGTTGGCCAGGCTGGTCTCCAACTCCTGACCTCAGGTGATCCGCCCACCTTGGCCTCCCAAAGTGCTGAGATTACAGGCGTGAGCCACTGCGCCCAGCTTACTTTTTGTATTTTTAGTAGAGATGAGGTTTCACTATGTTGGCCAGGCTGGTCTCAAACTCCTGACCGCAGGTGATCCACCCACCTCGGCCTCCCAAAGTGCTGGGATTACAGGCGCCAGGCTGGTTTCTAACTCCTGGGGGCTCAAGCAGTTTTCCCATCTTTGCTTTCCAAAGTGTCATATATCTTTTTTATCATTTGCTGCTTTTGCAACATATATTTGTTGCTGATTCGTTTACTTTCTGTTATTCTCCTTAATTTTCAACATGATCAAATACATTTTTGGATTATAGTCAATCTCCCCACTTTTCTTTTTTTCTTCCTAGACATCCTCTTGCACTCTGGGGTGAATATTTTCTTGGCCAAGGTGTACAGTCACAGCCCTAGGATTTCCCTTCAGCATCATCTTCTCTCTTGTATTTGATCTTTGAGTTTTCCTCAGTGTTGATTTGCTCTCTTATTTTGGTGGAATATATTCTCCATCAGGGTAGTAAGAAAAAGGTGAATAGGATGTAAATTTTTGAGATACTATATTTCTCTTTATTCTGCCCTTTGATAGAATTGTTGGATCAAAAATTATTTTTCTCTCAGAATTTGGAAGTCATTGTTAAATTATCTTTTGGCTTCCAATGTTGCTATTAATAGTCCTGGTAGTGTTTTTTTTTTCTTTTTTCTTTTATTTATTTTCTTTTCTTAAGAGACAGGGTCTTGCTCTGTTGCCCAGGCTGGACTGCAGTGACACAATCACAGCTCACTCTAATCTCTAACTCCTGGCCTCAAGTAATCTTCCTGCTTCAGCTTCTCCAGTAGCTGAGACTACAGGTGTGCACCACCATGCCTGCCTAATTTTTAAATTTTTTGTAGAGATGGGGTATCACTATGTTGCCTAGACTGGTCTTGAGCTCCTGACCTCAAGCAGCCCTCCCACCTTCGTCTCCCAAAGTGCTGAGATTACAGGCATGAGTCACCATGCCTGGCCTCCTAATAGTGTTCTTGATTTTTATTTTTAATCTTCTTTGTAGACTGCCTTTTCTCACTGGAAACTTTTAGGATCTTTTCTTTTCCCTGCCATTTTGAAATTTTGTAACAATGTGCCCTGCCTGGTTAGGGTTTTATTTTCATTCATTGTGATGGAGACTTCTGACCAGGGGATATTTCTTGTATTTATGCAGAGTTGTTTCATAATATTATTTCCTTGGTAATTTCCTCCTCTTTGTTTTCTCTGTTCTCGCTGTTACTGTTAGTCAGACATTGTTCTTGGATCGATCCACTTGCTTGACTTTATATTGGATTTTTTTTTTTTTTTTGGTGGCTATCACATTTTAATTTTCAGTGTTTTGGGGTTTTTTTTTTTTTTTTTTTTTTTGAGACGGAGTCTTGCTCAGCCACCCAGGCTGGAGTACAGTGGTGTGACCCCAGCTCACTGCAGCCTCCACCTCCTGGGTTCAAGTGATTCTCCTGCCTCAGCCTCCCAAGTAGCTGGGATTACAGGCACTCACAACCATGCCTGGCTCATTTTTATATTTTTAGTAGAGATGGGGTTTCACCATGTTGCCCAGGCTGGTCTCGAATTCCTGACTTTGGGTAATCCACCCGCCTCGGCCTCCCAAAGTGCTGGGATTACAGGCATGAGACACTGTGTCTGGCCAGTTTTCAGTGTTTTATATTTCTATCTGGATGTTTGTTATATAGGTATTCTTAAATATATTTAAGATTTGTGGACTTTATATAAGTTATACTTCAACAGAATAGTGAAAATAATGGAAAGGACCCTTCCCCCTCTGTTGTTAATATCTAAAGTCTCTTAATCTCTCTCTCTCTTTTTTTTTTGTTTTTGTTTTGAGACAGAGTTTTGCTGTTGTCGCCCAAGCTGAAGTGCAATGGTGCAATCTCGGCTCACTGCAACCTCCGCCTCCTAGGTTCAAGCAATTCTCCTGCCTCAGCCTCCTGAGTAACTGGGACTACAGATGCACGCCATCATGCCCAGCTAATTTTTGTATTTTTAGTAGAGACAGGGTTTCACCATGTTGGCCAGGCTGATCTTGAATTCCTGACCTCAAGTGATCCACCCACCTCGGCCTCCCAAAGTGCTGGGATTACAGGCGTAAGCCACCGTGCCCGGCCTCTCATTGTTTTTTATATTATCCTGTTTATCTCTTCTAGATGTCATTGTCTTTTTCTCAGCCTCTTCATTAAGCACGTTGTGTTTTGTTCTCTGTAGTCTGCATTGTGTCTGTTTCTCATAAGTTATTTTTCTTTTTGTTTGGTCTCTGTCTTTCCTGTTAGAAGGTTTGTTGGTGTTGCATTGCTGCCATAACAAATTACCATAAATTTAGCAGCCTGAAACAACACGAATTTATCTCACAGTCACTGTAGGTTAAAGGTGTGTACACGTGGCTCACCTGTGTCCTCTATAGACTCTTAAGTGGCTGAAGTTAAGGTGTCAGCAGGGCTGCGTTCCTTCCTGGAGGCTGTGAGAATGAATTTTGCTTGGTAGAATTTGGTTCTTTGTGATTGTAAGACTAAGATTCCCTCTGGCTTGTCTGCTAGGGGTCATTCTCAGCTCCTAGAGGCTCTCCACATTGCTTGTTGCCCCCTTCCTCTATCTTCAAAGCCAGTAACAGCAAGTCAAGGTCTTCTGTCTGAATTTATCTGACCACTCCTTCTGTCTCATCTCTCTTCTTCCTGCCTCTTCTGTGCTGGAGGCCTCATGTGATTACGTTGGGCTCACCCAGATAACCCAGGATAATCTCCCTAAAATCATTTGATAAGTGATCTTAATTCATTTGCAAAAACTCCTCACAGCAGTACCTAGATTGGTGTTTGTGTAACCATGGGTAGGGATATTAAACTTCAGTATTCTGCCCACCCCAGAAGCCTTTCTCAAGTGTCTAGTAATCATTGGCTGGCTGTTCCTATGTTTAATGCTGGGGCTTTTTTTTTTTTTTTTTTTTGAGACAGAGTCTCGCTCTGTCGCCTAGGCTGGAGTGCAGTGGCGCGATCTCGGCTCACTGCAAGCTCCGCCTCCCGGGTTCAAGCCATTCTCCTGCCTCAGCCTCCGGAGTAGCTGGGACTACAGGCGCCCGCCACAACGCCCAGCTAATTTTTTTTTTTTTTTTTTTTTTTTTTGTATTTTTAGTAGAGACCGGGGTTTCACCACGTTAGTCAGGATGGTCTCCATCTCCTGATTTCGTGATCCGCCCGCCTCGGCCTCCCAAAGTGCTAGGATTACAGGCATGAGCCACTGCGCCTGGCCTGGGGCAATATCAGTACCTAATAGGAAGCTCTATATTGGGTGGAGTTTAGCTCATCATCCCTCTGTAAGGTATTTAGACATATTGAGCAAGCTTTTTCAAACATCACTATCTAAAAGATCTTTTCCCTAGGGCTATTCAGGTTCTGTTTGTAAAGGATCCTAAAGGGTGTGTGTCTGTGGAGTAGGTTACCTGAGTTTAATTCAGTAATGGAACAGGAAAGGGATGCTGGGGCGGACTAAATTTTTTCAGGTAGTCTATCTGTTTTCTGTGCCTCAGTTTGATGATTAGAACAGTGAATCAGGGTGTTACCCATTGGTACCTCCTTCTACAAACACCTTGGTTTTATATTTCTCCAGTTTACAAAGTTACTGTTCCATCTGACTTCTGCTTCCCAAAACTTTTCTGAGATTTCTTATCCCATATTTTCTTCCATTTTGGGGGCCCTTATAGGTTTATGTTTTCTTTATTTTTTACGTGATTTTGAAAGGAGTGAAAATAAATGCACGTATTCAATATACTTTTTTAACCAGAAACGCTTTATCTTCCCTGAGAACCCTTCTTTACCTCAGTTTCTCAATTCCCCTCACCCTCATGCTTTTTTATATGTATAGTATTTATATAGCCTGTGTAGATTAGACTAGATTCATCTTCTGTTTGATAACATGCTAATTATAATGAACATTAAATTTCGTTGCTATCACTGGGTGTAGTGGCTCAGGCCTGCTGCATTCCCAGTATTTTGGGAGGCTGAGGCAGGAGGATTGCCTGAGCCTGGGAAGTCGAGGCTGCTGTGACCTGTGAGCACACTAACACTACTTCATTCCAGCCTGGGTGACAGTGAGCCCCTATCTTTAAAACAAACAAACAAACAAAAAAAAACATTGCTATATATTCTGTTATAGAGGTTCTGGAGCATTGCTTTGTGTAGTGCCTCATAAATGCTAGCTTATCCTTATTGAAATGTAAAATTGAGCATAAATTAGTATAGTATTTTGGTATGGCTATTTTAAAGTTTTCATGTCTCACAGTCCTCTGGGTATGTTTTATTTTGGTATAAATCTTGTTTACTTACTTATGTTCTTCTCCAGCCCCACTCTTACACATTTAGAAATCTTATACAGATTTCTAAGTCTGTTAATTACTTCTTGATACAAGGCATACAGTAAATCAGTAAGTCCTAAATTCTCATGTCAGTGAAATGATCAGTATCTTAATGTGGAGAGTTAGGTTTACTTTGTTATTGTTGTAATGAAATGCAAACCACTTTTTCACACTTCATATGCAGCCAATGGCTACCCAGTTCCAATATGGAACTACCTACCATTAGAAAAATAAGTCATTCTTGCTACCCTTCATTCTCTCCCTTCCCTAAACTAGTGATTATCAAGAAGCTGGAGGCTAGGTGCAGTGGCTCACACCTGTAATCCCAGCACTTTGGGAGGCCGAGGAGGGCAGATCACTAGGTCAGGAGATCGTGACTATCCTGGCTAATACGGTGAAACCCTGTCTCTACTAAAAATACAAAAACTTAGCTGGGTGTGGTGGCGGGCGCCCGCAATCCCAGCTACTCCGGAGGCTGAGGCAGGGGAATCGCTTGAGCCCAGGAGGCAGAGGTTGCAGTGAGCTGAGATTGTGGCACTGCACTCCAGCCTGGGCGACAGAGCAAGACTCCGTCTCAAAAAAAATAAATAAATAAAAGCTGGAATCAGAATTGCCTACAGAACTTATATAAAACAAGCCGCTAGAGCCCTGAGCTACTGCAAAAATCTGGGGATATGGTCCCAGCATGTATTTTTAATATTATTATTATTGATTTTACAAGCAATTCTCATGGGCCCATCTAGTTAAGAACTGCTTTATCTACTTAAGACAGACAAAAAAGCTACTTAACAATATTCTTTTACTAATGTAAATATGCATATTAATATACATTTAATACTACCTGGTTTGTGAGCCAGACAGAAAATGACCTAGGAACAAAAATACATTTGAATCATGTAGTACAGTGACTCTCAAACCTGGGGGATATGGCGGAAACATTTGGGAGAACTTTTCGAAATGTAATGCTTGCCTTACTGTCTCCCACTAAATAGTGCCTGTGGTGACTTTGTTAGAAGCATATCATATCTCAGGCATGAGATTTGTTATGTAAGGATTTGTTATTTATCCTTCAATACTTTTTAGATTTTTCACCACATACTAGTACTTGATTTACTTTGGAGAAATGAATGGGTGGAGAGAGAGTACCACCACCACCCTGCCTCCACTTAATGTTGAAGCAGTGTAGACAACTGCTTATTCAGAGGCTTGGAATTTTCTAATGCCTTTATTTTATCCCAGTATGGCCCCACTGGCATTTAAAGCTGAGGGTACGTTGTGAATTAAAAGTAGAATTCATAAACCATTAGATCTCTTCACATGTTAAATCTTACTCCTTTAAAAATAACTCTAGGAAGTAATGATGCAGTTGTATTAGATAAATCTTAGGTTCAAAGAATATACTTGAAATCACTTCTGAGTTTCTGAACCTACCTAATTATAGTAATTATTGCTAATCCATGAAACCCCAAAAATTACATTTGAGGATAAGTGGATTAACTTTATATCTTAAATATACAAGAATGAAGAAAATATTTGATTTTTAATTGTGTAACTTTAGCTGAAAAATGCTGTAGTATGTTTTTTAAAAAAACCAGATATGCCTAGATGCTTTCAAGAAAGTGGCAGAATTTAAGGAGCAGGTATTTACTTAACATGATTTCTGCTCTTTATTAGATATACTTACCCCAAATTTATTAATAATTAAAGAGCAGTTATATTTACCTACTCTGTGGTCACATATTCGTTCAGGATAGTTCTTCTGCTAATTCCATTTTCAGGTTTCAGAAACCGATCAGAAAATAGCCTGTAAAATACAGAACAAAATGAAAACCTAGTTATGTCCCACAGTGTTTCTTTCTTTGTGGGGTTTTTTTTTTGGTTGTTTTTTTTTTTTTTTTTTGAGACGGAGTTTCACTCTCCTTGCCCAGGCTGGAGTGCAATGGCATGATCTTAGCTCACTGCAACCTCCGCCTCTTGGGTTCAAGCGATTCCCCTGCCTCAGCCTCCCGAGTAGCTGGAATTACAGGCATGCGCCACCATGCCCAGCTAATTTTGTATTTTTAGTAGAGACGGGGTTTCACCATGTTGGCCAGGCTGGTTTCAAACTGCTGACCACAGGTGATCCACCCGTCTCAGCCTCCCAAAGTGCTGGGATTACAGGCGTGAGCCGTCGTGCCTGGCCGAGTGTTTCTAAGAGTAACGTTGAAATAACCAACAGAAAACCTGACCAAAACCCACATACTTATTAAAATAATTTATTTGGACTTCTTATTTAAACATGGACAATGTTTATATAAAAATTCTTTTTAAAAAAGAAAGTCCAGTGTGGTTTGCAGTAATTGCTCCCATGTTAATTTTTACATGCAAATTAACTTTGATTTGAAGAAATCTTACAGAAAAATGAGAAAAGGAAGAAAATATATATAAATTATTAAAAACACGAGATGTACGTTACTACTAATCAAAGACATAAAACAAGAACATATATCCATCTTGTTCCATCTTTGCCTTAAAATTATTATAACCTTTAATCCAGTAATTCTATTCCAGTGAATTCTGAAATAAAATATGGAAAAAGATGGACATAGATGTTTGTAGAATTATTAAATATTATTTATAATGGGCTCAGTATTAGAAGAATGATTAAATTATGATTTATTTACATAGAATATTATGCAGTTGTTAAAATGATTTGCTAGTCATGTTTCACCTTTTATGAAAACATTTTATTTTTTGCCCTGTCTTATGGTACTGAAAGAACACATTTTAAATGATTCAGTTATTTATATTTTTTGAGGAGGGAGGTAACTTCCAAATTTCTACCATGGTGTGTGTGTGTGTGTGTGTGTGTGTGTGTGTGTGTGTGTGTGTGTGTGTTTTATTTGTTTTGCAGATGGTCTTGCTCTGTCACGCAGGCTGGAGAGCAGTGGCCCAGTCACGGCTCACTGCAGCTTCCAGGCTCAGGCAGTCTTCCCACCTCAGCCTCCTGAGTAGCTGGGACTCTAGGTGTGCACCACTATGCCTGGCTAATTTAAAAAAAAATTTTGTTTGTAGAGAAAAGGTCTTCCTAGGTTGCCCAGGCTGGTCTTGAACTCCTGAGCTCAAGCAGTTCTCCCACTTTGGCCTCCCAAAGTCCTGGGATTACAGGCGTGAACCACTGTGCCAGGTCTCTGTTGTTAGCCATTTTATAATTAGAGGAAAAACATTAAGACACAAATACTTACAAAGCATTTGTTATGTATCATTTAATTTATACAACTACCTCCTGAGGCACTGTTGTCATTTTAGATAAGGAAACTCAGACACCGACAGGCTGAGTAGCTTGTCCAGAGTCACACAGCTAATAAATAGTGGAACTAGGATTTGAATCTAGGTAGTTTGGCTGTGTGCTTCCACCTTAAATTGTGCCTCATCAACTCTGTAGCAGCATGGTAGGATCCTAGTTTCAGGTCCCCTACAAACAAAAAGCTTTCTGAATTTATAATATTGGGTTGAATCTAGTGGATGTCATGGGCTCCTAAAGCTGTAAACTGCCACATGTAAAATTTTGATCCAGTAATTAGCAATCTACAGCTTTACAAGTTTTGTAGTGATATGAATTGTGTTGTCTGTTCTCTTCATACTCTGACATATAGTATAGTGCTGCCAGACATTGTGATACACAGTCACGTGCTGCATAACAATATTTTGGTCAACGATGAACCACATATCCAGTGATAGTTCCTTAAGATTATAATGGAGTTGAAAATTTTCCGTCTCCTTGTGATGATGTAGCTTTTGTAACATCATAGTGCGATTACTTTATTTTTTAAATACATTTTAAAAATAAGTGCAGTGGCTCACGCCTATAATCCCATCACTTTGGGAGGCCAAGGAGTTTGGAGACCAGCCTGGGCATCATGACAAGACCCTATCTCTACAAAAAAATAAAATGAAATTGCCTAAGGACACATTTCTCAGAACACATCCCCATCCTTAAGTGACGCATGACTGTAGACCTATTGCTTCTCCTTTCTGCGGCTTTTCTTTTTTATTGTTAATTTTTGGGTTCTTCATCGTTTCACAGTTTTTTAATTAACTTTATTGTAGTATAATAGATACACCATAAACTGTATCTATTTAAAGTGTGAAATTTGAGTTGTGACAGATATTTATACCTCTGAAACCACCACAATCAAGATTCAGAATATTTCTGTCACCTGTCAAACTTCAGCTACCAGCAAATTGATCTGCTTTCTGTCACTATGGATTTGTTGGCATTTTCTGGAATTTTGTGAATGGAATCACATATACTCTTTTCTAATTTATCTTCCACTTAATATAATAAATTTGAGAGTCATTCATTTTATTGCATGTGTCAGTTGTTTCTTTTTACTGATTGGTGAGTTGTGTTCCATTGTCTAAGTAGTATACCGTTGGTTTGCAAATATCACATTTTTGTTTATCCATCTGGGTTATTTTCAGTTTTGGCTTTTATGAATCAAGTTATTACAAATGTGCTTTTCATCTTCTTGGGTAAATAACTAGGGGTAGAATGTCTGGAGTTGTGTGGTACATGTATGTTTATACAGAATTGCTGAGCTGTTTTCAAAAAATTGTCTCATTTAATAGTCCTACCAGCTGCTTATGAGAGTTCAAGTTCCTCTTCACATCCTCACTGACACTGAGTAGTAACGTCTTTTTAATGCTGGCCTCTTTGATGTATGGGTACTGCTATCTCATTGTGGTTTTAATTTGTATTTCCCTGATGACTGATAACGTCAAGTATCTTTTCATGTGCTGCTTGGTCATATTTCTTTGATGAAGTGATTGTCCAGATCTTAGTTCATTTGTCTTCTTGAGTTGTTAGGGCTCTTTTTATATTCAGAATACAAGACTTTTGTCAGATATGTGTGCTGCAAATATGTTGTCCCACTGTATGCTTGCCTTTTTTGTTTTCTCAACAGTGTCTTTTAAAGAGTAGGTAGGTTGGGGTTTTTTTTTTTTTTTTATTTTTAAATAAAGGGCAATTTTTTGTGGTTCCTTTTTTGTGTGTCCTATCTAAGAAATCTTTGTCGTCTTATGCTTTCTTCTAGTTTCATTATTTTGACTGTTACATTTAGATCAGTGGTCATTTAGAATTAATTTTTGCTATTGTTATAAGGGTTAATGGTCTTTAAAACATATATATATGAATCATTGTTCAGCACTTTGTTGAAAAGATTTTTCTTTCTCCTTGGATTGCCTTGGTACCTTTGTCAAAAAATTCTGATCACCCATATGTAGGTCTGTTTTGGGGGCCCTCTTCTGTTTCATTCATCTGTACGTCTTATCATTTAGCCAGTAAGTTCAGTGTCTTGATTGATACAGCTTTATGATGTCTTAAAATCAGTTAGTGTAAGTCGTCCAATTTTGTTCTTTTTAAGAATGTCTTTGACTATTCTAGGATTGTTCTCATTTTCATATAAATTTTACAATCTGTCAACTTCTACAGAAAAGCAAATTGGAATTTTGACTGGCATCTCATTAAATCTTTAGCTTAATTTGAGGAGAATTGACTTCTTAACAAAATTGAGTCTTGAAATTTGTGAACATCGTGTGCAATATATATTGTGTGTGTGTGTGTTTAATTGGGTCATTTTTAATTTCTTTTGTTATTTTCATTTAACCATTTTCCTTGTTATCAGACTCCTCAAATGAAAATAGATCAGAAACTTGTAGCCATTTGATACAGGGCAGAATATTTGAATCAATTAAAATTTGAGATTTGGGGCCGGGCACGGTGGCTCACGCCGGTAATCCCAGCACTTGAGAGGCCGAGGCAGGCGGATCACCTGAGGTCAGGAGTTCAAGACCAGCCTGATCAACATGGAGAAACCCTGTCTCTATTAAAAATACAAAATTAGCCAGGCGTGGTGGCACATGCCTGTAACCCCAGCTGTTCAGGAGGCTGAGGCAGGAGAATCACTTGAACCTGGGAGGTGGAGGTTGTGGCGAGCCGAGATTGCTCAATTGCACTCCAGCCTGGGTAACAAGAGTGAAACTCCGTCTCAAAAAAAAAAAAACAAAACTGGGATTTGGTAATGATTTAAAAGTATCATTACATTTACTTCATTTATCACGTGTACCTTATGACATACAGAATGAGTGAAGGACATATAAACTCAATTTTTCTTCCAGTTTTAGATAAAAAATAAATATATAAATAAGGGCTTCTAATATTTTCTTTCCGTACCCTAGTAGATTGTTATTTCCACTTTGAGGTCATTACATTTATTATATAGTTACGAATTAAGAATGCTTTGGGTAGTTTAAGTGTCATAATCAGTGTTTTGCATGACATCAATGTCTGACACAACTCAGACATACAGAAGGAAGTTACACATTCTTATCTTGAAACAATAGATTTACTAAGTGTAAAATGTTTAAATTTTCCTTTGTTCTAGTAAAACAATCTATTTTATTAACAGATATCAGACACCCCGAAGAACTTTCTCTCTTAAAGAAACCCAGAGATCCAACAAAGAAAAAAAAGAAGAAGCTAGATGACCAGTCTGAAGATGAGGCACTTGAATTAGAGGGGCCTCTTATCACTCCTGGATCAGGTAAGACTTTTACCAAGCAATGGACTCAAAGTAAGAACTGTGGACTGTGTACCTTTGTCTTTCTGGTGGTGGGTAAATGGATCATGTAGGTCAGGAAGAGTGGTCAAGTTAAAAAAACAAAAACTTCAATTAGCCAGGCATGGTGGCACACACCTGTAGTCCCAGCTACTTGGGAGGCTGAGGCAGAAGAATCGCTTGAACCCGGGAGGCAGAGTTGCAGTGAGCCAAGATCGTGCCACTGCACTCCAGCCTGGGTGACAGAGTGAGACTCCGTCTCAAAAAAAACATAAACTCTCCTTCAGCATTTTTCTCTGTCCTGAAATCACTATCCAGTGTCAGTTTCTCTCATGTGCAAATCATCATGTCAGGTGTTAATAGTTGAATCAATAAAGAGGAAGCCCAGTTCTCTTGTTCAGAGAGTCAAAAAGGAATAGTATCATAATTGGACTCAGGCAGAAATTGGAAATTTTTTTAGTATCTAGTTCATGAAAACCACCACTATTTGGTTAATGCATTATTCCTTAAAACCTTACTTAAGGCCAGGCGCGGTGGCTCACGCCTGTAATCCCAGCACTTTGGGAAGCCAAGGCAGGTGGATCACGAGGTCAGAGAGCGAGACCATCCTGGCTAACACAGTGAAACCCTGTCTCTACTAAAAATACCAAAAAAAATTAGCTGGACGTGGTGGCACGTGCCTGTAGTCCCATCTACTTGGGAGAGTGAGGCAGGAGAATCACCTGAACCCAAGAGGTGGGAGTTGCAGTGAGCTGAGATCGTGCCACCACACTCCAACTTGGGCAAGAAGAGCAAAACTCCATCTCAAAAAAAAAAAAAAACAAAAAACAGCACCAGGCGGGGTACTGTGGCTCACACCTGTAATCCCAGCACTTTGGGAGGCCAAGGCAGGCAGATCACCTGAGGTCAGGTATTTGAGACCAGCCTGGCCAACGTGGTGAAACCCCATCTTGACTAAAAATACAAAAATTAGCTGGGCGTGGTGACAGGCACCTGTAATCTCAGCTACTTGGGAGGCTGAGGCAGGAGAATTGCTTGAACCCAGGAGGCGGAGGTTGCAGTGAGCCAACCTGGGTGACAACTCCGTCTCAAAAAAAAAAAAAAAAAAAAACAAAAAACAGCCTTCTCTCTGCTTTGCATATTCTGGTTTCCGGGCCTTCCTACCTTTTTTCCTTAAAGGTTTTGCTCCTTTGAGGAGCTTTCTTAGATTCCCTTTCATTACTTTTCCAATCTGAATTAGGCATCTTTCTGTCATGAGTCAGCAGACTTTTCTGTGTTTGGTATTGTTATACTGTGTGTTCTTCCTTGCTAATGTGAGCTCACTGCATGAAGGGGCTATGTCACCTTTTTGTCACCAGAACCTAACTCAGCATATGGCATTCAGCAGGCATGCAGGTGATGTCTGTTGGGAAGCTAAGTGGCTAATTAATTAGGTTATATTGTTCTTTAATCGTGGGCATATACCTGGACTGAACATTGCAGTTTCCTACATTTCCATCAGCCACAAATGTATAAATCCATTACTTAGGATGGGTCCCCTCAGCAAATATCTAAATTAATCTTACTAATTTAGTTCATTCTGGTTTTTTAAATTCTGAGATGATGATGATACTAATAATGAAAGCAGCACTCACAGAGCACTTACTGTGCAGTGCCCACCACTATTTCATGCACTTTACCCATGGAAACCCATGTAATTCTCACTACAGCTCTTTGCAGTAGATATTGTTAATACCCACATTTTGAGGATAAGGATAAGAAATTATGGCACAGTAAAAAGTCTTCTAAGGTCACAAGCCTTCTAACTTTTCTGTTTTATGTACTGATTGCATTTTGAAAGATACAAAGAAGTAAGACAATCCTTACTCTTAAGTAGTTTATAGGTTAGTGGAAAAACAGTTACTATACTTAAGGAGGTAATATATAAATGTTAAATGACTTTTATAGAAGATAGTGTTTTTGAAATTCAGAAAACAATTCCAAACAAAGTTTGTGAATTCAGCTTTTAAGTTCCAGTGGCTAGGTTTTTGATGGGAAAAGGCAGTCCAAGCAGAAAGAATGATACTAACAAAGAACATCCTTGCAAAAATACAAGATGTGAATAAATGAGTTGAGCCAGTTTATGGGGGAAGAGACCTCCGAGCTCCTTCAGGATAACATTGGAACATATTTAACAACAGACGATGGAATTTAGACTAGGGCATTGTAGAACCATTGGTTTCTGAATATTTTACAAAATTATCAAATCATTATTGTAGAAAGAGTATCAAATTTACTTCCAGTCAGTAATTTGTACAGGAGGGAATATGGGGAAGGGTTGCCGATACTGGTGGAAGCCTGTAGGTTGAGGAAGAGGTAAAAGAGAATAAAAGGGGCCAGGCGCGGGTGGCTTACGCCTATAATCCCAGCACTTTTGGGAGGCTGAGGTGGGTGGATCACCTGAGGTCAGGAGTTCGAGACCAGCCTGACCAACATGGTGAAACCCCATTTCTACTAAAAATACAAAATTAGCCAGGCGTGGTGGTGGGTACCTGTAATCCCAGCTACTCTGGAGGCTGAGGCAGGAGAATCGCTTGAACCTGGGAGGCGGAGGTTGCAGTGAGCCGAGATTGTGCCACTGCATTCCAGTCTGGGCGACAGAGCAAGACTCTGTCTCAAAAAAAAAAAAAGAGGATAAAAGATTATGTCTATGTAATATTGTGACATAGTAAGAAATATATATAGTCATGTGCTGCATAGTGATGTTTTGGTCAATAACAGATCACATATATGACTGTAGTCCCATAAGATTAAAATACTGTCTTCTTTTTTTTCTTTTCTTTTTTTTTTTTTTCAGACGGAGTGTCACTCTGTCGCCCAGGCCGGAGTGCAGTGGCTGCGATCTCGGCTCACTGCAACCTCCGCCTCCTGGGTTCAAGCGATTCTCCTGCCTCAGCCTCCTGAGTAGCTGGGATTACAGGCGTGCATCACCACACCCGGCTAATTTTTTGTATTTTTAGTAGAGATGGGGTTTCACCATGTTGGTCAGGCTGGTCTCGAACTCCTCACCTCCTGACCTCATGATCGATCCACCTGCCTCGGCCTCCCAAAGTGCTGGGATTACAGGCGTGAGCCACCGCACCCAGCCTTCTTTATTTTATGTATTTTTTTTTTTTTTTGAGACACAGTCTCACTGTGTCACCCAGGCTGGAGTGCAGTGGAGCAATCTTGGCTCTCTGCAGCCAAGATACAGGCAATTCTCCTGCCTCGGCCTCCTGAGTAGCTGAGACTATAGGCGCACACCACCATACTTGGCTAATTTTTGTATTTTTAGTAGAAATGGGGTTTCACCATGTTGGCCAGACTGGTCTTGAACTCCTGGTCTCAAGTGATCCACCCACCTTGGCCTCCCAAAGTGTTGCGATTACAAGCATGAGCCAACACCTGGCCCTGTATTTTCACTCTACCTTTTCTATGTTTAGAGATGTTTAGATACACAGATACAGATACTTACCATTGTGTTACAGTTGCCTGCAGCATTCAGTACAGTAACATGCTGTACAGGTTTGTAGCCTGGGAGCAATAGACTATACCATCCGTATAGCCTAGGTGTGTAGAAGGCTATACCATCCAGGCCTGTATGAGTACACTCTATGATGTTCATACAACAGTGAAATCCCTTAACGACACATTTCTCAGAACTTATCCCTATTGTTAGTAGGTGCATGACTGTACTAACTTGCACCTTTGTCATTGCATCATTGGGCTGTTCCTGTGCTGCCCAGTTTTTGGCTAGCTTGTGCCCAAGCAGAGCATCCTTACCAATTCTTACACTCCCCAATCTTGGCTTCCCTTGTTCTTTTTCACCCAGTTCCCTTTTCACCCAGACTGCAGCTGCTTTTATTTCTGGTCTGTGTACTATTCCTCAGTTCTTTCCTTTCAGAGGCTAGACCTTTGGACAGCTTTGAATGTCCTAAGGGACATTTGTGGCCTCTTTATTTGTAAGAGATCCTTTTCAGAAAGAAAACCAATGTTTTTATTAAAACGTTGCTATTACTGACAACCACATTTATTGAGCAACTTCTTGTCCAAAACACTACATGTAATATATTTAATCCACACAGTAAAATATATTAATTAATTGAGCAATTCTGAAAAATTGGTAGCATGAGAAGAGAAACCCAGAGTGGCTAAATCACTTGCCTGGGAGCTAATCCCTGGTAACTGGTAGAGCTGAGCTGTAAGCCCAGGCTCATCCCGCTTCCAAGCTAGAGCTTTCACCATTGCACTGTGCACACACCCGTCTCCTTCTCCCTTCTGTCCCTCATGAGTACACACAGACCCATAATTTTAGCAAATACGTCAGTGGCCAGAGATGCCACAACCTAGCTTTTACTTAATTTTTGTAGCCTTGTTTACCTTAAAGAAAAAAAAAATTAATTAAAATTTAAATTCTCCAACAAATCCTTATACTGTACTCTACATGAGTAGTGGCAATCAGAGTCATCCCATATCAATATTAGAAGCGATAACGCTGAATGTTTCTATAAGTCTTAGAGAGTTAGAATTTGGGAAGCTGAGGAGGTTTTGTTGCCTGGAAACCATAGGTGAAGACCGGTATGCATAGAAATTCTTGAGAGTATGCTAGTCCAGGAAGCAGGAAATCTTAAAATTTTTACATCATACGGAAATGGCTAGAAGCAAACCCTGTGAGTATGAAAAATAAAATTATCAGCTTAGATCTTACAAAACAAAAAGACAAGAAGCTACTGGTAGAATTGGAAGCATTGGATAATTTTGTAATAGTTCCAGAACTTACTAAATTTTGCTTCTCTTCCCTTCAGCTTGGTGATAATGACAAATTGTAGGAAAGCTGGTTAGTATATAACTTAAGCTAATGAATAATCGTGATTGAGTTAGCATCAGTCTTTTCACTGAATTCTTAAGCTGGGCTGCCTTGATTAAGACATAGTAATTTAGATTGAGCAACCCACTAATACTTTTCCTTTTATAAGTCACATCTAATACGAATACTAATCCGTATTTTAAAAATACTTTCGTTTGGTAGGAAAGTGGGTTGCAAACCAAAATCACAAATAAGCCTTATGGTTTGTTTTTTTCCTCTTGGTTGTCTCTGATTTTTAATGGTTGGAGAGTAGTGTATATTGTTGATATAAACAAAATAAATATATGAATTTATATTCTAGGAGAAAATTTAGCCACATAGAAATAAACGTATATAATGTCAGGTTTTTCCTCCTCCATGGTCAACAATTACATACATAGTAAATAAGTTATAAGTATTATTGAATACATAATCTTTCACTTAATCGCCACAAAATACCAGCAGTTTTGGTGATGTCTTCATTTTACTTCTGAGGAAATAACTCCACAAGGGTTAAGTGGAGTTATTTTCCCAAGGTTAAGTAATTTTATTTAACCTTTTAGTTAAATAAAGTTTAACTTTTTTTAACTAAAGTTAAGTAATTTTAGTTAACTTTAGTTAAGTAATTTTCGTTACTTAGTTAAGTAATTTTCCCAAGGTCACAAAGGTAATAAGGAGCAGAGCTAGAATTCACATCCAGGCTCCGGTGCTCATGCTTCTAACCATTAAGTAACCAATTCTTTTTTTTTTAAGAGACAGGGTCTCTCTGTGTTGCCCAGGCTGGTCATCAACTCTTGGCCTCAAGTAATCCTTTCACCTCAGCCTCCCAAAGTGCTAGATTATGGGCATGAGCTACCATGCCTGGCCATAATGTTTATTTTATGAATTATAATAGGAATGTTTGCTAAATTTTTTCTTTCTTTTTTTTTTAAGGGACAGGGTCTTGCTATGTTACCCAGTCTGGTCTCAGACTTCTGGGCTCAAGTGATCCTCCTCCCTCCGCCTCCCAAGTAGTTGGGACTTCAGGCAGATGCCAGCATGGCCAGCTAATTTTTGTATTTTTTGTAGAGATGAGGTTTTGCCATGTTTCCCAGGCTGGTCTCAAGCAATCCTCCTGCCTTGGTCTCTCAGAAGTGCTGGGATAGCTACTAGGGAGGCTGAGGCAGGAGAATCACTTGAACCCGGGAGGTGGGGAGGTTGCAGTGAGCCAAGATCGCACCATTGCACTCCAGCCTGGGCGACAGAGCGAGACTCCATCTCAAAAAAAAAAAAAAAGTGCTGGGATCACTGCACCTAGCCTCAAAACATTTTTTAAAACTATTCTTTTAAGTACAAAAGTATCACATGCTTATAGTAAATATTCAAATATTACAGGATTACATATTCATTTTTTTTCTAACAAAAGTGGGACTGTGTTATACACACATTGTGTTTTCTCACTTGATGATACATACTGATGGACCTCATATATTTTTTAATTACAAAATTTATACATGAATACAGTCTCTTTATCATAAACTCAAGTAATATAAAAAATGTATTAAAATTAAGGTGAGTTCCTTTTAAACTTATTCCCTGGCTACTCCTTCTCAAGAGGGAGCCATTTCTTGATTACTACATATAACGAGGTTGTAAGTTTGGAGTCCAACTTGACAGTACCGTTTCTGTGTGTTTATATGCACAAGTGGGTATAAAATTTGCACATCTAGTCTTATTTTAATAACATAAATGAGATCCTAATATATATTTTATGCTCTGCAATTTGATTTTTGGTGATCAGTGTTTTAGTGATTTGTGTCAAAGCAGAGAAGTCTCCCTAGTTCTTATAAATGACTTCAGAGTTTTACCTATAGAAAAAGTATATTTACCTGTTTTTCTACCTAGGTGGTATCTAATTTTTCTGTCACATATATCCCAGAGCTGGGCGTTGTGGTGTACACCTGTAGTCCTAGCTACTTGGGAGGCTGAGACAGGAGGATCTCCTGAGCCCAGGAGTTCAACCTGGGTGGTCACACTGCTGCATTCCAGCCTGGGCAACAGAGCAAGACCCTGTCTCTAAAAAAATACATGTATGTGTAGATACATATATATCTATACATTATATCACACACACTCTGTCTGTCTCTCTCTCTCTCTCTCCCCCCCAAGAGTTTCTGTGGTTTATACTTCCATCAGTAGTACATGAAAATGCCCCATTTCCTACATTCTGCTCAATATTGAATGTTGTAAATCTGTGTTTTTGCCAGTTTGACAATAAGTAGTATCTCGGTTATTTTGCATTTCCCTAATACTAGGATAGTTGAATAATTTATATGTTTATTAGCCATTTATATTCTATTAATTTTCAAATGATAGATTCTTTATTTTATTTATATTTTTGCTTTTAGTGATATTAAAATTTTAATGTGTTACTTCCCTTTATATACTGGCATTTTGTTTGTGGCCTTTTTTTTTTAAAACCATATTGTTTTACATTTTTATGTGGTCTTATATCTGTTAGCCATTTACTTTATAGTTCTAGGTTTACTCTTGCTTGGGAAAATTTTCTCCAAAAATATAAAAATAATACCATAAAAATTCTTTTGATAAAATATGGTATAAGATAGGTATTTTGGTGAAAATTTTTTAAAATGTATTACTTTAGTACTCTTTTTAAAAAATATACAATTTATAATAAGTTAGGTAAATTTTACTGTGTTAAAATATAGCAATATTTAGGAGTTGTTTGATTATATCGGGTTTTAAATATCTACAGTAGGTGGACTCAGACTGTAGTGCTTTTTGAACTCTATTTCTCCCCCTTAGAGTTTTTAAGTTATCTTTCCATGTCATTTAGTAAGCTCATATTTTGTTGCTAAATCTGCTACTTTATCTTACACTTTACTAGTTTGCTGCCTCAGATGCATTTTAAACCAGACATTCAAGAAAACAACTTAGTTGGGATTGTCTCTGAACCACGATGAAGGAATTTAAAATACCCATACCCTCTGACCCAGCAGTGCTGCTAGAATTGGGAAATAACTACAAAAATGTTTGTTGAAGCATTGGTTTGCAATAATGACATTAGTAACAGATTTTTTTTTTTTTTTTTTTTTTTTTTTGAGACTAAGTCTCGCCCTGTTACCCAGGCTGGAGTGTAGTGGTGTGATCTTGGCTCACTGCAACCTCTGCCTTCTGGGTTCAAGCGATTCTCCTGCCTCAGCCTCCTGAGTAGCTGGAACTACAGGAGCATGCCACCATGCCTGGCTAATTTTTGTATTTTTAGTAGAGACGGGGTTTCACCATGTTGGCTAGGCTGGTCTCAAACTCCTAACCTCAGGTGATCCACCCGCCTTGGCCTCTCAAAGTGCGGGCATTACAGGCATGAGCCACCGCACCTGGCCAGAATTTTATTTTTTTATTTTTATTTTTCGAAACACAGTCTCATTCTGTCACCCAGGCTGGACTGCAGTGGCACAATCTCTGCTCACTGCAACCTCCACCTCCTCGGTTCAAGCGATTCTCCTGTCTCAGCCTCCCAAGTAGCTGGGACTATAGGCGTGCACCACCACACCCAGCTTATTTTTTATATTTTTAGTGGAGACAGAGTTTCACCATGTTGGCCAGGCTGGTCTTGAACTCCTGACCTCAGGTGATCTGCCTGCCTCGGCCTCCCAAAGTGCTGGGATTACAGGCATGAGCCACCTTACAGTAACAGAATTTTAAAAAATAGGTGCACACCAATTGGGAATGGCTTACGTAAGTTATAGTACATGGAGGCAGTGTGTAGCCCTACAGCCAGACTGGCTGGGGTTTTTTTGTTTGTTGTTTTTGAGACGGAGTTTCGCTCTTGTCACCCAGGCTGGAGTGCAATGGTGCAGTCTCTCACTGCAAACTCCGCCTCCCGGGTTCAAGTGATTCTCCTGCCTCAGCCTCCCAAGTAGCTGGGATTACAGGCAGGCTGCCACCATGCCTGGCTAATTTTTTGTATTTTTAGTAGAGGCGGGGTTTCACCATGTTGGCCAGGCTGGTCTCGAACTCCTGACCTCAGGCAGTCTGCCCACCTTGGCTTCCCAAAGTGCTGGGATTACAGGCTTGAGCCACCGCGCCTGCCCAGACTGGCCGATTTATAGCTTGGCTGCAGCTTACTTGCTCTTGACCTTGGACAAGTTATTTAACCTTGCTTTGCCTCAGTTTGCTCCTCTGAAGTGAGAATAATAGAGTTGTTGTGAACGCTAAGTGAGTTTATTATCACATAGTGCCTACAGAACAAATAAGAACAACGAAGTGATTAAGTATGAATTGAAGAAGATACAAACTATAGGAAGTTGAAACGCAGATTTGGGTGGGTGGCTGATTCTATTAAATGTGTGATTGTATTTGTTCATTCTTGAATTGCTATAAGGAAATACCTGAGACTTGGTAACTTAGGAGAAAAGAGGTTTAATTGGCTCACAGTTCTGCAGGCTGTCCAGGAAGCATGGTGGCATCAGCTCCTGGGGAGGCCTCAGGAAACTTACAATTACAGCGGAAGGCGGAGGAGGAGCCAGCACTTCACGTGGCTGGAACAGGAGGTAGGGGTGGGAGTGGGGAGGTGCCACACACTTTAAACAACCAGATCTCATGAGAAGTCACTGACTATACAGTACCAAGCGGGGATGGTGCAAAACCATTATGAGAACTCCACCCCTGTGATTCAGTCACCTCCCACCAGGCCCCTCCTCCAACATTGGGGATTACAATTAGACATGCGATTTGGGCAGGGACACTGATCCAAACCATATCAGTGATTTAGGGGGAGTATCTTTTCTATATTAGAAACTTTATAAAGCAAATTGTCCATTCTAACTTGACTCAGTTTTGGATAGAAATTATAATCTCACCAGGTGCACATTTTCAGTATACTGACATTCTTCGTAACAGATTTATTTAATAGATCTTTGAAAGAAACAAGACTTTGCCTAGAAGTTAATGTTTTTTCACACTTTATCTACATGCACACTCTGTAGCAGAAATACCCTTTGCCCAACTGAGTTGGAGTAATGTGTTCAGCACATTTAATAAGTGTGGGGTGCCCAATTAGTCCTTTCAAAAGGTGTCACACAATTTTAAGTTTGAAAAATACCTGTCTAGTTTAAGGATCTAGCTTTTAAAGCCCCAGGACTAACGATCCCAGTATTCTTTAAATGCTGATAAAGAGTTCACAACTTTGCTTTGTGTTTTAGGATTAACAGTGTTCGGATTTTAGAGGGTTTTTTGTTTGTTTGTTTGTTTGTTTGTTTGAGATAGAGTCTTGCTTTGTTGCCTAGACTGGAGTGCATTGATGCAATCTTGGCTCACTGCAGCCTTCGCCTCCCGAATAGCGTGCACCACCACTCCTGGCAAATTTTTGTGTTTTTAGTAGAGACAGGGTTTCTCCATGTTGGCCAGGCTGATCTCGAATTCCTGACCTCAAGTGATTCAACCGCCTCAGCCTCCCAAAGTGCTGAGATTACAGGAGTGAGCCACCACACCTGGCCTAGATTTTACAGGTTTTTTTTAGTACTAACATTGGAAGAACACATGTCAGGGACATAAAATCAAATATCCTGTGTCCAGCAAGAGATTACATATTTTCAGTAAAAACTTTTTTTTTTTAACTTTGCTTCCTAGACTAGGTCATGACAGCTACAAAAATCTCTAGCATTAGCACCACTTTTTCACAGGCAGTGTTTCTATCATTGCATGGGGAGAAGAGTTAAAAATAGTAGGAAAGGAGATGGATTTCTAAGCTTAACCCTAAATTTAGGGAATGGAAAAGCCATTTTCTTTACATTAACAGTGTTATGCCCATTGCACATTTTCTTTTGAAAAATTATGACAACAGGACAAAATATAATTTAACAGAGCTAGGACTTGGGGGAGCTGCTTGTCCTTAATGTCATTCTGAACATTTTTAGATGCCTTAAATTCATCTCCTTAATTTTTGTAGTTTAAATAAAGGAGCACATACCATCTGTTGACTAATGTAACAAATTGTTATTTACGTAACCTCTACTATATGTCTAGCCCTAATACTAAGAAATCAGAAGATAAATAAGGCAATATCCCTTCCTTTTGAGATTTGACTATTAAATATATCTCTGTTTAGACTCTTTCTAGGGCAGACTTTTATCTCCCCTTTTACATTAATACTTTATTTGTTGTACCCCAGAACTTAAAAATTAAAAAAAACTTTATTTGTAAAATTGTTGAAACCTGTTTATTCACTGAGAAGACTTTACTATAAAATTATTCTTAATCTATATGAATTCAGTTCTATTGTGTTACCTTCAAATTGTATGGATTTCAAATGGTGGTAAAAGTTGTAGACATATTTGTCACTATATACTTGACTACAGCACAACTTCATTCTTTTAAATTGAACAAAAAAAACCGTTTTACTTAGGTTGTAGCTTCTAAGGTTCTTTACTCTGAAATCCACTTGAAATGTGTACTTCAGTTTATGATTCACAATTAGGGAAAATCTGTTTTTTCTTTTTCTCATTTTCTTTTCATTCTTTTGTTTCTGTCCTCTGTTGTGGCCTTTCCTTTACCTTCTGAATTCCTTTCTTTCCTTTCCTATAGGCACTGATGTTCTTTACATTGGCCCTCTGAAAGGTGAGCCTTGCCACAATTTAAAGACAAAAAGTGTTGGTCTGTCTGCTTCAGCTATATCCTTATTTTCTAATTCTCTTGAACTGATTTTTTTTCCCCAGAATTTCTGCCAACTTAATTATATTCTTAAGGCTTTATTACGTGTTTTAATGTTATACAAGGAGAATTAATTACACATGTTTTCATAACAGGTAAAATAATATACTAAGCTTTCCTTTCAGAATAAAACTTTTGTTTCACAATGTGCTTTATATCATAATATGTGTTATTATTGAAAAATAAGATGCTGTACTGCATACTTACTACCTGTTTTTCATGTTACTTATTAGGAAGTATATATTCAAGCCCAGGACTGTATAGTAAAACAATGACCCCCACTTATGATGCTCATGATGGAAGCCCCTTGTCACCAACTTCTGCTTGGTTTGGTGACAGTGCTTTGTCAGAAGGCAATCCTGGTATACTTGCTGTCAGTCAACCAATCACGTCACCAGAAATCTTGGCAAAAATGTTCAAGCCTCAAGCTCTTCTTGATAAAGCAAAAATCAACCAAGGGTAAGTTTTAAGATATAGATAAAATTGAATTTCTTCATCCAGCTAGAGGTAGAAATATTGTCTTCATTCTGTGTTGTTTTGTTCCACTGTTCTTAATTTGTCCAGATGGCTTGATTCCTCAAGATCTCTCATGGAACAAGATGTGAAGGAAAATGAGGCCTTGCTGCTCCGATTCAAGTATTACAGCTTTTTTGATTTGAATCCAAAGGTACCGAGGGTTTAAAGGGATCTTTTTTTTTTCCCCATTAATTTGTTTTGTTCACATGGATGTTTGTTTTTGGAAGTCGGTGGAATAAGGAATTATTTGTATATAGGAAATCTTGAATAATTATTAAAAACCCAAACTTTTAGGCAAAGGTATTTGTATTTTAAATAAGTCTATTTTAGTAGGTTGGAAGCATAACTAAACCTTTTTATTGTTGTTATTAAGATAATGAAACTTTTGGCTGATTTGGTTTTATCTTTTTTTTAATCTCTAAGCTCTTAGAGTGTCATGATTTGTATTTTAAAGGTACTCTTTTGGTACTATAGAACTGGCAAAGTTTAGGCCGGGTGCAGTGGCTCAACGCCTGTAATCTCAGCACTTTGAGAACCCAAGGTGGGCGGATCACATGGTCAGGAATTCAAGACCAGCCTGGCCAACATGGTGAAACCCCGTCTCTACTAAAAATACAAAAACTAGCCACGCATGGTGGCACACGCTGGTAATGCCAGCTACTTGGAAGGCTGAGGCAGGAGAATCACTTGAACCTGGAAGACGGAGCTTGCAGTGAGCCGAGATCATGCCACTGCATTCCGGCCTGGGCAACAGGGCAAGACTCCATCTCAAACAAACAAAAAAAAGAATTGGCAAAGTTCATTTTTAAAATATAAGACCTCTCTTCAACTATATTTAAATAAAAGTTTCAAAAAGGTTACCTTTTCAATTACTTTTAGATTACTAATTACGTGCCAAAAGATGTTGCTTCAAAAAAACGTTTTTTTCTTGAGACAGGGTCTCACTCTGTCCTCCAGGCTGGAATGCAGTGGTATGATCATGGCTCACTGTAACCTCAAAGTCCTGGACTCAAGCCATTCTCCCACGTCGCCTCCCAAGTAGCTGGGACTACAGGCTCACCCAGCCACACCTGGCTTTCTTATTTTCTGTAGAGACAGAGTCTCACTATTTCACCCAAGCTGGTCTCAAAACTCCTGGGCTGAAGCCATCCTCCTGCCTCAGCCTCCCAAAGTGCTGGGATTACCGGCCTGAGCCACCATGCTCAGCCAAATTTTTCTTAGGTCTACATTTTTTTCCTCTGTAACAGACAAACACTGTTACTTGTCTTTACTATGATTGGTATTATCTCTGCTACCATAGTACTTCACTTTTCTGGTAAGATTTAACTTTACCATAAATATCTGGAGCTTTTTTCCCCCGTAGAAAACACTTGGCACAGAGGTTTGAATCTTTTACTTCTCTTTCAGCCTGGGGAAAGAAACCTCTCTTGGCTACCCTCTCATCCTTTTCATGTTTAGAGTATAGTCTAGATTTTAATGTTATGTTTACATTCTTTTATTATATGCTTAAGTAATTCTTTATACAACAGTAAAATCTCTATAATAAAATTATAGAAAATAATTTTAATTCATTTTCAGGCCACATCATACCTACTTTTAGTAAAGCCAAAGCTACTTTGGGAATAGTTACATTTGTGAGGGGAATGGAGATGTATTTTGTCAACGTTCTAAAATACATGTTGAGCATTCCTAATTTGAAAATGTAGAATGCTCCAAAAGCTAAGACTTTTGAGGGCTGACATGATGCTGAAAGGATATGCTCATTTTGGATTTTTATGTTAGGGACACTCAACTGGTATAATGGAATATTCCATCATCTATAAAAATTCTAAATTCAACACAGAAGGTCTCAAGCATTCTGGATAAGGGATACTCAATCTGCAGTATTCTTAAGGCATTACTATTGACTTTTATTTATATAATTAAATGGATAATTGAATAACATATAAGTAAACATTTTCCACAAGTATATTTGCCCTGTATTTTGCATACTTAAAATAACTGCCGTTTCCAAGGACTTGCCACTTTATCTGGGTATGCTTCTCCACAGTGAACAAAATGTTCCCCAGAATAATTTGCTTTCTGATTACATGTTTGTATGGCAAGTTGCAGTAATAACACTGAAAAATAATCGGTAGTTCCGCCTTACTTTAATGTCATCAAATTAGATTTCTTATGTTAAAGGCTATAATGTCTAGTGGTTATTTCCCTGAAAAATAACATACAGAATCTACTTTTTAATACTGTACAATCAATTATTCTCTGTCATATTTTAATGTCATTTTTAATGGAAAATTAGATGTGGGCATATATAGGCATGTCTGACCCCATAGGTATCCTTCTAATAATACTTGATTGTAAATAAAAATTCTTGCTTGTAAATTAAGATCCCAGGAAAAAAAGCATTAAATTTTTCTTGTCAATTGAATATTCAGAGTTTGAAATTTTTCAATGGTAAAGGTTATATATTACAAAAGAACTATTTCTCTTGTTGCAGTATGATGCAATCAGAATCAATCAGCTTTACGAGCAGGCCAAATGGGCCATTCTCCTGGAAGAGATTGAATGCACAGAAGAAGAAATGATGATGTTTGCAGCCCTGCAGGTAGTTGAAAGGTCTAGTAAATGGGACTTATTCCGGTAAAGGGTAGGGAGGTATTTTTAAACAGTAAAGTGGAATAGTAATTCCAGTAACATTTCACGAGACAGAATTTTTGCCATGAAGAAAGTGAGTAGACACTTAGGAAAGCAAAACAAATACATTTTAGTTTGATTTTTTATCTTTTCCAAGAGTTCAGTGGTATACTTAAGTACTTTTCTCTATTTTGTAGGAAAAAAATTATCCTATTTTGTAGGAAAAAAATTATCCTCTCACCCCCAAATATAAATCTGCTCAAAGCTCCTCAGTTTTTCCTTGGAAAGAAAATATTTATTAAAAATCAGATTTCTGAAATCTAATCTGAAGCTTACCTGTATAATTTCATAAATAGCCAGGGATGATACAACACACTATAAAATGGGCTGTAGCAAAGCGATGCTTTTAGGTGATAAGATTTAGAGAGACTAGTGGAACCAAACCTTTTTCTACAATGATAATCCTTAAGTAGATAGCTAACATTGTCCTTAGATTAAACCAGTTTTTTCATATGTGGTTCTTACATACCACCTCCTTCAGAATTATAGGGGAGCTTATTTAAAAATTAATTATCCACTTCATGAATAACTTTAAGGTGGCATCCACACATCCACATTCTTACAGATACTGAGGTCTGATGACCAAATTAATTCATCTTTCTTAAATTTCAGATACCCGAGTAATGCTTTGGCAAGTATTCCCAGTTATGACGGGATTCTAGGTTCAGCCTAAAGTCCTGATGAAGTTGGTGTTCTATAAATAACAGAAGTACAGGAAGCAGAGTTGACATTCAGTTGAAGAACTTTTCACTGTAGAAGGGATTTTGTTTTTCCTTAGAACACAAACAAAAATGCTCTCAGTCTTCCAAATGCCTCCTTTATGCATCCAGAAAAGTTTTCAGTTGTGACCCAAAAAGTTGACATTAGAAAGCAAGAATGGGGAGTGAGGTTAGCAAAAAAAAAAAAAAAAAAAAAAAAGCAAGAACAGCTAATTTTCACCTTAGTTTTACATAATGAAAGGAGTGGCAAAGAAGCATAGACAAGGAAAATAAATCCCAGGTGACAGATGGATTAATCAGTTATTTTCTAGGAACTTGATTAATGAGCCAGTTAGGATCCCGTATTGTGTTTCCAGATAATTCTGACTCTCTGGTGAATTTCTTGAATTAAATTCTGGAGCAGTTTGTTGGGAGTCCCCTCACGTGGTTATGGCTTTCTTCCTGCATCCTCCTCACTTTGATACAGGCTTATGATTTTCTAGTGGAGGTTTTGCCAATGATAGAATAATAATACCTGTAAAATATGTGTGAAAGACCACAGATTTTATACTGTTGCTTTATTTTTGTATTAAAAAATAGTACATGTTTATGGTTATTGTTTTTAAAACCAACAGATGCCTATTATATGCCTGGCACATAGTAGGTGCTCAAAACGTGTTTGTAAAATGAGAGTACACACAGTTGTGTTCTCACAGGAATGGCATGATTCTGCAGCCCACCTCCCCGAGTGTATCTTGGGCATTCCATATCACTACAGAAGGAACACCTCAGAGACCACAGGTTTTAATTCATGGAAATGGAATGGTCTCAAACCATAGCCCTCCAAGACCATTTTAGAATCTAGATATAATGAGAGTATTTTGACATACAGATTTGAGTTGTTGGAGGCTTTCTCAGAGACTGACCCTAAGGTTGTAGGAAGCCAACTAGTACCAGAATAAGGAAACTGTGAAAGTATGGTGAGGAGGAGATGCCTAGAATTTTTTCTTTCAGAGAGAACCTATACTCCGAAGTATACTCTCCTTGGGACATCTGGATCCTTGTGTAAAGTAAATTTACAATAGTAAAAAGAAGCAGAATAATACAAAACAAGAAGGTGGGGATAAAAAGTAAAGTAGATGAATTAGTAACATTGTTTTTAAAGCATTTAAGTCAGAGTATGTATTAAGAAATTTAAGATATCCCTTGCACTTTTGAAAGCAAAGCTGGATTTTTTAAGTCCCATTCACAGCCAGGATTTCTCCGGTATGACTCATAAAGACATTTTGCATCAGAATTACCCAGAGCAGTGAGTAAAAATGCAGATTCCAGGCTGGACCCCAGACTTCCTGAATCAGGATCTCTGGAGTAAACCTAAGGATCTGTATTTTTGACCAATTCTTCACCAGACTCTTAATATACTCTGACATTTGGGACCTGAGGGCCTCAACCTCTACCTCATTTCCCATAATTTATGAACATTGACATTTCTACAATTGTAAGATCTCATTTCAGCACAATTGAAGTAGTCAGAGACTATTCATTACCAATCAATCACTAAATCTTAAAACACAGAACATTGGTAAGTGGCCTCAGATTAGTTCACTAAATGTTCCCATGAAATGAATGTATTAAATGAATACTTTAGACATTTGGAGTGCCACTTGTTGCTTTGAAAGGTAATTGATTAAGATTTAAAGGTTCTGCTGACCTTTGTAGAAAACCTAAGGCTTAACATAATATTTGTTCTAAGTCACTTACTGAAGTATATTTAAAATCAGTAACTATTCTGTATCCAAAAATTTTCCTGTCTACATATGAGTAGTCATCACTACTCACTACTCTCTCTCTGCCCCCACCCCACCCACGTATATGTGGGTGTCCATGTGCGTACTCACGTACAAACATTCTTAGATATGAGAATACAGAACATGAAGCAAGGATGGGGAAAAAGTGGAGTTTTAGCTTTCGACATAATAATGATGACTTTCTCCTGGGTAATAGGAGCAGTGTACAGCATTCAGTGTTCATCAGTTTCTACAAAAGACCTTATGCATATTCTGTATGTTCATTCAATATTTCTTGATAACAGGCCCTGTTATAGACACAGGGCAGATTACAATGAAAAAAAAAAAAGTCAAAAATCTCTGTTAATGTGAAGTACAGTTGAGGACCAGTTAACTCTCTTAAGTCTTAGAGCCCGCAAATGATGAATTCATTGGTATGTGTCCAAAGACCCTACTTCTTTTGGATAAGTATTTATTAGCAGGTTTAGGATATTGATTTCAGGTATTTATTTCCTATCGTTCTAGTTCCTAGACGCTTCTGTCTTTTCAAATTAGGTCCTGAAAAGCATTAAATATAGATTCAGATAGTAATTTCATTTTAGAGTTTTACAGTTATAGCAATTATTTTAATAAAATAATTCTGGTTTCAGTATCATATCAATAAGCTGTCAATCATGACATCAGAGAATCATTTGAACAACAGTGACAAAGAAGTTGATGAAGTTGATGCTGCCCTTTCAGACCTGGAGATTACTCTGGAAGGGGGTAAAACGTCAACAATTTTGGTAGGGTGAATCTTTTTTTTTACCTACTAATTTAGCTTGAATTGATGCATTCCATTTTGTGGATTTAGGTTCAAAGTATTTGGGGGTGGTGGAGAGAAATATTTAATGCTTTAGAGAGAGAAATCAGATGTTAATTTTTCAGGAACTTTGAGCAAAGTGGTTTATTTTGAGACAGGGTCTCGTTCTGTTGCCCAGGCTGGAGTGCAGTGGCACACGTCATAGGTCACTGCATTCTCAAACTCCAGGGCTCAAGCCATTTCCTACCTCAGCCTCCTGAGTAGCTGAGACTACAACCATGCACCACCACACCTGGCTAATTTTTTATTTTTTTAAGAGATGGGGTCTCACTGTGTTGTCTAGTCTGATCTCAAACTCCTGGCCTTAAGCAGTGCTCCCGCCACCACTGGGAAGTTTGTTTTTAAAGTAATAATGTATTAGTCTCTAGTGCATTCAATACAGTAAGAATAGATCTAATACTCTAATACTCTGCAAATTCTTTTACAAGTGGTGGGAAGACATTTCTGCAGAGGAAAATAATCTCAAGTCATGGTAAAAATCCACTTAGTGATGTGCACATTTGAAATACTACAAAAAGAAGAAAATAGATCTCGGGAAAATTGTGAAACACTGGGTTTGGTTTTTAAGTATAGGGATTAGTTACTGCTGAAGAAACACTTCAGGCCTTTTACAATGTACAGATTTATATGCACCTACAAACAGTTTCAGCACTATTAAAGATAGCATATTCTCATGGGTTGTATAAATTGCCATTTTGATGAAAATTTTGTTAACCTTTTATGCTATTTGAAAATGCCTTTGTACCAAGAAGAATATGGTCCACAAGACTATGTAATGTGATTTTGTTGTTTAAATCTTTATCATTGTATTTTATGTCATTCTGTTTATTAAGTAAGCTAGTTCTTGATATCAGATACCAAACATTAGAAAGAATTTCAAATATTAAAAAAATTAAAAAAGGATTTAACTCTCTCCTAGGGTGACATTACTTCCATTCCTGAACTTGCTGACTACATTAAAGTTTTCAAGTAAGTACAAAAAGGAGGGATGCCAAATATTAATAACTGTCAGCTTTATAGTCATGGTCACATTATTGAAACTAACTGTTAAGTTTGACTAACAAACGCATCTACTGTAAAAGGATTTACCAGTTAGGTGAACACCAAATTACCACGAGAGAAAATAACCACTTTTACAAAATTAAAATCACAATGCTCATTCTTTTATCAGATTTTTCTTTAAAAAAAAAAAAAAAAGATTGTGAAACCTAGATTGCATCATACAGATGCTGAAACATAGTAATACAGTGGCACAGCCCCTCCGGGCCTCAGTTGGAAGCAGTACATAATGAACTGTGTCACTGCCAGCGATTATTTCCTCGTTCAGAGCGCAAGATTCTATTGAACTCTGTTCATTTGTTCATGGAACATTTTATGTAAAGTTCTAGTATATCTGATCAAGATTTTTAACACTCTATCCAGCTATATTCCACAGAATCAAGAGAGCTCGGCATTAAGGCAGAGAGGAGAAAAAGGAAAAGGAGGTGATGTGGAAAGTACTATTTTCTACTATATAAGATACAAAACTACTCTAGAATAAACCATTTACCATAGCTGAACATACAGCAGTTCAAAATATGGAACTTCTGAGATAAGGGCATGATTTCAGATCCACTACCCTACCCTTTCTCCTTCCCCCTTGACCCACCTTTCTCATCTACCTGCACCTTTCCTTACACATCCTCATGACTGCTCTGTCATCTTCCTTCTGTGTTTGATATTGGAGTGGCAAGTTAATGTCACCATTGGAATTTACCCCGGAGAAAGAAGCACATCCCCCACTTTCAGTCCTGCCAGGTAAATTTGCATCTTTATAGAGGCTCCAAGGCAATCCTGCAGACACCCATAAACCTGCAGGTAATTACAGGATCTAGGAATTTTCCAATTACTGACATTTACTTCACCTTTCTTTTCCTACCCTTCCCATGTGACCTGCTAGTTAGTGATAGATGTGATGGCTACAGCTGCAGAATACTGGAACACAGGCCCTACTGCCTTTCTCCTCGGAACGCTGTTTGTGGGATCTTCTAGAGTAGATTGAGAAGGGAGGCTCGCATCCAGTAACAGTAGCACTGACTAATAAGACGCTGACCAAGGGGGATCAATTTCAGCACGTGTAAAACTTGACCCCAGACTTAAATTAATATTGTGAAACTTTGCTAATACAGCGTTAATAAAGTTACTTCCAAGTGATTTTGTTGTTAATTCTCTTTGATACATAGGCCAAAAAAGCTGACTCTGAAAGGTTACAAACAATATTGGTGCACCTTCAAAGACACATCCATTTCTTGTTATAAGAGCAAAGAAGAATCCAGTGGCACACCAGCTCATCAGATGAACCTCAGGGGTAAGGAGAGCCTGGCACGGCTGTTGTTGATGGTGGCATCCCCATTGGCCTAATAGTCAATGAGCCACTTGCTGGGATAAACAAGTTTTTTAAAAAAATCAATTTCTTTACTCCTTTGGGTACTTGAAAAATGTTTAGATATGTCTCTTTTACATAGTCCTTTTCACAGGTTTGAAGTATTCAATTCCACATAAATATTTTGTTGTAATCTCTTTGTGCAGACTTGACCTGAAATGTATGATTCAACTTTTCTTTTTTGTTTTTTGAGAGGGAGTCTTGCTCTGTCACCCAGGCTGGAGTGCAGTGGTGCAATCTTGGCTCACTGTTACTTCTGCCTCCCGGGTTCAAGCGATTTTCTTGCCTCAGTCTCCCCACTAGCTGGGATTACAGGTGTGCACCACCACACCCAGCTGCAAGGTTTCGTCATGTTGGCCAGACTGGTCTCGAACTCCGGGCCTCAATTGATCTGCCCACCTTAGCCTCCCAAAGTGCTGAGATTACAGGCGTGAGCCACCACACCAAGCTGATTCTGCATTTCTAACTTGTCAAGTAAGCTTACGTTGTCTTTTGATCTTCAGCATTAAGGACATTTAGAGTTTCCTTATTCTGCAGGGGCTGCCTCCTTGTCTGTTTTGGATTCTGCCTTATTTTAAGCCACGCTGTAGTCATCCCTGGGCTTTCTTCTTCGACATCCTGCTCTTCCTCACCCTCACTGATGACAGGCTGGTCCCACTCAGGGTCCTCAGCCTCTGAATTTTCCTGGCTCGCCAGTAGAGTAGCTGACACTTTCAGGGTTTGGGCAAGTCCTTCCCCTTCCCCTTCCCCAACACCTCTTCCTCACACAGTTTTGTCTTTGCTCTCATCCTGGCTTTTGAGGCCGCTTCAGGATATTCCTCGGAGGCTTCTAGCTGACACCTTGAGTCTCACTGGTTTTCTCTTGTCCTGTCTTTTCAAATCCAAAGCTATCTCAGAACTAGGGTCTGGTATTTGGGTTGCTCATTTCCTTTCCCTCAGGGCGTTTGTGGCAGGCCTGCTTCCTACAGCCTGGGCTAAGCCTGGATGAAGCCTCAGCTATTGGCTTTGTTTTGGATTTTGTTTTTCCTTTTCTTCAGTAAGGTCTATGACCTACAGCTTAATTTTCTATTTCAGTGATTTCTTCTATTGGTTCTTCATACTGCTCTTTCACCTTTTTCATCTGATGATGCCCTGGCTCAGCTGGTAGGCGAATTTCCTCTCCAGATTAGTCTGGTTCTTCTGCAGGTAGATGGCATTCTGCTGCTCACTGTGATTTCTTTGCAGAGCGTTAATGAGCCTCTCACTTGGGGTAATACTTTTCAATAAAATCACCTGGTTCACTTTCAGTGTAGATACCACTTCTCCAGAAAGCTGTATCCCCTGAGGACCACTCTCCCGTGAGCACACACCCTTGGCACATGGCATGCCTTTTGGATGATGCAGTCAATCAGCTGGCTCTGCACTGTCTGTTCCACAGTCCTCTCACTGTATCTTCCCTTAGAAGAGCAAAGACTAAAAAACTAAAATACACTTTCTAGACTCATTTCCAATGAGACTTAGATTCCAGTCAGGTGCATTCATGGGAGACTTAAATTCGGAATAGAGCTAAGGGGTTAGAGACACAGAAAATGAAAGGAGGGAGGTATTACTAGGCGCTGGAGCTAACACCTGCAGCCATAGTCTCCTGGTTTCCCACCTGCTTGATTATAGCAAAGGTTGCGCCACCCTTGGCAAGCCAGTTCTGAGTTACTCCTAGTGGCCCAGCCCATCTCTTCTTTGGGTACATTTGTACGTACACATATTTTTGTAGATAAGGCCTTTCTAACTCGAAGTATTCCGATGTGGACAACAGCACCAGGGAAAAGGGCTCCAGACTGATTTCACAAAAATGACTCCCAAAACAATTTCATTTAACACTTAAAACACAGAGGTGCTTTTCCTGATTCATATTCCTAAATTGTACTTAGTACAGTCATGTATCATTTAACAGTAGGGATACATTATGAGAAATGTGTCACCAGGTGATTTTGTCATTGTGTGAACATTATGGAGTGTGTGTACTTACACAAACCATGATGGTATAGCTGACTGCACACCTAGGCTATATGGTATAGCCGATTGCTCCTAGGTTACAAACCTGTACAGCATTTTACTGTACTGAATACTGTAGACAACTGTAACACAATAGTAAGTATTTGTTATCTAAACATATCTAAATCTAGAAAAGGTACAACTTGGCTGGGCGCGGTGGCTCATGCCTATAATCCCAGCACTTTGGGAGGCTGAGGCGGCGGATCATCTGAGGTCGGAAGTTGGAGACCAGCCTGACCAACATGGAGAAACCCCGTCTCTACTAAAAATACAAAATTAGCTGGGCATGGTGGCATATGCCTGTAATCCCAGCTACTCAGGAGGCTGAGGCAGGAGAATTGCTTGAACCTGGGAGGTGGAGCTTGCGGTGAGCTGAGATCACGCCATTGCACTCCAGCTTGGGCAACAAGAACGAAACTCCGTCTCCAAAAAAAAAAAAAAAAAGTACACTTGTATAGAGCAGTTTCCATGAATGGGGCTTGCAGGACTGGGAGTTGCTCTGGGTGTGAATGGGTGGTGAGTGAATATGAAGGCCTAGGACATTACTATATGCTACTATAGACTTTATTCAATAATTTTCTTTCTTCAAACCTTTGCTTACTGTAACTTTATAACTACTTTTAACATCTTGACCCTTTTCTAATGACACGTAGCTTAAACATTGTACAGCTATACAAAAATATTTTCTTTATATCCTTATTCTATATGTTTTTTTGTATTTAGATTTTTATTTTTTATTTTTAACCTTTTGTTAGCTTAAATCACAGGCACACACATTAGCCTAGGCCTCCACGAGATTGGGATCATCAATATCACTGTCCTTCACCTCTGCATCCTGTCTCACTGGAAGGTCTTCAGGGGGAGTAACAAGCATGGAGCTGTCATTTCCTCTGGTAACAATGCCTTCTTCTGGAATACCCCTGAAGACCTGTCTGAGGCTGTTTTACAGTTAACTTTTTTATTTAAGTAGAAGTACTTTGTAAAATAATGATGAAAAGAATAGTATAGTAAATACATAAACCAGTAACATAGTCATTTATCATTATCAGGTATTATGTACTACTTATAATTGTACATGCTACATCTTTCTATTACTGGCAGCAGAATAGGTTTGTTTACACAGATGTGAGCTATGATACAGCTACAGTGTCACTAGGCAGTATTTTTCAGTTCCATTATAGTCTTATGAGGGCATTGTCGCTGTCGTATATGCAGTTCGTTGTTTACCGAAATGCTGTTATGCAATGCGTGACTGTATATTGTACATTAGGATAGATTTACCGTATTTCAACACAGTGTTGAAATCTGTACCCTAGTACATGAGCTCTGCCTAGTAGTCACTTAAACTATTGCTTTTAAAGTTACACAAATTTTTAAAAAATAGAAAAACTCAGTCCTGGGTAAACAATTGCTATTCCCACATTTTGGAATTCTGTAATTTACCTGAAACTCTTAATTAGGGTCACTACCTTCCTCTCTCAGTCACGGGCGTTTCACTTTTGGGTCTCTGTCATTCTTTGTTGCTCTCAGGATCTGTTGCAACCTTCTCCTGCTTCCCTCTTCAGCTGCCCAGGACCAGCGTAAATGATCCACTGTTGACTTTGAGACTAAATCTGTCTTCTGGCCCCTGTTCTCACTGTCCCTGTTATATCTTAACCTTCTTCCTGTATAACTAAGAGGTCAGGTCCTGGCATGGAATTAATAAGTTTATAAGCTGTTCTCAGTTTTCATCCCACTGCTCCCAAGTCCTCTCAAAGGACTCATCACACTGATCATTGCACTCATCACAGGCACCGCACTGATAACACCTTGACCAAGAATCAAATGGTCTGGATGCTGCTCTTCTACTAAACAAGCCCTATGATTTTTGTTGTTTCGTTTTTTGAGACTATGTTGTACACGCTTATCTCCAACTCTTGGGGTCAAGCGATCCTTCCACCTCTGCCTCCCGAGTAGCTGACACTGCAGGTGCACACCACTACACCTGGTTTAGATCTGTGATTTTGGAAAGATAGCACATCTGGGCCTATAGTATCTTCTTCTGAGAAATGAGAGTGTTAGACTGGATGCCAAGGCTTCATAGAGATCTAAAATGCAAAGTTATTAAAAATTCATTTCAGCTAATACTAAGTGAACTCCTGTGCCACAAACTGTGCTGGGTACTAGAGATACAAGGAAGAACCACTTACAGTCTCAATCCTCAGGATGGTTTAGAGCATGTTGGCGAGATAAAATTACAATTGGGGTAATAAATAGTACTTTGGAAAGGAAAGGAAAAGAGCAAGGGGTAAGGGTGTTCTATAACTTAATCTTCAGTGAGGATGGAGAGACTTCATCGGGGATGGAGAGCCAAGCACAGTGGCACATGCCTGTAATCCCAGCTACTCAGGAGGCTGAGGTGGGAGCATTACTTGAGCCCAGGAGTTCAAGACCAACCTGGGCAACATAGCCAGACCCCATCTCAAAAAAAAAAAAAATGCCTAGAGAGTTTTGTGCTGCTGGAAAATAGAATTTAAGGGGAAGGATGAATACTTCTTAATAGCTATTGAATCTGATTCCTGCTAACATGAGAGGTAGTCGCAGAAGAAACTGGCAGACATTAGATGATAAAAATGGTAAGGAGATTGCTTTTTGAACTGGCAGCAGTGACGTGTCACTGAAAGAACATTAACACAAAAATGACAAGATCCATATTTATACCAGTTATGGTGCAGAGGAGTCATTTTAGAGAGATGATAGTAATCCAAATTAAGGTAATCAACATGGGATGAGAAAAGGGGCAGATTGAATAGATACTGAGGAAGTTTGGTCAATAGTCTGGGTGACTTATTTGGGAGGAGGTTGAAGTGGGGTCATTTTTCTGATTTGTGCAATTGGGTGGATAGTGTGATACTGAGATAAGAATGTAGAAGATGAGAAGAATGTAGAAAAAGGAGCTGGGTTTGGGGGGAAAGATGAGTTTAATTTGGGGATATTTTGAATTTGAGGTGCCTGTGGGATGTCTATTTGGAGCTAGCCTGTAGACATTGGATTAGGGGAGAGATGCACATGCTACAGATACTGATAGGGTAACAGTTAGCAGTAATGGTAAGTGCAGCCATTGCAATGGTTGTCTGTAATGTGAGAAGACAAGATGAAGAATAGAACCCTGCAGATCACCCATGTTTAAGAGACAGGGCAGGTTAGAAGAAGGGGACCTTGCAAAGGAAACAAAAAAAAAATGCATAGGAAGACTATGGCAGTGAAGTATGATGAAAGCTAAGATAAAAGTTGTTTCAAAAGGACAGAGTAGTCAACAATGTCCAGTACTGTAGTAAAGTAAGGTAGTTAGGCCAACATAGTATCTAGCCATGTAGTTCATGACCTTGATAAGAACAAGTTAAGTAGACTTCAGTGGTTTATTGAGTATGGAGCCAAAGTACAGTCACTGAGAAGTAAATAAGAAACAAAAATGGCTGGGCACGGTGGTTCATGCTTATAATCCCAACATTTTGGGAGACCAAGGCAGGTGGTGGATTGCTTGAGCCCAGGAGTTTGAGAACAGCCTGGGCAACATGGTGAAACCCTGTCTCTATTTAAAAAAAAAAAAAAAAAGGAGGCAAAGCTTTTTAATGAACTTTATCTATGACAAGGAAGGGGGAAAGAGGTAACAGAAAAGGGAGGTAGGTTGTGGTGTAAGATGGGAGAGACTCAAGGAAATTAAATGCTGGTGGAAATGTGGCAGTAGAAAGAAGGAAATGTAGTGTCTGAGAGGGAGGATCTCAGTGGTGGAGCAGGGTTGCTCGGATGGTAATGAACTCAGCCCACTTGGATAGGAAAGCTGGAGGATGAGGGATGCCTCTTGCACTGCGTGGAAGCAAGGACAGCTAAGTTTATCTTGTACGGTGGCAGGAAATGGATGGACTTAACTTCTGGTGGCTTTCATTTTCTTGGAGACATAAGAGGTGGAGTTGTCCCTTGAGACCAAGTGACATTGTAGGATGTCTGAGAAGATTTGAAATAGGCATTGTTGAAAATGTCTGTATAAGCACAGAAGGATGCAAGCATAAAGGGCCCAGCTGAGGTTGGTATCCATGAATCTGTAGTGAAACCTTTTTTTCTTGCTTCTTCCCATCTTGCAGTGCTAAGCAGCCTGAGTATAGGCAAGGAAAAGTTAGAGGGATTTATTTACCTAGGGTGCAGATTTTGCTAGGAGAATGTATAATGTGAAGACAGTGAGTCTCGGCAGTTGGAGTTGATGTCCAGTGAATGTGGTCCAGGCTGGTTGGGAAGGAGGGAGCTGTTGCTTCCTTCTGTTGCTGTTGGGGAGAAAGTGGAGGGGTTGCAGCATAGGGTTCCTCAAAGAGTTAGGATTAGAGATTGTGACCAGAATTGGCTGTTTGCATTTCATCTTTCAGATGTACACTAATTGGGTAACTGAGGAAGTCCAGTGGTTGCCGTGGAAGTAGGTAGCTGAGGTGGCATGGAATGGGTGTTTGAGATGTGGCCCCTGTAGGCCTCTGAGCCTACACTAGTGCCTGAGTTACCACCCACTTTGTCTCTCCCTGTTTAGTTTTCTTGTTTTTTTAAAAGAGGCCTAATTATTATGGAATTGTGTACTGTAAATCCTCTTGAATTATTAATGATATTTGTGCAAAAGATTGTGTACTTTCAAACAACTGTTTCAACTTTGCACATTAAACAGTTCGTCACACATGTTCTCATCATTCTAAAGCCTGTATAAAAGGAGATATAAAAGAAGAAATTCATATGTAGTAAATATTTTAAAAAGAAAACAAAGGGCAGGGGGGAATCTACAAAATTCATGGTAGGAGTTGCTTCTGGGGAGGAGAATAAAGAGGGCCTCTCCTTTATCTAAAGTGTTCTTTTTATTTAATACTAAAATATTTATGTAGACAGGGAAAATGACAATTTTAACATTTGTTCTTCTGAATATGGAGTGTGTATGATCTTATATTCTGTGCCAAGAGGAATTGAAAAAGCAAGCCCTACTAACAATTTAAAATTTTCTTCGTAGAGCCTACTGCATGATCATATGACATTGTGCTTTGTTCATGTCATTCTTGGACAATTGGAATAAGCTTTAGGAAGCTTTGACAGTGTATTATCTTATTTATCCTTAAATCATCCCTGTGAGGTAGAGTCCAAGGTCAGGAAATGTCGACTTACAGAAGTTAAATGGCCCATAATTATTATTAATAAGTGACAAAGAAAGGTCTGCAACCCAAGTCTCTCTGACTGCAGAGCTCTACTTCACTGTATTTATTATACTGTTACTACTTGTTTATGCCAGCTGTTATGCCATTATCTAACACCTAGTTCAGTAAATCTGCACTCCCTTCTGTAAAGCCTCCTACAAAGTGAAATTCTGAAGAGAGAGTTTCGCTTTTGTTGCCCAGGCTGGAGTGCAACGGTGCGATCTCAGCTCACTGCAACCTCCACCTCACAGGTTCAAGTGATTCTCCTGCCTCAGCCTCCCAAGTAGCTGAGATTACAGGTGTCCACCACCACCCCCGGCTAATTTTTTGTATTTAGTAGAGACATGGTTTCACCATGTTGGTCAGCTGGTCTCAAACTCATGACCTCAGGTGATCCGCCCGCCTCGGCCTCCCAAAGTGCTGAGATTACAGGCGTGAGCTACCACACCTGGCCTGAATACAGTTGTTTTCATTCCAGCTTCCCAAGTATATGTGTATGTTACCTTCTGCAGCAGATGCCTTCATAAAATACTATGGCAAAATCCAACATGTTAAGATGCCACAGAATGAGGGCTGCTTGTATTGACTTGAGATTTCTTAAAAGTAAATTTAGCCATTTTAATAAAAATTTTTTGTTACAGGATGTGAAGTTACCCCAGATGTAAACATTTCAGGCCAAAAATTTAACATTAAACTCCTGATTCCAGTTGCAGAAGGCATGAATGAAATCTGGCTTCGTTGTGACAATGTAAGTTTTCCAGTTAAAAATACACTTCAATTTTCTTAAATGAGTTGACCAGTCATCCTTATATTTTATACTTGAAAGACCCACCTCGTGATACATTGCACACATCAGTATTTCTTTTCTCCAGGAAAAACAGTATGCACACTGGATGGCAGCCTGCAGATTAGCCTCCAAAGGCAAGACCATGGCGGACAGTTCTTACAACTTAGAAGTTCAGAATATTCTTTCCTTTCTGAAGATGCAGCATTTAAACCCAGATCCTCAGTTAATACCAGAGCAGATCACGACTGATATAACTCCTGAATGTTTGGTGTCTCCCCGCTATCTAAAAAAGTATAAGAACAAGCAGGTACTTACTTCATTTTACTTCATCTACTGTGCTGGTTTGTTTTTATAATTTTGTACATAACTTTGTTTTTCCCCTCTTAAACAAAACTTTTTAGTCTTAATTTTGTATCAGATGGTTAGAATATAAAATACAGTTAGAGTATCCCTAATCTGAACCTCTGAAATCCTCCAAAATCTGAAACTTTTTGAGTGCCAACATGACTCTCAAATGCTCATTGGCACATTTTGGATTTCAGATTTGGGATCCTCAACTGGTAAGTATAATGCAGATATTCCAAAATCCAAAAAAATCTGAAACCCAAAATACTTCTGGTCCCAAGAATTTTGGATAATGGATACTCAATCTGTAGAAAATAAAGTAACCTTTAGTCAGTTTAAATTGGTCATTAAAAAAAAAAATCTTTATCATTTTAATAGAACAGATAAGGACACAGAATAGTTGAGAACTTACTCTAAACAAATTGCAGAAATCATTCTGTTAACATGGTGTTCTTTCAGACATTTTAGGGAATTGAATATGGTCTCAATGCTTTGTGTTCCTTAATTTATTTAATTTTATTCCATATATAATTAAGTAAATGTGACATAAAGTGCAGCCAGCATTTCTCAACAAAATCTGTAATACCTGCTCTTGTTGAAATTGGCTTTTCCAGCTTTAGAAAGAAACTTTACAAGAGTACATTTTTAGCCGTGTCTTTTCTTAACATTTTCAGTCAGAACCTAACCACAATTTTACACATAGTTACACAGTTTGGTAAATTTTCATTGAAATTTGCTTTTGTTCACTCTGTTTAGAATTCTTTTCTTTGGAAATTAATACCATAAAAGGGCTGCTACTTAGGAAAATGGTTCTTTGGTACAACATAAAAAGTCCTTTACAGGGGAATTTCACTTGGTATAGGCCCTGGTATTCTCTGCCCCCAACATCATGCCATAAAAGGAAAAGGCTTTAGTTTGGGGGTGGGGAGACGAAGACCTTTAAAATAAACATTTTGTTTTTATCTAATTTTGCTTTAATCTTTGTTAAGGAATAATTTTAAAACATACTAAAAAGGCTCAATGAAATGCCCAGAACACTTACTAATTCCTTAACTTTAAGTATAATATTTATTATATGGGTCTAAAATTATTTCTACCTAAATGTTCAGAATTTTAATGACAGAATATTTGTCTTTAAGTCTCAGAGGTTGTGTAAGCCTAGAAATTGTTTATCCCGTGGTCATATGATGTGGGAGTAGTAAGGAATGGAGGAAATGCTGCCCTGGGGAACTGTATGGAATGTAGATTGTAAGTTAAAAAGAGAAAGTAAAGCAAGTGCTAATTTCATTTTTCATTCGTAGTTTTTTAAAATTATTTATACAGAATCTTGTTTCTAAAAGTGAACTTATTTGCCTTCAAAGGCAATAAGTAATTTCAAACCTGACCAATTTTATCATTTCACAGTAAGGTATCAGGGAGATAAAAGAGCTTAAACGAGAGCTGCCACACATTGTTTTCACTGTCAACTATTTGTTTTCTCAGAAGCCTTTTAAATGATAGTTCTTGACTAGAAACTATCAACTGAAGATTTATCTTTAACTGACAGGAGGACAGTTTGTGTGTGGTCCGTGGTTAAAGATCCTTCTGGCCTTGCCTTTCATGTTGCCATCTAATCAAATGCACATTTTTAACCCTCCTTTCTCTCACTAGAGCTATAGGTTAGATTTTTTGGTGTGTATTTTGTTCTCTTTGAGGCAGAGTCTCTCTGTCTCCCAGGCTGGAGTGCAGTGGCACCATCATAGCTCAAGCGCACTGCAGCCTCCATCTCCCAGGCTCAAGCAATCCTCCCACCTCAGCCTCCCTAGTAACTAGAACCACAGGCACGCACTGCCACTCCAGGCTAATTTTTGTATTTTTTGTAGAGATGGGGTCTCGCTATGTTGCTTAGACTGGTCTCAAACTCTTGAGCTCAAGTGATCTGCCTGCCTTGGCCTCCCGAAGCACTGGGATTACAGGTGTGAGCCACCACACTCTGCTGGAATAGACTTACAAATTGTTGGCCAGGCACAGTGGCTCACGCCTGTAATCCCAGCACTTTGAGAGGCCGAGGCGGGTGGATCACTTGAGGTCAGGAGTTTGAGACCAGCCTGGCCAACATGGTGAAACCCCATCTCTACTAAAAATACAAAAATTAGCCAGGCATGGTGGTGCACGCCTATAATGCCAGCTACTTGGGAGGCTGAGGCAGGAGAATCACCTGTACCCGGGAGGTGGAGGTTGCAGTGAGCCAAGATGGCGCCATTGCACTCCAGCCTGGGTGACAAGAGTGAAATTCTGTCTCAGAAAAAAAAATTGTTTCCAGAGAATAGCGACCATGATGTTATTGCCCTGGTGCCTAGTAAGTAGTGACATTCAGAAGTTTAGTTGCTACTGTGTGTCAGATACCACACTAGTCACACTGGACATAGTGCTCAGTAATTATTAAGCTGTATCCAGTTGCGTTCTGGAGGCTGTAGGAAGATGTGCAGGCCACAAGGACATTCTTCCCTACCTGGGCATAGACTCGTAGTTTTCTTTTGGGTCTATCAAAATAACCTGTTGTATTTAACCTACTTTAATTCCCTTCAATTATATATATATTAACTAAACATGCTGTGGGTATTTTTAAATAAATATGACTCTCAAACTGGATTTTTAAATTTTGAAGAATTATTCTATATGTTGATTTATGTTAATCTAAATGGAAATGACTAATGCCATAAAGCCGAAATTCCTCATGTAGTATACGGCATCTCTTTGTTTTCCCTTCCAGGAAAAAGGATGCAAAAAACACATGGTAACTGAGGGGTTTGCTTTTCTTGTGTAAAAAAAGAAACAGATGGGCACTGCACTTATTTTATGCCTTCAAATTCTTATTTCTGAAAAGCAGTGCATGGATCATATTATCTGACTAAATCTGAGAAGACTTTAAAGGCTTTTGGATACTTTTATTTTGCTACTAAAATAATTGGCTTTACCTTAACCGGTGAGAACTGGGTACACGATGTAACTGGGTACACGATGTAGGGGGAAAGAAATATTTGCTCTTTTTATCTTCTCCCTACAAATTTCTACCCTTAGGTTCTTTAGCAACATTTAACATTCTAAAATAATGTGGAGTGTTTCTCAGTGTTCTAAATGGAAAGTAATTGCTGCTTCCTCATTTTCATTTTTCATTCTTGCATTTACTTTGCTTGGTTTCTACCTAAAGTAGTTTTTTGCATGACTTTTGGCTGGAATTTTGGTTTGCAGGTGACCGCAACTTTTTCTTTGCTTCGTTGCCATTTTTTCTGATTGCCTTTTTTTTTCTTTCTGCTTCCTTTTTCTTTCCTCGCATTGCCATCTACAGCCAGGCTATATAAGAGATTTGGTAAGTTCTCCATATTTACCACAAAAGAAAAAGAATAAATAAAAATTCATAGCCACAACCTTCCCTCATGGAATTTACCCCAGTAGTGAAATTTAAATTTAAAATAGAAATGATTATGGTGATTTCAAGTACCTTAAAGCTGCTAACAAATATTCCTGCTAGAAACATGTATTCCAGGTATTCATTCTGATTATAGACATAGTGCTAAATTTAATTAAAACTCGTGTATATGTGGATTAGAATGTGCTGTTCTGTAATAGTAGTACCGTTAGGTGTATGCATTTGGAATATGTCTCAAGTGTGGCAACTATGTACTCCTAATAGTACTTTTTGTTGATATATGAAAACTGAAATTAAGACTTATTTTGAAAAATCCTTATACATTACATTATTACAGTGTCCAAATGTAGCTTCAGATATTTTGATTTCAACTCTTACAATATGATTTTGGGGTACGGGGTGCGTAATTCAATCTTTTGATCTTTTGTCTCAGTTCTCCCATGAGAGAATAATGTTCAATGGTAAAGGTGATGTTTACTCATGTTTAGATAACAGCGAGAATCTTGGAGGCCCATCAGAATGTAGCTCAGATGAGTCTAATTGAAGCCAAGATGAGATTTATTCAAGCTTGGCAGTCACTACCTGAATTTGGCATCACTCACTTCATTGCAAGGTCAGTGGTTCTAAGCATCTATGTGTAAACCTTAATCTGCATTTTTGCTTAATCTACCTCATGTAATTAGATATTAAACATCTAAAGCATACCTATGTAGACCCATTAACTCATATTACAATAGAATTCAAAGACTGTTAGAATGTATTTTGTAAGCTTTTAATTTCTACATTAAAAATTCAAGATAATTGTGTTTGTTTTACTACTAAGAGAATAGCACTCTTGGCCAGGCACGGTGGCTCACGCCTGTAATCGCAGCACTGTGGGAGGCCGAGGTGGGTGGATCACGAGGTCAGGAGATAGAGACCATCCTGGCTAACACGGTGAAACCCTGTCTCTACTAAAAATACAAAAAATTAGTGGGGCATGGTGGTGGGCGCCTGTAGTCCCAGCTACTCGGGAGGCTGAGGCAGGAGAATGGCGTGAACCCAGGAGGCGGAGCTTGCAGTGAGCTGAGATCGCGCCACTGCACTCCAGCCTGGGCAACAGAGCAAGACTCCGTCTCAAAAAAAAAAAAAAAGAATAGTACTCTTTTAGGGTTAGAGAGAACACTTATCTTGAAGAAAAGCAGTCCAACATGTTCCCCCACAACATGTTTTTAACCGTTCTTTTCTTAAATGTTATAGGTTCCAAGGGGGCAAAAAAGAAGAACTTATTGGAATTGCATACAACAGACTGATTCGGATGGATGCCAGCACTGGAGATGCAATTAAAACATGGCGTTTCAGCAACATGAAACAGTGGAATGTCAACTGGGAAATCAAAATGGTAAACTCATAACAATGTTACTTGAATATAGTCCTTCTCTGATACAAATTAGTACATTAAGAATAAAAAGGCCTATAAATTCTGATGATTATTTGTACCACCACCTCTTAAAGTACAGACAGACCATGGTTGACTATTCATTTCTCACTTAAATTTGCCTATTTCATAATTAGCCCAGTTACTAAAATTCTAAGTGCATAATTTGCTTAGAATGTTGCCTTTTTTGTCTTTCTGTAATGGATAAAGCCGATCTACTCTGAAATAGCAGCTACTGTTTGTTGAATGCCTACCCTGTGCCAGACATGATACTTAGAGGCTTACATTAGTACCCTGTCTCTAAACCTCATCACAGCCTTTTAAGGCAGTTGGACAAATGAAGACACTGCAATAGAGAGACCTGAGGGCCATCATTGTCTATGACCACGCACAAAGTAACTACAGAATCATTTCAAACTCAGATGCTTTAGGCTTAAAAACCTGGCACATTTACCACTGTACATCATGTTGCCCCCAGTCTTGGAGTATACGAGTATCATTTAAAATGAACCATCTTTTACTAATAAGTCATTTGGTTTAGCATCATATTGGATTTATTGTATCAATTCCTATTACTTCAAAGAATCTTATATTTCTGAAATACTCAAACGTGATACCTAAAATTTAAGTATCTGAAGCGAACGTTAAAACACAGGAAGTAGGCTTTCCTGCACGACTTGAAGAGAGGCATTCTCATTAATTGAATCAATCACCAGAGACCATTTGAGAACTGAACGACCTAAAACCCTTGCATTCCTAGTCTTCCTTTTCAGAACATGAAAACTTAAAGTGTAGGGGAAGGGCAATAAACTTAGCTTCTTCTTTGGGACTTAAAGGCATTATTCGTTTAGGTTTTAGACAGACTGATCATTTGAGGATCAACAAGTGTTTTGTGATATGACAGACTTTAAGTAGCACAGTAGTTTTGTGTGGACCCAGCCACCTAGCATTTGGGACAGCACTGATGGCTCTTGTCTTTGTTCCAGGTCACCGTAGAGTTTGCAGATGAAGTACGATTGTCCTTCATTTGTACTGAAGTAGATTGCAAAGTGGTTCATGAATTCATTGGTGGCTACATATTTCTCTCAACACGTGCAAAAGACCAAAACGAGAGTTTAGATGAAGAGATGTTCTACAAACTTACCAGTGGTTGGGTGTGAATAGGAATACTGTTTAATGAAACTCCACGGCCATAACAATATTTAACTTTAAAAGCTGTTTGTTATATGCTGCTTAATAAAGTAAGCTTGAAATTTATCATTTTATCATGAAAACTTCTTTGCCTTACCAGACCAGTTAATATGTGCACTAAACAAGCACGACTATTAATCTATCATGTTATGATATAATAAACTTGAATTTGTCACACATTCCTTAGGGCCATGAATTGAAAACTGAAATAGTGGGCAAATCAGGAACAAACCATCACTGATTTACTGATTTAAGCTAGCCAAACTGTAAGAAACAAGCCATCTATTTTAAAGCTATCCAGGGCTTAACCTATATGAACTCTATTTATCATGTCTAATGCATGTGATTTAATGTATGTTTAATTTGATATCATGTTTTAAAATATCCTACTTCTGGTAGCCATTTAATTCCTCCCCCTACCCCCAAATAAATCAGGCATGCAGGAGGCCTGATATTTAGTAATGTCATTGTGTTTGACCTTGAAGGAAAATGCTATTAGTCCGTCGTGCTTGATTTGTTTTTGTCCTTGAATAAGCATGTTATGTATATTGTCTCGTGTTTTTATTTTTACACCATATTGTATTACACTTTTAGTATTCACCAGCATAATCACTGTCTGCCTAAAATATGCAACTCTTTGCATTACAATATGAAGTAAAGTTCTATGAAGTATGCATTTTGTGTAACTAATGTAAAAACACAAATTTTATAAAATTGTACAGTTTTTTAAAAACTACTCACAACTAGCAGATGGCTTAAATGTAGCAATCTCTGCGTTAATTAAATGCCTTTAAGAGATATAATTAACGTGCAGTTTTAATATCTACTAAATTAAGAATGACTTCATTATGATCATGATTTGCCACAATGTCCTTAACTCTAATGCCTGGACTGGCCATGTTCTAGTCTGTTGCGCTGTTACAATCTGTATTGGTGCTAGTCAGAAAATTCCTAGCTCACATAGCCCAAAAGGGTGCGAGGGAGAGGTGGATTACCAGTATTGTTCAATAATCCATGGTTCAAAGACTGTATAAATGCATTTTATTTTAAATAAAAGCAAAACTTTTATTTAATATTTATTTTTGTACTTGTTTTTAATGTTTACATAGTATTAATTTAGTAGAAATGAACTTCTGCCTTTTGGAATTGCTTTGCCTGCATGTTATTTTGTGAGAACAACTGGTTAGTATTCCACAGCGTTGCCAGATAGAGATACTTTATCTCAAAGATAGTCTTTCACCTCAATTGAAAAGCCCTCATTTTCTTAATACTTAAAAATGAATGTGTAATATCTAAATGTTAGAAATGTACTTATAAATAGAAGTTGGCTGTGGCAGAATTTGTTTTAAATAACAAAATTATTCTTGGTTTACAAAAAAAAATACATTTACGAATTTACTCCCAGTCATTACTGCTGTCATCATTCAAGACTCAGATTTCTAGTCCTTTACCCTTTGCATGTAATTAGACCAATTCCTGTTGATTTTCCCCTCACACAGCCTTGCATCTTTTCTCTTGTCATTGCTGTCACCGTCATCCAAATTCAGTTCTTTGTCCTGTGCCTGCTGTAGTGTGGCACCATCTTAAGACAAGGCTGTGATGACATTCTCCATGACTTTTCTTTGTACTCCAAAGCCATAACAGGCCTTGCTCCTAAATCTAAGAGCTCCTTTCCACTAAACATTTTAAAATATACTCCCTTTCCTCATCTTTAGTAAGTGACTGTGCAAGTCACCAACTTACATGTCACTTATTAAAAGCCCCAAAACATGTTTGATTGAAACCACACCTATTCAAGTGCTTTCTAGTCCCATGGCCTCCACACAAGTGAGAGTAGCCTCTGTGCTGATTGCCACACCTCTGGTTTGCCCCGCTGCCTTCCCAGTGATCTTGAGATTAATCCAGCCCCAACATAGCGCTAGCTGCATTTCAGCGCTAATGACTCCTTATTGCCTACAGGATAAAAGCCAAAGTAAAGTGCTCAGAGGTTTTGTATGGTCTCCGAGCCCACATTTTCATCCTTATCTCCCAACAATCTGCATTCCAGTCCAGCTGGGCAGCTCACATTCTCCACTTTGCACTCATCCATCCATCATTCCCCAAGTCTGGAATGTCTTTAGTCCTGGACCTTCATCCAGTTTGTATCTGTCTACACCTCATCTGTCTAGCATTTTAGAAAAAGGTCAAGTGGGCCTGGGGTGGTGGCTCACACCTGTAATCCCAGCACTTTGGGAGGCCGAGGTGGGTGGATCACGAGGTCAGGAGTTCAAGACCAGCCTGGCCAAGATGATGAAACACCGTCTCTACTAGAAATACAAAAATTAGCTGGGCATGGTAGCACATGCTTGTAATCCCAGCTACTCGGGAGTCTGAGGCAGGAGAATTGCTTGAACCCAGGAGGCGGAGATTGCAGTGAGTTGAGATTGTGCCACTGCACTCCAGCCTAGGCAACAGAGCAACACTCCATCTCAAAAAAAAAAAAAAAAAGGCCAGGCGTGGTGGCTCACGCCTGTAATCCCAGCACTTTGGGGGGCCGAGGCAGGCGGATCATGAGGTCAAGAGATCAAGACCATCCTGGTCAACATGATGAAACCCCGTCTCTACTAAAAATAGAAAAATTAGCTGGGCATGGTAGTGCGCACCTGTAGTCCCAGCTACTCAGGAGGCTGAGGCAGGAGTATCGCTTGAACCCAGAAGGTGGAGGTTACAGTGAGTCAAGATCTCGCCACTGCACTCCAGCCTGGGTGACAAAGTGAGACTCCATCTCAAAAAAAAAAAAAACCAAAAGACTCAAGTGCTCTTTCTTCCATAAACACTTCCAAGTTTCCTTGCAGCCAAAAACTCTCTTCCTCCTGAACTGCCATTGAATTTGGTCCTTCTGTGGAACTAAAGAGTAATCGTCCTTATTATGGTTGAGTATATCATGTTGCCCCTAACATAGAATTGTTACATCCTTGAGGACTGGATCTTAGTGCTATGGTTTCTACTTAGAATCAGTTACACATGGGTTTATTGAATATAATGATGGTTATTTTGGAAATAACCAAATTATTAACCAAACCAAATAACCAAAGGAATTATTATTAGAACTCAGAATTTTTGTAGCCTCAGTATAGTTTAATACAGAGCAAACTAACTTGGACACCAACTATGCAACAGGAAACGTGCTAAGTACTCACTCTTTCAAGGATTCATACAATTCAGCCTCTTCATTTTATAGATGAGGCTCGGGGAGGCCAATTGACCTGTTTAAAGTCACACATCTATGATTACTGCCAAGGCCAATCATATCCCTATCTAGTAGTAGTAAAAACAAACCTTTCATGAATTCTGAGACCACTATTAGTAGTGACCTCTCTAGAGAGAACATAGGTCTGTTAGAATACTAGCTGGGACTTCCAGAGACGTAGCTTCAGCTTTCTGCTCCATGTGACTCAAGCTCAGTTGGACATGAAAGCACTGGTGACAGAACCCCAACCTAGCTCCCATCCAATTCTTTCCCTTAAATCATCAGGTTAGAAGCCTGCTGGAAGCCCCTGGCAGGGCGCAGTGGCTCAAGCCTGTAATCCCAGGACTTTGGGAGGCCGAGGCGGGTGGATCACAAGGTCAAGAGATCGAGACCATCCTGGCCAACATGGTGAAACCCCGTCTCTACTAAAAATACAAAAATTAGCCCCAACTACTCAGGAGGCTGAGGCAGGAGAATTGCTTGAATCCGGGAGGCGGAGGTTGCAGTGAATCAAGATTGTGCTGCCACTGCACTCCAGCCTGGGCGACAGAGTGAGACTCCGTCTCAAAAAAAAAAAAAAAAAGAAACGTGCTGGAAGCCCCCTGATGCTGATGTAATTAATCAGTAAGTTCAACTCAGTACAAATTATGTTTTACATACTGTGAACTTTCAAAGTCAGGGAGCTAGAGACATGAACTTTATCAAGGAAAAGCCACATGCCATTCTTGACCCTCTACTCTTACAGAGGCCAAAAAGCAAGTACATCACAGACTATACTGTTATTCTGTATATTGTATTTTTACTTTTTAAAAAACATGCTGAATCTTATTAAGATGCTTTTAAAGATCAGTTAGTGATGCAGTGAGATCATAATTTCTATTCCTTAAAACTAAGTTTTTTTTGTTTTGGGTTTGTTTTTGAAAGAGTGTCACTCTCGCCCAGGCTGGAGTGCAGTGGTGCGATCTCAGCTCATTGCAATCTCTGCCTCCTGGGTTCAAGCAATTGTCCTGCCTCAGCCTCCTGAGTACCTGAGATTACAGGCACCCACCACCACACCTGGCTGATTTTTGTATTTTTAGTAGAGACAGGGTTTCGTCTTGTTGTCCAGGCTGATCTCGAACTCCTGACCTCAGGTGATCCTCCCTCTTCGGCCTCCCAAAGCACTGGGATTACAGGCATGAGCCACCGTGCACAGCCACCCTTATAACTAAGTTTGATAACGGACACAGCTGTTTTATACTCATCACTTAAAACATGGTAACGTCTTCACTCATCACGTCAATAATTCAGAAAGTCTGAGCACAAGGCTTTCTGAAATCCATCCCTGTGTGACATACTACATCACTGATACTGAATGGATAACCCTGCACAGCCGCCATCTTCTCTCTCCTTAATTCTAAAAACAGAGACACTGAGTTACAAATCCATCACTCACAAAATGTTTTTGTAGCTATTGCATCATCACCTCTTTTTGTCCTATAAATGGCAGAAGAAAGGCAAGGATGAGTTAACTTGCTACATCGGTGCAGACCTAATGAACATGGTACAATAAGTTGATCCAACTCTTACTCTGCTGATATATTTCCACTCATCTCTACAAAGTAAGATCTAGGAAGAAGTTGTTTACTGGAGAGCTCTGTTCTCTTCAACAAATTAACTGTGTCTTTATCTGTTTGAACTGTTTTGGTCTGGCAGCTCAAGAATGAAGGAGGTGGCAGAGATAAGTGACAGGAAATGGGAAATTTGCAATCTGGGTAAAGGGAGTAAAATTCTCAGAGTGAATTGCAGAGCTACCCAGAACAGGAAGCAGTAGCCAAAAAGCCTTATCTGGTGACCTTATTTCCCACTGTGTTGATCCTCTCTTGTTTTCTCTGCTTTATTTAATAAACAGTACAAAGTTTCCCAGGCTGATTGTGTACATTAAAATTCCCTAAATAAACAGTTATCAGCATACACACACACTCTCAGTTGGGTTTCCCTTTTGATATTTGTTCATGGGCCTTCATATTACTAAAAATTACAAGCACTTAAAATAATTTGAGACCATTATTTCATGAGATCTAATTAGTCTCATGTGGCTTCACTGGCCAGGCATTATCTGTTTTACTGCTCAGGGAAGTGGTCCAAGTTCAATGTTAATTAAATTTGTGATTAAAAACAGCACAGCCAACCAAACAAGTTTAAAATTGTATCGTATTAATACAGTTTGCAGATACTGCATGATAAAGAGGAGGTATGAGCATAAAATTCTCATCTCAGATCTAAATTTTGTGACCTTTATGACAAGTAAGATTCAAGTGAACACGTTTACTGTCAGGTTTACTGATAAGCGTATTTAAACAACCTTGTTTATGTCGTGCTGGCCTAATTATAAATCCAATTAGCCTTAGAAGGAACATTTGGAAAACAGAAGAGCAAGGGGCCAGGATAGCCAAAACGTTCCTAAACAATAGGTGAGGGGACTCGCCTTACCACATAACTAGTATAAAGTATGTTGAAAGTGTAGCGTTGGCACAGAGATCAATAAAACAACCAGAGAATCCAAACAGAAGCTCCAGAATACATATGCCCACATACAGACACTTGGTTTCTGAGAGGTGGCCGTGCAGATTGGGACAAAACAAAAGGGCTTCCCAATGAATGGTGCTGGTGCTTATCTTTTTTTTTTTTTTTTTTTTTTTTTGAGACGGAGTCTTGCTCTGTCGCCCAGGCTGGAGTCCAGTGGTGTGATCTTGGCTCACTGCAACCTCCGCCTCCTGGGTTCAAGCGATTCTCCTGCCTTGGCCTCCCGAGTAGCTGGGACTACAGGCGCCCGCCACCACGCCCGACTAATTTTTGTATTTTTAGTAGAGAAGGGGTTTCACCATGTTAGCCAGGATGGTCTTGATTTCCTGACCTTGTGATCCACCCACCTCGGCCTCCCAAAGTGCTGGGATTACAGGCGTGAGCCACCGCACCCGGCCCTGGTGCTTATCTTTATGAAACAAGAATTTGGACCACAACCTCATACCTGTATGTATAAGTCCAAATCAATTCCAAATGGGTCACAGTGTTGGATGTGAACGGCAAAACCACACAACTTTAAAAAGATGACAGACCATTTATATGACATTGGGGAAAGATATTTCGTGTAGAGGCACAAATAGTACAAACTGATTACATTAATGAGAACTATGAAGCTGCCGTAGAGAGTAAAAGGCAAGTCCAGTTGAGAGGATATTTGCAACACATAATTGACAAAGGATTGGTATCCAGAAAATGAACCCGCACACAGATCAATCAAAGGAGAAATGGACAAAACATTCGGTATTTCACAAAAGAGGAAACCTGAAATGGCCAATAAATCTATGAAAAACTGTTTAACTTCACTAGTATTCTAGAAAATTTGGGAGAAATAAATTTTAAATACAGTTTCAGGTCTACCCATATTAGTAAAATATTTCAAATCTGACTATCAAGTATGGAATCATTGGAATACGTATTGTTGGTGGGAGTATAAATTGGAACAGAGCACTTCAGAAACACTTCAACATCATCTGGTAAAATTACAGATTTATCCTACCCCCATGAAATTCCACTGCGAGGTATACAAACACCCTAGGGAAACTCCTGCGCATACACACCGGGAGACAAGCACAAGAATATGCAAAGCGCACAACTTAGGAAGAAACTAGGAACAATCAAATGTCTCAACAGTAGACTCAACTATAATCCAGTCCTAAGATGGAATGAAAACAGCAATGAATAAAATGCCAATACACAAAACAGCACAGATGAATCTCAATCTGATGCTGAACCAAAACATCTAGATGCAGAAGATACATAGTAAGATTAAACTTATTTATAGTCCAAGATTTTTAAATTTTTTCTATTGTGTAGAAAACTACTGTATTTTTAAAAGACTCTTGGTGGTTCTGAAATCCACTGCAAAAGTGACACTAAAAGTCAGTGCAGCCTAATGGACGTGAGTCTTGCTCTTGACAGCTGCCACTCTGCTTTTTTTTTTTTTTTTTTTGAGACGGAGTCTTGCTCTGTCACCCAGGCTGGAGTGCAGTGGCACGATCTCCACTCACTGCAAGCTCCACCTCCCGGGTTCACGCCATTCTCCCGCCTCAGCCTCTGGAGTAGCTGGGACTACAGGCACCTGCCACCACGCCCAGCTAATATTTTTGTATTTTTAGTAGAGACGGGGTTTCACTGTGTTAGCCAGGATGGTCTTGATCTCCTGACCTCATGATCCGCCCACCTCGGCCTCCCAAAGTGCCGGGATTACAGGCGTGAGCCACCACACCCGGCCTACTCTGCCCTTTTGATGTGCTTTCCTGAGCCTGGATGAGATCAGCACATGGCTCTGGCCTCTGCTGCCAAGTGAACCTCTAATTGGCTGACTGTTTAGCTGCCGTGGTTTAAGAATGGAGCTAATGAGCCCCGGGTCAGGGGTTCAGTCTCCTTGTGGTCCAGTTGGCTTTGTTCTTTGTTTCATACTCACAGGCTGTACCACTATCCTGTAAATCCCATAAGAGAGAATAGACAAGAACAGACCTATCAGCTCTATTAGAAAATCAACTCTAAGCTCAAAGATCTGGTCAGTATACAAATCACAATATTGTGACTCATTGTATGAAAAGGTCAACACAAATGTTACTAAATGGCCCAAGTCATGGCTGAGAAGTCAAGGAGCTTACCAGACACCTTCTCTTGCAGCCTGGATTTTAAAGGCGTTGCTGTACTCTAGATCCAGGCCTTCCATAAATGCTAACTTTAGCAAATAGGAATTCTAAAAATGATGTTGACTCTCAAGAAATTATCCTACACTTTCATGATTTGAAAGTGCTTTATTGCCGGGCATGGTGGCTCACGTCTGTAATCCCAGTGCTTTGGGAGGCCGAGGCAGGCAGATCATGAGGTCAGGAGTTCAAGACTAGCCTGACAAACACCGTGAAACCCCATCTCTACTAAAAAAAAAAAACAAAAAAATTAGCCGGGTGTGGTGACGCGTGCCTGTAATCCCAGCTACTTGGGAGGCTGAGGCAAAAGAATCGCTTGAACCCAGGAGGCAGAGGTTGCAGTGAGCTGAGAACGCGCCACTGCACTCCAGCCTGGCAACAGAGCGAGACTCCGTCTAAAAAAAAAAAGAAAGTGCTTTATAGATGTATGAACATGAAGACAACAGTATAGGAAAGTTAAAGATTATTGCTGTATAGCAAAGCAATCTTGAAAACACCTAGAATCTATTTTGTTTTGCTTTTAAAATGTCCCTGGTTTGGCCAGGTGCGGTGGCTCATGCCTGTAATCCCAGCATGCTGTGGGGGCGAGGCAGGTGGATCATGAGGTCAGGAGTTCAAGACCCACCTGGCCAACATAGTGAAACCCCTTCTCTCCTAAAAACACAAACAAAAAAAAATTAGCCGGGCGTGGTGGCAGGCGCCTGTAATCCTAGCTATTTGGGAGACTAAGGCAGGAGAATCGCTTGAACCTGGGAGGCAGACGTTGCGGTAAGCCGAGATTGCGCCACTGCACACCAGTGGAACTATGAGAACTATGAAGCTGCTATAGAGAGTAAAAGGCAAGTCTCTGTCTCAAAAAAAGACTCCGTCTCAAAAAAAAAAAAAAAAAGTCCCTGGTTCATATAGAGAGTACCAGCAGAAGCAGTAATTACAGGTACGTAAAACCATTAGAAGGCTTAAAGATATACATATATATTTGGTAAAACTAGCTCCGGGCAGCTTCAGTGAAAATGGAAAAGGCAGAGTATCATAGACTAAAGGAAACACACCTGAGCTTTGTCTACAAGGGTTTATTTTGAATGAAAAGCCATAATTTTTACCAGCAGTGGCAATACCAGTTGATCTGTACCAAAGATGGGGAAAGGAAGCCCTAACTCTTCAAAAACAGCCTCAACAGGGAAGAAACTTACTTGCCAAGAGCAAATAGGTAGCTAATAGGAGGCTACTGTTGAGATCCTCCTTGTCACTTAAATTTGACTTTTGTTTCTAAACCTCATACCCAAGGAACAACTTTTTATAATCAGCCTAAATGTCTTCATGGAAGGTTTATAATGCTTTAGTTTCAGGTATTCTCAAAAGAGCCTGTCTTGTCCTGTGTGTCACGTTTCTTTCTGATTGGGCTTTAGTCTCTAGCTTCCGTGCTCCAAGTACTCGCCATCTGGCAGTACTTTAGAAATTTCCTTTTACTTTCTCATAGATTCTGTTGAAAGCAACCACATAATGAAAAGTAAATGTCTTCTGCTTATTCTTAGCAGGAAGCCGGAACTAAGTTCCTTGCAAGGCCCCATTCCAGACCTTGCGGTGCTATAGATGGAGCCTACACTGTGACCTTGACCTCTTTCACATGCCCAGAATTCCTCCTATGAAGATCTTTAAAGAGGGAACTGGACAGATGTTTTCTTTAATCTTCATTGGTTAAGACAAATCCATGCAATGTAGAACTTCTAGAGGGTTTTGTTGTTGTTGTTCTTTAGGCAAACAACATGAATGAACAATGTCTCCTCTACTTCCAAGAGCTGCTTGAGAGCAAATTATGTTGATCCTTAAAAACGATTTCTAAACCTGTAAGATCTGATTGTAAAACTTGCTCTTGAGGCCGGGAGCGGTGGCTACCGCCTGTAATCGTAGCACTTTGGGAGGCTGAGGCAGATGGATCATTTGAGGTCAGGAGTTCGAGACCAGCCTAGACAACATGGTGAAACCACATCTCTACTAAAAATACAAAAATTAGCCGGGCATGGTAGCGAGCACCTGTAATCCCAGCTACTTGGGAGGTTGATGCAGGAGGATTGCTTGAACCCAAGGGGCAGAGGTTGCAGTGAGCCAAGATCTCGCCACTTCATTCCAGCCTGGGAGAAAGAGCAAAATTCTGTCAAAAAAAAAAAAAAAAAAAAAAGGCCAGGCACGGTGGCTCATGCCTGTAATCCCAGCACTTTGGGAGGCCGAGGTGGGTGGATCACCTGAGGTCAGGAGTTCAAGACCAACCTGACTAACGTGGTGAAACCTCATCTCTACTAAAAATACAAAATTAGCCAAGCATGGTGGTGCATGCCTGTAATCCCAGCTACTCGGGAGGCTGAGGTGGGAGAATCGTTTGAACTGGGCAGGCAGAGGTTGCAGTGAGCCAAGATCGTGCCATTGCACCCCAGCCCAGGCAACAAGAGCGAAACTTCGTCTCGAAAAAAAAAAAAAAAACAACAATGCTGGGTGTGGTGGCTCATGCCTGTAATCCCAGCACTTTGGGAGGCTGAGGTGGGTGGATCATGAGGTCAGGAGATCGAGACCAGCCTGACCAACACGGTGAAACCCCATCTCTTCTAAAAATACAAAAATTAGCGAGGCGTGGTAGCGTGCGCCTGTAATCCCAGCTACTCAGGAGGCTGAGGCAAGAGAATCGCTTGAACCGGGGAGGCGGAGGTTGCAGTGAGCCGGGGTCATGCCACTGCACTCCAGTCTGGGCAACAGAGCGAGACTCCGTCTCAAAAAAAAAAGAAAAAAAGAAAAAGAAAAAAAAAAACTTGCTCTTAATTTATATCCTGAGAAATTAAGCTAAGAAGCTGTCCATATTCCATAAAAGCCTAGGGCATAGTCTTTTGCAATCTGTTAAGGCAACTATTTTTTAAAAGGGGGGCAGAGGTTTTAATAACTAAATGTTTATTACATAATTGAGTGATGTCTCTATATAAGAGGTCACAAATCAAGGAGGCCAGTCAGTTCATATTGTTCCAAGAGATCTACAAATTCAGAGCTCTTCCTCAGTCTGTACTGACTCTGAGGAAGCAAGTAAAGCTGTTTGGTCAACATATTCTTTTGAGAAAGGAAGAAACTTCCCTTGGAGAGCTGAAGACCACAGCAGGTTACTAAAGTTGAGTGGGGAGAGGTAGAAAGCAAGGGGCCATTATCCTTTTAACAAATTGGGTACTTTTAGTGTCCAGAAGGAAGAGAATACTATATTCAGTGAGGGAGGGCCCAGGGGTGAAAAGACTCTTGGAAGACAGCACACAAGAAGTTTGATACATGTCACAGGGCCGGCTGATTATGATAAGCTACTGAGCACATGATGGCAGGGATAAGTGTTCAGTGGGCAAAGAGAGGCCATGGGCCACAGCGACCCGGGCCAGGGGAGAGGGCAGGAAGGCACAGGCACGAGGCAGGGAAGCCAGGTTCCAGGTCAGCGAGGAGCTCCACACCCTGACATGAAAAAATGGTAGGTGCTCAATAAATATTTGTGAAAACCTCCAAGAGGGATTTTTTACAAAAAGAAATTGGAGAAAATCCACAAACGAAGTCATGTGGAACAATGTAGCACATGTTTGAGTTATTCAAATGAAGCTAAACTTAGCCAACTATTTCCCAAGTGCAGATGGGAAAACCAGAACATGAGGGAGACCCTATCATTTAAAATCATCCTGAAGAAACACAAGAAAAATAATATGTGCCTGTGGCCAGGTGTGGTGGCTCGCACCTATAATCGCAGAACTTTGGCAGGCTGAGGTGAGAGGATTGCTTGAGCCCAGGAGTTCCAGACCAACTGTACAAAAAAAAGAAAAGAAAGAAGGAAGGAAGGAAGGAAGGAAGGAAGGAAGGAAGGAAGGAAGGAAGGAAGGAAGGAAGGAAGGAGAAAGAAAGAAAGAAAGAAAGAAAGAAAGAAAGAAAGAAAGAAAGAAAGAAAGAAAGAAAGAAAGAAAGAATGAATTAGCTGGGTATGCCGGGTGTGGTGGCTCATGCCTGTAATCCCAGCACTTTGGGAGGCCGAGGCGGGTGGATCATGAGGTCAGGAGTTCGAGACCAGCCTGGCCAATATGGTGAAACCCTGTCACCCTGTCTCTACTAAAAATACAAAAATTAGCCGGGTGTGGTGGTGCTTGCCTGTAGTCCCAGCTACTTGGGAGGCTGAGGCAGAAGAATTGCTTAAACCCGGGAGGCAGACGTTGCAGTGAGCTGAGATCGTGCCTCTGCACTCCAGCCTGGGCAACAGAGCAACACTCCATCTCAAAAAAAAAAAAAAAAAAAAAAAAAAAAAAAAAAAAGAATTAGCCAGGTATGGTCGTGCACACCTGTAGTCCTAGCTACTTGGAAGGCTGGGGCAGGAGGATCACTTGAGTCCAGGACCTCAAGGCCACAGTGAGCCATGATTACACCACTGCACTCCAGCCTGGGTGACAGAGGGAGACCCTATCTCTAAAATAAATAACATTTTAAAAATACATGCATGTGAAGCATCAATTGTAACCTAAATTAGTTTAAATGCTCATATTGTTTGTTCGTTTAAGGTGGAGTCTCACTCTGTTGCCCAGGCTGGAGTGCAATGGTATGATCTCAGCTCATTGCACCTCTGCCTCCCGGGTTCAAGTGATTCTCCTGCCTCAGCCTCCCAAGTAGCTGGGATTACAGGCATGCGCCACCAAGCCCAGCTAATTTTCATATTTTTAGTAGAGAGAGGGTTTCACCATGTTGGTCAGGCTGGTCTCAAACTCCTGACCTCGGGTGATCCACCCGCCTCCACCTTCCAAAGTGCTGGGATTACAGGCATGAGCCACCGCATCCAGCTGAATGCTTGTATTTTTAAAAAGCAGTGGAGGAACAAAAATGAGAAAGCAACAAAAAAAGTTTTACAGAAGTCTAAGATAAAGTGGTATAACACACTGAAGCTTCCCAAACAGGATGTCATGGAGAAGACCCATGGGAAGCCCAATGTCCATTAAAGACACTCCTTACATTTAGGATGAGGAGAGAGAGATGGGCCAGAAACAGACACCAGCACATGAGCACATCCTCAGGGGAGGACAAAAGGGAAGGAACGAGATCACAGATAACCAGCAAGAGAGCTGAAGCGTGGGAATCTTTTTGTGACATGGCTAGGAGTGCACAGAGACCTTAGACCCGGAGCAGATGTGCTTAAATCTGCTTCTCTAAAACAAAATATGTTGTGGTGCTCAGAGCAACTTCTGTGAAGGGATTTGGAAACACCGTGACCCTAAATAAATCGTCAAAGACAGCTCTTTCTGGTAAATTCCATCTAGGTCCTCTAGAGAAAAAAATGACACCAATAACCAACACTATGCAAAGCAAGGAAGAGAGACCAGCAGAGCCCTTCTCATCCCACAGGTCTGCACTCAAGACATCTTGAGGGGCCTTCCCTGACAACCCTCTCTAAAGAGTCCCCACAGGGGTCTTATTATGTCCTCAGTGTCTGTCTCCCAGCCTGAGAACTAGGAGGCCACCCTCAGCCGCACGTCCCCAGTGCCTAACAGGGCCTGGCGTAGAGAAGGTGCCTAAACCAGTTCCTTGACTGAAAGAAGAAAAGAACTCCAGCCAAAGGAAAAGATCAGCCCGTAACAATGTGAGAACACGGAAGTGAAAGTTGCTAATAAAAGAAACTCAGAACAGTATTCCAGGCCCGGGCTTGATGTGATTATATGCTTAGTTTTTTTTTATTAGCTGGATATACATTTTTTTTCCTTTTTCTGCTATTTTTAGGTCTAAAATCTTAGCCTTCTCTATTACTAGCTGTTTTAAAGACAGGAAATAGAGCCAATTTAAATACTGACCCAATCAAAACAATCCAGAGATAGGTGCTCTCAAATTCAAAAGGCAAACAAGAAAAAAAAGTCAGGGTCATCTGCATTATCCCTTTATGTGCTATTTGTCAGGAATGTGGAGGCAATGTCATGGAGACAAAGTTCAGGAGTTAATTCTCAAGTTAAGTGTGAAGGTGAAGAGTCTACTGCAAGGGCAGAGCCCCTTTCTCATTTATTCTTACCCAAATCTCCTGCAGTATGACCCTATCATGCCAGTTCCCAAATATCAGTCACATTCAAAATAAACAGAAAAGGATTTTTCCAAAACCAAATAATAATTTTTTGTGTTTTTTTTTGTTTTTGTTTTTGTTTGTTTGTTTGAGACAGAGTGTTGCTCTGTCACCCAGGCTGGAGTGCAGTGGTGTGATCTCAGCTCACTGCAACCTCCACCTCCTGGGTTCAATCGATTCTCCTGCCTCAGCCTCCTGAGTAGCTGGGATTACTGGTGCCCGCCACCACGCCTGGCTAATTTTTGTATTTTTATTAGAGACGGGATTTCACCACGTTGGCCAGGCTGGTCTCGAACTCCTGACCTCAGGTGATCTGGCAGCCTCGCCCTTCCAAAGTGCTGGAATTACAAGCATGAGCCACCGCACCTGGCCAAGAATACATTTTTCTAAAGGTAATCTCTGCCCCACTTTCCTCCATGAGCAGTCATGAACACTTATTGAACAAGCAATGGTGCATCAGGGGCTTGACAACGCACTCGACACCAGAGGTGTGTGATCTCACATGAACGCAACAAGCCTGAAGAGGGAACCAGACTACGGAGAAGTCAAGAAATTTTCTCAAAGCCACATAGCTGCAAAATGGCTCCAAAGCTTGTAATAGTACAATGTGTTCTGTCCCCTTTACATGGATAATTGAACATTGTCCAGGAAAGGTACAGGGATGGCAGCAAACTACGATCTATCCAATCAGTTGGTTTTTATATTTCATGAATGCTTTTAAAAACTTTTTATTATGAAAACATTCAAATATATGCAAAGTAAATGAACCAAGCCTGGCCTGCATAGATTTTTAAATCATCTTTTCAGCTCCTATTAATATATTAATGACTGCTCGGATTATGCTTGAGATTGTACCAAATCTCTATTTTACTTTGGGGAGAAGTGACATTTTAATATTGAATGTTTCAATCCACGGGTATGGTATTTCTTTCCATTTATTGGAATCTTTAAGAGAAAAACTGTTATTAGAAATATCTTATTCCTAGGCCAGTTGCAGTGGCTCACACCTGTAATCCCAGCACTTTGGGAGGCCAAGGCAGGCAGATCATTTGAGGTCAGGAGTTCGAGATCAGCCTGGCCAACATGGTGAAACCCCATCTCTCTACTAATAATACAAAAATTAGCTGGGCGTGGTGGCGCGCGTCTGTAATTCCAGCTACTTGGGAGGCTGAGTCAGGAGAATTGTTTGAATCCGGGAGGCGGAGGTTGCAGTGAGCCGAGATCATGCCACTGCACTCCAGCCTGGGCAACACAGCCAGCTCCATCTCAAAAAAAAAAAAAAAAAAAAGTAGATGCTGAATGAAAGGTAATGGAAAGTAGAAACTCCAGCTTCCTAGTGATAACACAGGGCAGCCTCTCTCATTAACTTCTTAAAGAGAGTTGTGTGATTTGTCAAAGAGAAAATCATTGGCTAGAGTGATTTGTGATATCTTTTTGTTTGTTTGTTTTTGAGACAGAGTCTCCCTCTGTCACCCAGGCTGGAGGGCAATGGCACGATTTCAGCTCACTGCAAACGCCGCCTCCCGGGTTCAAGCAATTCTCCTGCCTCAGCCTCCCAGGTAGCTGGGATTACAGGTGCCCACTACCATGTCTGGCTAATATTTGTATTTTTTAGTAGAGATGGGGTTTCACCATGTTGGTCAGGTTGGTCCTGAACTCCTGACCTCAGGTAATCCACCCGCCTCAGCCTCCCAAAGTGCTGGGATTACAGGCGTGAGCCACTGCACCCAGCCTGTGATATCTTGTATAGTTTCACACGTCAACTCTTGAAACTGTACAAAGACTAAGGAGAGAGAGATAATTAGTTCTGAAATAGAAAAGGGAAAATCCTTATCAGAGAACAAAAAGAGAATGGTTTTGGTACTTTTTATGAGATTAACATTCAGTAATGGTTAAGTTCCCCATGGCCAAATTAATTAGAATAAGGAGGCATTAATGAGACACATTTTGAATGTGATCCAGATACATCTTTCCCTTTGTGAATAAAAGGTGCTTTAGGGATAACTAAACCAAATTCTAAAACTACTTTTCTCTACTGTGTAGTAGAGATGATTTGGGCTAGAAGTTTACAGGATAAAAAGCCAGCCTTTAGTAAGTTAAAAAACACCTTAATTCTTGAAATGTATGAATGGAACTATTAACATATCCAGTACTCTAGCCAGGTGTGGTGGCTCACACCTGTAATCCCAGCACTTTGGGAGGCTGAAGAGGGAGAATGGCTTGAGCCCAGGATTTTCAGACCAGCCTGGGCAACATGGCAAGACCTCATCTCAACAAAAAAATATAAAACATTAAATATATATTTTAAATATTATATTAAAATATATAAAATATAAAATATAAAAAATTGGCCAGGCGCAATGGCTCACACCTGTAATCCCAGAAGTTTGGGAGGCCAAGGCAGGTGGATCACTTGAGGTCAGGAGTTCAAGACCATCCTGGCCAACATGGTGAAACCCTATCTCTACTAAAAATACAAAAATTAGCTGGGTTTGGTGGCTTCTGCCTATAGTCCCAGCTACTCAGGAGGCTGAGGCAGGAGAATCGCTTGAGCCTTCCAAAGTGCTGGGATTACAGGAGGCAGAGGCTGCAGTGAGCCAAGATCATACCACTGCACTCCAGCCTGGGCAACAGAGTGAGACTGTCTCAATCAATCAATCAATAAAAATAAATTAGCTGGGCATGGTGGCATGTGCCTATAGTTCCAGCTATTTGGAAAGCTGAGGTGGGAGGATCTATTGAGCCTGGAAGGTCAAGGCTGCAGTGAGCTGTGACTGCCACTGCACTCTGGGTGGCAGAGTGAGACCTTGTCTCAAAGCAAACAACAAGCCATCCAGTACTCACCAGCATCAATAACACACTCTACATTTTAAATATCTGGTATTTAAACAAGTGCAATCAACTCAAATTAGAATCATTATAAAATCATGACAAATCCCACAAGGAGATAATTGTGTGTGTGAATGTGTTGGAGGTGGAGGTGAGGGTCACAGGAAGAAAATTCTCTAGTTAGAGGTTTTTCAGCACTACCATCTTTTCATTTTTCCTTCAAAGATGGACTGGCCAGACAATATCTGAAAGAAATGTTGCCAGGCCTGGGGAAGTGTCTACTGCTGCCAGGACAGCATTAGAATAAACAAAAGAGGGCCGGGCCCCATGCATGCACATCTCTGGATTACTCATGCTCACTCCCAGGGCCTCTCCCTGGCACAGCTGTGAAGTAGGCAAAATTTATCTTTAGACTCTCCTACTTCCCCTTCTGGGTCTTGGTCCTCTCTCCTGGTTCCATCTGAGATACTCAATGCCTCGTGCTGTCCAGGGTAGCACCACACCCAGGCACCCACATTCCTCCTTGGAAGCTGACCTTGTCCCCAAAGCAAAGTTTCTTGCTCTCCTTCTCCTTCTCCGCAACCCTCCACTAAAGTTAAAGTTAAAATTTCCCCCCTCTCAGCTAATTGCCTGGCAGGAAAGTAATATAAATGAATTCATACCGGCATGTGAGTCACTAATATTCTTTATTCCTCCCATGTGTACTGGCATTTTAAAAGTTTGTTAAGACAGGGCCAGGCACGGTGGGTCACACTTGTAATCCCAGCACTTTAGGGGGCCAAGGCAGGTGGATCATGAGGTCAAGAGATCAAGACCATCCTGGCCAACATAGTGAAACCCCGTCTCTACTAAAAATACAAAAATTAGCTGGGTGTGGTGGTGGGCACCTGTAGTCCCAGCTACTCAGGAGGCTGAGGCAGGAGAATTGCTTGAACCTGAGAGGCAGAGGTTGCAGTGAGCCAAGATCACGCCACTGCATTCCAGCCAGGAGACAGAGGAAGACTCTGTCTCAAAAACAAACAAACAAACAAAATGTTTGTTAAGCTAAAGGAATGTTTCCTTTAGAAGGAAAACTCCATCTGTAGGATACCCAGCAAAAAAAATCTGGGGAGGCCTGAGTTTCCTCAAACCATCCAAAGGCCATGGAGCCAATAGAGTCATTCCCTAGACCAGGTCTCCTCACCCCTACTGCAGGCAAGTTCGTGACCCACATTGACTCTTGGGCAAAGGGCTGATGAAAAAACTGTAGCAAATGCATGGATTTTGAAAATGTATTAAAAAGTGAAATATAAATCTAAAAGGTTAGATTTAATTCTAACAGTTTTCTTTTCTCAATGTCAAATAAAACAGAATGATTAACAAGGATATCAAGACCATTCAATGGAGAAAAGGACAATCTTTTTCAACAAATGGTGGCGGGAAAACTGAATATTCACATGCAAAAGAATGCAACTGGAGCCATAGCTTACACCACATACAGAAATTAACTCAAAATGGATCAAAGACTCAAGTGTAAGAGTGAAAACTATAAAACTCTTGGAAGAAAACATAGGAGTAGGCTGGGCACAGTGGCTCACACCTACAATCCCAGCACTTTTAGAGGCTGAGGCAGGAGGATTTCTTGAGGCCAGGAATTCAAGACCAGTCTGAGCAACGTAGGAAGATACCATTGCTACAAAAGACAAAAAGTTAGCCAGGCACCGTGGTGGCAGGCGCCTGTAGTCCCAGCTACTAGGGAGGCTGAGGCAGGAGAATGGCGTGAACCCGGGAGGCGGAGCTTGCCGTGAGCCGAGATTGCGCCACTGCACTCCAGCCTGGGTGACAGAGCAAGACTCTGTCTCAAAAAAAAAAAAAAATTAGCCAGGCACAGTGATGCACACCTGTAGTCCCAGCTACTCAAGAGACTGAGGCAGGAGAATAAAACTTCATGCTATTATTGGATTTGGCAATAATTTCTTGGATATGGCACCAATAGCATGGGCAACAAAAGAAAAATAGCTAAACTGAACTTCATCAAACTGTAAACCTTTTAAAGGAAACTATCAACAGACTGAAAAGGCAACCCACAGAATGAGAGAAAATATTCACAAATTGGCTGGCCATGGTGGCTGACACCTGTAATCCCAGCACTTTGGGAGGCCGAGGTGGGAGGATCACTGAGCCCAGGTGTTCAAGACCATCCTGAGTAACATAGTGAGACCTCATCTCTGTGGAAAAAGTAAAAAAAGAAAATATTTGCAAACCATATATGATAAAGGATTAATATCCAGAATATATAAAGAACCCCTAGGATGGATATGGTGGCTTACACCTGTAATCTCAGCACTTTGAAGGCTGAGGTGGGGGGATCGCTTGAGCTCAGGAGTTTGAGACCAGCCTGGGCAATATGGTGAAACCCTGCCTCTACAAAAAATACAAAAATTAGCCAGACATGGTGGCACTCGCCTGCAGTCCCAGCTACTCAGGAGGCTGAGGTAGGAGGATTGTTTGAGCCCAGGAGGTGGAGGTTGCAGTGAGCCAAGATTGCATCACTGCACTCCAGCCTGGGTGACAGAGTGAGACGCTGTCTCAAAAATAAAACAAAGTAAAATAAAGGAAATTCTAACATATGCTAAAATGGGGATGAATCTTGAAGACATTATGCTAAATGAAATAAGCTAGTCACAAAAGGACAAATTTTTTTTTATTATTATTATACTTTAAGTTCTAGGGTACATGTGCTCAACGTGCAGGTTTGTTACATATGCATACATGTGCCATGTTGGTGTGCTGCACCCATTAACTCGTCATTTACATTAGGTATTTCTCCTAATGCTATCCCTCCCCCTGCCCCCCATCCCACAACAGGCCTCCGTGTGTGATGTTCCCCACCCTGTGTCCAAGTGTTCTCATTGTTCAATTCCCACCTATGAGTGAGAACATGGCAGTGTTTGGTTTTTTGTCCTTGCGATAGTTTGCTGAGAATGATGGTTTCCAGCTTCATCCATGTCCCTACAAAGGACATGAACTCATCAAAAGGACAAATACTATATGATTCCACTTCTATGAGGTGCCTAGAGTAATCAAATTCTGAGAGTCAGAACCTAGAATGGTGGATACCAGGAACTGGCAAGGAGAGAATGAGGGGTTACTGTTTAAGGGGTATAGAGTTTCAGTTTGGGGTGATGGGAAAGTTCTGGAGATAGTGGTGAATGTGACTGTACTGAATGGCATTGAATTGTACATTCAGAAAGGGTGAAAATTGTAAATTTTATGTTTTGTATATTTTAACACATACACATACACACACACACACACACTCACACACAAAACCTACGTGAGCTTTTAAGATAACTATCTCACCCCACAAGGTCAGGTTTATAATCTAAAATGCATTTTCAACTTTTTAATATCTAAAACTAATACAAGGTGATTTGATTAGTCCATTTTGACCCTAGAATATAAATCAAGACTTCCAAGTCTCTCTGGATCCAGTTTAACAGCAAATTGTTTGGCTGGGCTGCTAGAAGGCCTGGAAGCTCTGGCTGGCACCTGAAATAACTGGCCCAATGGCTGACCCTGCTGGCCCCAGCAGCACTAGTATCTACCCTTCAGAAGAGACATCATGGCCCTCGCATAGAAGCCCTGTGTTTATTACCTCCCAAGCACAAGTCTGAGAAATGCTTTTCCCCCTCTCAGATTAACTGCACCAGAGCCTTCATTCCCCATTTCTGCAGTGGAGAATCGTATTTAGTACATATGACAACGGCCTTCTCCTTCGCCACGCTTTGGTCAGACTCCTCTGAGTCCTCTTCTCAACCATGCCTGGACCTTGGCCCCTGTTGTTACCAGTTGAGGGTGTCCAGGCTCTTGCCGTTTTGAAAAAAGAAATGGACAAAACGCACAAACAAAGCCAGGAAAGAATGAAGCAACAAAAGCACACATCTAATGAAACAAAAGCACACTCCACAGGATGGGGGCTACCTGAACAAGGGGCTCAAGGGCGGGGTTACAGAATTCTGTGGGGTTTAAATACCCCCTAGAGGTTTCCCACTGGTTACTTGGTGTATGCCCTATGTAAATGAAGAGGCTGAAGTGAGGTTACAAAGTTATTTAGTTGGTGTACCTCCTATGCAAATGAAGAGGATGTTTCCTGTCGTAACTGAAGTAGAGTTACAAAGATATTTACTTGGTCTTAGAAAGCTGGGGTTTTTCTGTTGGATTTAGCTCTAGGAAATCCTTAGGTTCCCTGCCCCAGACCCTATTCGCCTGTCCTTGCTGGGTCTCCATAAACCCAGTTTTAGCAAGAATCCTGGAGAATCCCCACCCCTCAATATCTGATCAAGTTCCTCATCCCCGACCTTTGACATGTAAGTCCTCGACCTGTCTTCAGCAAGAATCCTACGTTATTAGTTTAGCAAGAATCCCCTTATCCTTGATATCTCTTAGTAATTTCCATCCATTGACCCCCTCACTCTGCTTCCTGGCCATAAAACCTCAGCTGTCTGGATTATATTCAGAGTTGAGCTCAATCTCTCTGTTTCAAAGCTCTTACTACAATTCTCCTGAACAAAGTCTGCCTTACTTTTTTTTTTTTTTTTTTTTTTTTTTTTGAGATGGAGTCTTGCTCTGTCGCCCAGGCTGCAATGCAGTGGCGTGATCTCCGTTCACTGCAAGCTCCGCCTCCCAGGTTCACACCATTCTCCTGCCTCAGCCTCCCGAGTAGCTGGGACTACAGGCGCCCGCCACCACGCCCGGCTAATTTTTTGTAGTTTTAGAAGAGACGGGGTTTCACCGTGTTAGCCAGGATGGTCTCAATCTCCTGACCTCGTGATCCGCCGCCTCGGCCTCCCAGTGCTGGGATTACTGGCATGAGCCACTGCGCCCGGCCTGCCTTACTATTTTAATAAGTGTGTCAGATTAGTTTTTTCTTTAATACACAGCAGGAACCTTGGAAGGCTTTAAAATGTTGGCATTTCAAAAGCAATAGTCCCATGGGAATCATAGTTACTGGCAAAGTAACCAATAATTTATCTGATCATCTAATTGCATTCTGGTAAATAAAATCCAACAGTATTTGTCCATAGAACCCATAGGTTCATGACCTTCTAAAAGCTAGAAAATTTAGTGATTATATCCAAGCCCTCCTGGGAGAATAGAAAAAAAATTATTCAGGCTGGGCACGATGACTCACACCTGTAATCCTAGCACTTTGGAGGCCGAGGCAGGCGGATCACCTGAGGTCAGGAGTTCGAGGGCAGCCTGCCCAAAATGGTGAAACCCCGTTTCTACTAAAAATACAAAAATTAGCTGGGCGTGGTGGCAGGCACCTGTAATCCCAGCTACTTGGGAGCCTGAAGCAAGAGAATCACTCGAACCGAAGAGGTGGAGGTTGCAGCGATCTGAAATTGCACCATTGCACTCCAGCCTGGGCGACACAGAGAGATTCCGTCTCAATAAATAAATACATTAATTAATTAATTAAATCAGGGATTTAAAAAACAATGCCTAAGGCTTGAAATCCTGTTGCAGGCAATCAAAACCCTACACCCATTTACTATCACCACCTGCCTACCCCACCCCAGGCCCAGTACCCTTTCAACCCTCGCCCCCACATACGGGCACACATGCTGCTCTTGTTAGACAGGTGAGGCGCAACAGTCCTCAGTTACCCGCATTTCCCTCCCACTCTGTAGGCTCCTTAGACATGTTCCTTGGTTTCTCAGGGCTGTGGCACCTGGCAGAGTCTGCAACCCACTCCAAGAAATTGGAGGGGGCTGCCGTCACTGTCGGTGACGTGGGAGGCCATTGAGACGCCGCCCTGTCTGTGCTTAAAAGAGAACACGCCCTGGTGGCTGGAGGGTGTCTGTCTGCATGACTCACTGGAGAAGCTGTCTCCTTGGGAGGAAGTGTGGAGCAGCCTCTCTAAATTTCATTTAGGTAAATTAAGGGGTGGAAAACCACTTGAAGTAGGAAGGCAAAGGCCAGAATTTATCCCTGGACATGCAACTGCTTTCTACATTTGGCCAGTACAGATTCATTCAGATGGAAACAATTTATTTCCTTCAAACCATGAGAAAGAAACATGCCTTTGTCCTCTGTCAAGGTGTCCAGGGAGTCACGGGTGGCTCTCATTAATGAAAATAACTGCTTTGCATTCACATCACACCTAATCTCCTGTAGGGTAAATAATGGAAAGTACTTTAGAAAAGTGCTTGGAAACCTCTTCTCTGCAGGTAGTATTAGCAGATCTCCCTTTGGCCCAAGGCCATTTGGGTTTCCAGGGAAGAGGCATTGATGGGATTAGGTAACCGGGCCATTTGTCTTCATTAACTTTATCACTAACTTCCTGACTCTGGTTATAGGCCCCACAATTAGTTTGTTTCTAAGGGAGAATCGTATTTAGGTTTTTCAATGGCAATTGTTTTATTCATTAAGTTTTCTAAGTAACACAAAAAAGCTTTCTTTTTCACAAAAGTAACATCTGCTACCTGGGGATTTCTGCCTGGTAATTAGCTAACTGGTAATAACCTAAATATGTACCCCCCTCATCAAATTCTAATATTTTTCCTGTTGTTTTTTCTTTTTTTTTAAAAAAAAAAAAACACTAAGCTATTTTCATTGGCCAAAAGAAAATGCCTTTAGTTTTTTTTTAATGCCTAATAATTCAGAATTCTCCTTAATCACGTTCTGTTCTGTTATCCAAAGACATATTTTCTAAAGTATGATGTGAACCATCTCTACATTCATCTGTAGCAAAAACATGCCAACACAATGAGTCAGCCAAAATGAAGATGTAATGTGATACACTATATGACTTCCATTTTTGGTCCAAAGAGTTCCATGACAGCAATTTCAACTGGACTATAAAATATATTGCAACCAGCACATAAAAATGTATTTCAGATGCAAGACCCCTTTCCTTAGTTATCTGTATTACATCATGTGATTGTTTCCAATTAACTATTCAATGTTATCTGTCTTCATGCATCTAATGGATTTTTCCCCCATCAAATGTTTTCAGATGAATAGTAATTTAATCAAATGTTCCCCTCTGTTTAAAAAAAAACAAAAAAAAAAAAAGCCAGAGCTTGTTATGGGCTAAATGTAGCTTAATTATATTTAGTTTTTTATAAAATACATTAGATAAGGCTTAAGAGAACATATTTTGGAAAAGCCTGTTGCCAGTGACTTCAATGTCTTCTCATTAATTTTTTAAAAACTGAAGCCCTTAGTTTTGTCTTATGTTATGGACTAATTAGCTGAAGAACAGATCTGGTTCTAATTCCCAAGTCCAGCTCTAATTCAGAATGAACTCTTTAGTCACTAAACCTCAGACGAAAAGTCTGTCGTACCCACTGACTGTGCCCAAGGCAAAGAGGAAAACCTAGATGAGGAAAGCGTAGTAGAGAACCATGGGGCCACGAGATTCATTTAGTCAGGCATCAGTAGGGTATATGTTTCATATCAAGGATCCTGTGCGATCCTAATGAAGTTCTAGTGGGGAAATTACATCTGATATTGATTTGACTCTGAGTTTTGTGAAAACTGCCTTTAACTGAACAATTTCCCTAGAAATTTTGCATCAAAATTGATGGCACCTGGAGCCGGGCGAGCCGGCAGGGGGGAGGGGTGGGGGGGGTGGGGTGGGGGGGCTCATGCCTGTAATCCCGGCACTTTGGGAGGCCGAAGTGGGTGGATCACCTGAGGTCAGGAGTTTGGGACCAGCCTGGCCAACATGGAGAAACCCCGTCTCTACTAAAAACACAAAAATTAGCCGGCCGTGGTGGCGCGTGCCTGTAATCACAGCTACTCGGGAGGCTGAGGCAGGAGAATCACTTGAACCCAGGAGGCAGAGGTTGCGGTGAGTTGAGGTTGTGCCATTGCACTCCAGCCTGGGCAACAAGAGCAAAACTCCGTCCCAAAAAAAAAAAAAATTGATGGCACCTATGTTATACAAGACAAGGGAAGGTCATGGAAATGTTCCAGATTAGAAAGACATGGTAACTTGATCTTATACCAAATAAAGGGGGAAAAATGCTTTAAAGGGTAATATTAGACTAATAGATACTATTGGAATACAGATTATGTCAATGTTAAAATTACTTTAGTTGTTAACTGTATTGGATTAGCAAGAGACTATCCTTATTCTTAAGAAATACACACCAAAGCATTTAGAGGAAAAGACTTGTAGTATATGCAACTGACTTTCAAATAATTCAGAAAAAGAAATATTGTAAGTTTCATACATGAGTATGTGCACAATGATCAAGTTAATGGGTAAACTAGGTGAAGCTGGGTAGAATATACAGGTTTTCTTTGTATTATTCTTGCAACTTTTATGTAAAATTATTTCCAAGTAAAAAGTAAAAAATCAATGACAAGTATAGTCTGATTAGGAGACTTTAAGTACAGCGGTTGACTGGCTAAGTTATTTCTCCTTTAAGATCTGTCACTTTTTCAAATTGATAACTAGTTAGTAGTTTCCTCAGAGGTTACTATAAAAATGATATAGCCCAGTGAAATATCTTACAGTCTTGTTATCCTTTATTGTAGTTTTTTTTTTTTTTTTTTTTTTTGAGACAGAGTCTTGCTCTGTCGCCCAGGCTGGAGGGCAGTGGCGTGATCTCGGCTCACTGCAAACTCTGCCTCCCGGCTTCACGCCATTCTCCTGCCTCAGCCTCCTGAGTAGCTGGGACTACAGGCGCCCGCCACCATGCCCAGCTAATTTTTTTGTATTTTTTAGTAGAGACAGGGTTTCACCGTGTTAGCCAGGATGGTCTCGATCTGACCTCGTGATCCGCCCGCCTCGGCCTCCCACAGTGCCGGGATTACAGGCGTGAGCCACCGCGCCCGGCTATTGTAGATTTCTCATACCTCTTAGCCAGGGTTCTGGAGAGAAACAGAACCAATAGGGGAGATACACACACACACACACACACACACACACACACACACACACACACACACGTACACAGATTGACTTTAAGGAATTGACTCACGTGGTTGTGGGGGCTGGCAAGTCTGAAATCTGAAGAGCAGACCAGCAGGCTGGAAATGCAGACAAGAGAGGCTGTTGCAGTCCGGAGAATTAATTCCACAGGGCAGCAGGCTGGAAGCTTGGGCAGGGTTTCCGTGTTGCAGTCTTGAGAATTCCTTATACTTTAGGGAGCCTCAGTCTTTGCTCTCAAGGTTTTCAACTAATTGAATGAGGCCCACCCATATTGCAGAGGGTCATCTTCTGTACTCCCTGCCTATTGATTTAAATGTTAATCATCTAAAACATACCGTCACAGCAGCATCTTGACTGGTGTTTCACCAAACAACTGGGCACTAGAACTTAGCTAAGCTGACATAGAAAATTAACTATCAGACTACTGGAAACAGGGTATTCAGGATCAGAGTGATTTAAGCCCTTGTAGGAAAATGGCAATAAAACCTAGCATGCTCCCTGCCTTCAAGAAAAGCAAACTCTAGGGACAAGCCTGTACCAAGTACACACGAAATAACTATATGACAATTTTAAATGACAGAACGAAACCCTCAATGCCAAGGGGCGGAGCACAGGGGTTCACAACAGGTGAGAAGGGTCGGGAAAGGGAGAGGGCTCAGACGCAAACGAGTAGGCAAGATTTAAGGATGAGAAGGCTTCCTTTGGGGGATGGGGCCACGGGTTCTTCCAGATGAACTCAATCAGCCCCTTACTCTATTCTTTTTACTTTCTCAAAGTATTAAACAAGCAAAGAAACATAACCCTCAGTAAGTAGCATTATGTTATAGGGTTTTATGCCCTACTAAATCAGCATCCTCAGTTCATAAATCCAGCAGATTTATAATGGAACTTTCATACTATAAAGGACTAGAAAATTGAGAGCCTGATTCATAATTTTCCGATTGTCTTAATTACTTAAATATGTAAAATTTTAGAAGCTTTGTTTGCCTTTAATAGGAATGTCATATAATTCAATTTTCTAATTCAGTATTTTTTACTCAATAAACGTTTTCAGACCTTTAAAACTTGTTATTACTTTGTCGTGGTTTTCTTAATTGAAAACTCAAGCATAATTTTAAAAGAGTCTAATCACTATATCTAATTACAAAAAAGCTAAGTAGTGACATTATTTAACTTAAATACAACTTTTTAAAATAATGACTCACAGATGGACAGGAAGCTGCCATTAGAACAGCTGGAGTTGAAAGATGCTTCTGCCATTACAGAAGCCCTCTTTAAAATCTCAGCTTAATGTATGTTAACTTTCCAATTGCATTTGTCAATTCAATTTTAAAATACCAGGAAAATTTTGGAATCTAGGCCTTTGACTGCTTTTTTTCTTTTTCTTTTCCTTTTTTTTTTGGTCAACAATAGCTCTTCCACAAGAAAAATAAAAAAAATATGTGCCTCTACAGAAGACAAACACCCTTTAAAATCTGGAGTAACTTCATACAAGTCAATGGGAGTATTGAGAAGTCTTCTTAAATTACTTTTGCATCTACAAATAGAGAAAAACCTTGCACTACCCCGTGCCTTGCCCATATTAAGTATTTACTCATTCAACAATCATTTATTATATGCCTGTCTGGATTACTTTCATCACCTGACGCTGTTCTTCCTCATTTCTATTACAGCCCCTTAAAATCAGGACTCTAGGGCCGGGGGCAATGGCTCACACCTCTAATCCCAGCATTTTGGGAAGCCAAGGCAGGAGCATCACTTGAGCCCAGGAGTTTGAGACCAGCCTGGCCAACACACTGGTAACTTCCCCCTGCCAGCCCCACACCCCATCTCTACTAAAATTAAAAAAAAAAAAAAAAAAATTGGCCAGGAACAGTGGCTCACACCTGTAATCCCAGCACTTTGGGAGGCTGAGGCGGGCAGATCACCTGAGGTCAGGAGTTCAAGACCAGCCTGGCCAACATGGTGAAACCCTGTCTCTACTAAAATTACAAAAATTAGCTGGGCATGGTTACAGGCGCCTGTAATCCCAGCTACTCCAGAGGCTGAGGCAGGAGAATAGCTTGAACTTGGGAGGCAGAGGTTGCAGTGAGTAGAGATCATGCCATTGCACTCCAGCCTGGGAGACAAGAGTGAAACTCTCTCTCAAAAAAAAAAAAAAAAAAAAAAAAAAAAATTAGCAGGTTATGGTGGTGTCCACCTCTGGTCTCAGTTACTTGGAAGCCTGAAGCAAAAGGCTCACTTGAGTCCAGGAGGTCAAGACTTACAGGGAGCCATGATCGTGCCAGTGCACTGCAGCCTGGGTGACAGAGTGAGACCTTGTCTCAAAAAATAATAATAATAAAATACAATTGCTTTCCGTGGTTCCCTATCACTGGCAAATTAAGTCTTTATATGTATATACATAAAAGATAATGTGTGTTGTGTGTCCATGTGACGTAAGCACTGGATTTCCAGAGAAGGCCCCTGAGGCCTTTTCAAGGCAGGATAGTATAGCATTTAGGTGCACAGACTATGGAGTTTGAATGCCTGAGTTCAAATCTCAAATTTATATCCCACCACACCCTCCTGCATCAGCTCCCCTGACAAATTCCGCCTCCCAGGCTTTCTGAACTGCTTGTCTTTCTCTGAGTAAGCTACGTGAACATGTTTGTGCCCTTACCCTTGGCTCTGCATGTCTCTTACTAGATATTTTTCCTCTAACTCTTAGTGGTCCTTCTTTGAGCACCTCCCCAGAACCTCTTAGGCTGTGGAGAGCACCAGGGCTCCCTCAAGCCAAGCACTTGCCTCACAGCTGCTTTTCTCCCCGTCTAGACCACGAGGACAGGTGGCACTCCCTCCGGTAAGTGTTCCCTCCTTGGGCAGGTCTCCCCTGACATTTCCAGACAGAAGCAGGGGCTCTTTCCCAGGTGATCTCTTGGAACCTCAAGCATATTTCTGTGTGTGTAGCAAGACTCTGTAATTATCTCTGTCTCCCACTGACACTGAGAGGGACTTTGTCTTATTCCACTTAGTAGCTTCAAGCACAAACATAGTTCTCAGAACACAGGGGGTGTCTGTGTTCAAATAGATAATTTGTCGAACAAATGGATACATATCTACAACATCTAAGAATACTTTTAAAATACAGAAGAGGAATCACAGAAAAATCAACCAAAAACGTCAAGTAAATTGTAGATTTCCCTAGGCAAGCTCTGGCCAAAGTTACACTATAATATTTATCTGAGATGCCTAGAATTCTGTTTTCTCATAATCTGCTTTTGTCTTCATCTCTAATTAAGCTAAATTTAAAATGATAAACTGGTAAGTTTATAATTTCACTATGTTTATAAACCACGAGTAGCTCTAAGAACTTTGAGAGAAAATAAAGCCTATTCATTGTTTACAATTTACAAGGCTAAGGCATAAAAATTTCCCTTTTATTTAACACACTTTTACAATATCTTGTTTAAAGGTGAATTATTTCACTATTAATGTCTTTAAATATAGTTACAAAACAAAGCACCCAGAGATAAACATAAGAAGTCTGCCTATAAACACACTGATGGCCGAAAATGGAATACAACTCAGTCCAAAGAAATCATTTTAAAAACAGCCACAAAGGAAATCTTAAACTGAAATCTATTCTTCAACAGCTACTCGAACGTACCAGGCAAACTAAGTGACGACTTAGTGATTTACCATCAAAGCATGGTATGTTGATAATACTGGAATGAACACAGACGTAAAGATAGATGCTCATGGTGTTAAAAGTAAATGCCCTTGGCTGCTGTCTGAGGCACTGTCACAGTCTACTATTTCTTAAATCTGATTTTTGTTTGTTTTGTTTTTTGTTTTTGAGGCAGTGTCTTGCTCTGTCACCCAGCCTGGAGTGCAGTGGCACAATCTCGGCTCACTGCAACCTCCACCTCCCAGGTTCAAGCAATTCTCCTGCCTCAGCCTCCTGAGTAGCTGGGACTACAGGCACACACCACCATGCCTGGCTAATTTTTTTGTATTTTTAGTAGAGACGGGGTTTCACCATGTTAGCCAGGATGGTCTCGATCCCCTGACCTCGTGATCTGCCCACCTCAGCCTCCCAAAGTGCTGGGATTACAGGCGTGAGCCACCGTGCCCGGCCTTAAATCTGTTTTTTTAAAGTCTCATGGTAGCCTCACCAACGTTTTTGTTTGAACTTTATCCTCTCTGCACTATGAATATTCCTGTTCTCCTTGGGTTGGATTTTCTCCACTTTTTGAAGAATGTCTTTATAATCTGCAGTAGCCTTCAAGAGCCAAAGTTAAGTATAGTAATGTTGGCCTAGCCGGCAATGTGGTAGGTATTTCTTTCTAGATGAAGAACCCTGTCTTGTGTCCCCTCGAATCACATCACGTAGGTAGCCATCTGTGTACTCTATCTACATTAAGGTAGGCCCCGGGTAGGGAAGAATAGGGAGACAATGCAGGAATTTAGACACTAGAGCTCTGCTAACAATTCCTTATGCATGACTGCTGCATCCTTCCAGAGGTGTTTGTGACTGAGACAAGACGGTATTTTAGGGGTTCAGTAGCAGTTTCTATGCCCCTAGATCTAACACTTAAGCAGTGTTTTCTCTGAGTAACTGTGTTAGTCTTTAGGCTGCTACCACAAAACACCATCAACTGGGTGGCTAATAAACAATAAACATTGATTTCTCACAGTTCTGAAGGCTGGGAAGTCTAAGATCAAGGTGCTGGCAGATGCAGTATCTGCTGAGGGCCTGCTGTCTGGTTCATAGATGGCATTTTCTAGTTGTGGCCTCATATGGTGGAAGGATTAAAATGAGTTCTCTGTGTCTCTTTTATTAGGGCACTAATCCCATTATAAGGGCAGCACTTTCATGACCTAATCACCTCCCAAAGGTCCCACCTCCTAATGCCATCACCTTGGGGATTAAGTTTTCAACATGTGAATTTGCAGGGGGTGGGGCACAAACATTCAGATCCTATCACTAAGAAAACAGAAGCAAACAGTGGCTTCTAAACTGATGGGATCTGGGTGCAAGCTTGTAAGACAAGGGCCCAGGAAGTTCCTGTTGTAGACATCCTCATGAAGGGACACAGCAGAAAAGCATTTCAGAATCAGAAGGGATTTTTTTTTTTTTTTTTTTTTTTGACAGGGTCTCACTCTCTCACCCAGGCTGGAGTGCAGTGGCATGATGATGGCTCACTGCAGCCTCAATCTCCACGGCTCAAGTGATCCTCCCACCTCAGCCTCCTGAGTAGCTGTGGCTACAGAGGCAATGCCACCACACCCGGCTAATTTTTAAATGTTTTGTAGTGATGGGGTTTCATTATGTTGCCTAGGTTGGTTTTGAACTCCTGGCCTTAAGCAATCCTTCCACTTTAGCCTCCCAAAGTGCTGGGATTACAGGCGTGAGCCACCACGCCTGGCCAGAAGGCATCTTAAACATATGGAAGTCATGTGACCCAGATTTTCCACTGCAAGCACAATTCCAAATATTCTTCCCCTCCATCAGACCATGAGCCATATAGGTCACCTGGGCTACCATCTTAATTTTATTATTATTTTTTGAGATTTAGTCTCACTCTGTCACCCAGGCTGGAGTGCAGAGTGCAATGGTGAGATCTCAGCTCACTGCAACCTCTGCTTCCCAGGTTCAAGTGATTCTCCTGCCTCAGCCTCCTCCCGAGTAGCTAGGATTACAGGCGCACACCACCATGCCCAGCTAATTTTTGTTTTTTTTTGTTTGTTTGTTTTTGAGATGGAGTCTCAGTCTGTCGCCCAGGCTGGAGTGCAGTGGCACGATCTCAGCTCACTGCAACCTCTGTCACTCGGGTTCAAGCAATTCTCCTGCCTCAGTCTCCCAAGTAGCTGGGATTACAGGTGCCTGCCACTGCACCTGGCTAATTTTTTTTTTTTTTTTTTTTTAAGTAGAGATGGAGTTTCACCATCTCGGCCAGGCTGGTCTTGAACTCCTGACCTTGTGATCCACCTGCTTTGGCCTCCCAAAGTGCTGGGATTACAGACGTGAGCCACTGTGCCCGGCCAATTTTTGTATTTTTAGTGGAGACAGGGTTTCACCATGTTGGCCAGGCTGGTCTTGAACTTCTGACCTCAAGTGATCCACCTGCCTCAGCCTCCCAAAGTGCTGAGATTACAGGCGTGAGCCACTGCGCCCAGCCCCATCTTAATTTTATAGGCAAAGAAACTGAGCATAAATAATTTGCCATTGTGGAAATGTGGATGGTGAAAGAAAAATATATTAAAACAAACATTTTTTAAAAAATTGTCAAATATCACACAAATAGTTAGTGCCAGATGGAAATGCTAAACTGTTACTTCCTAACTGTCCTTCTAACCAATCTCTAGGACACATGTGAAGGTCTCTTGCAGTGTAATTCTAGACTTTTTCACTACTTACACTGAATATGCATTTTATGATTTTCATCATTAAGAAGACAATCTGAATTTTAAAAAGAAGTTTCAGATGAACCAATATTTTCTCCTCCAAAAATGAATGAATGTTTTAAGTTTAGTATTGAGAGCTAGCAAGAGTCTAGTTTAAGTTGAGAGTCTTTTTAGTAACCGGTTTTAGGATAAACTAAGGAGAAGCTAACAAGACATCTGAATGTGTGAGCTTCACATTAGAGCACTTGATGAGTTATCATGCATACAATTAAGTTGTAATAATTGAGTCAATAATAAAAAAAAAAATCATAAAATAAGGCCAGGTGCAGTGACTCATGCACTTAGGGAGGCCAAGGCAGGAGGGTTGCTTGAGCCCAGGAGTTTGAGACCAGCATGGGCAACATGGCAAAACCCTGCCTCTACAAAAATACAAAAATTAGCTGGGCATGGCAGCACTCGCCTGTATTCCCAGCTACTGGGGAGGCTGAAGTGAGAGGATCGCTTGAGCTGGGGAGACTGAGGCTGCAGTGAGCTGAGATCGCACCACTGCACTCCAGCCTGGGCGACAGAGTAAGACCCTGTCTCAAAAAAAAAAAAAAAAAAAAAAATTCATAGAATAAAATGAATGAGGGAGAGGGAAAACCCTGAAGAAGAAAAGTGGATAATATATATATTCAGGGAGATTTGTTTAGACATGATTATTCACTGCTGTCTAAAATAAACTTTAGATTTTAGGGTTTTGAAGTTTTCTCAATCATAATCAAAGAGCGAAAAGGGAAAGCCAGTGAGACATAATGATTCTGACTCTAGGAAATGAAGCTGTGTGTAGCATTTCCTTCTCATTCTCACTGCCAGTCTAAGGGAGGAGAACGGGAAAGCTGAAAAACTCTCAGCCGCAGATGATTGAATGACAAGTTTCAGAATGATGGGTTTCAAAATCACTCCAAATGCTACTTATTTCATTTTAAAAATAACATTTTTTCTGTCTATAAAGTACTATTTATACTTCATAGAAAACTCGAAAAATAAAAGAAAGCTGAAAGAAGTAATAACTCATACTCTTCATATTCAGATAACCTTTGTTAATATTTGAATGTTTTTCATTCTTTTTCTCCAAATACTGTAATATTTTTATACAGCTAATACCATGCTAATAGATTTTAGTCTCCTAATTTAGGATAGTATTATGAATATTTTCCTATGTCATTTAAAATTATTTGCAAAAAGTTTGTAAATGGCTGTGAGATATCATAACCATACCCTAATTTATGTAATGATTTTCTTATTTACAAGTACCATATGTAATGATGTAGTCAATATCTTTGCACATAAGTTTTCCATATTTCTGTTTATTTCCTACGAGAGCAGACTAGAAGTTGAACTACTACGTCAGAGTTTGAAGAATTTAAGGTTCTTGATAACATCTGTCAGATTAACTTTCAGAATATTGTACTAATTTATGCTCCTACTGCCCGTGGGTGAAATGCCTGTCTTACCACTGACTCAGCATCTCTGAAAGATGACCACTTTATGGACATTTTTGCTCATCTGAAAGGGACAAGGGGAGACCGTGTTGCTATTCTAGTTTTTGATTCTTAGTGATTTTGAATAGATTTTCATGTAAGTATTACCAATTTTTATTTCCTTTTCAGCAAGTTATCTGTGTTCTTTAACCATTGGGAGTTTCTTTGGTAAAGTAATTTAGATGTACACATAATGATAGTCCATTATCTGTCATTACTATCTATTTTCATCTTAATTTGGAGAATCATTCTCTTTTAGAACTTTCTTTTTTTCTTTTTTTTTTTTGAGATGGAGTCTCGCTCTGTTGCCCAGGCTGGAGTGCAGTGGCACGATCTCGGCTCACTGCAAGCTCTGCCTTCCAGGTTCACGCCATTCTCCTGCCTCAGCCTCCCAAGTGGCTGGGACTACAGGTGCCTGCCCCACACCCAGCTAATTTTTTTTGTATTTTTAGTAGAGACGGGGTTTCACCGTGTTAGCCAGAATGGCCTCGATCTCCTGACCTCATGATCCGCCCACCTTGGCCTCCCAAAGTGCTGGGATTACAGGCGTGAGCCACTGCGCCCGGCCTCTTTTAGAACTTTCTAAGAAAATGTCATAAATCAATAAAATAAAATTTTAAACTTGTCACAACTGTGTAATACTGCTTGCAATAACTTTGGAATGACAATACTTTTTGTAAAATGATTCGTACATTAAACACTTTACCGAAAAAAGGCTTTAATCCTGGCTCTGCCTCAAACCAGAATTTTTATCTTAAAACAAAATTTCAATGAATCTTAGTTTATCTGTAAAATAAGATGGTTAATCTTTGAGTCCATCCAATTTAAAAACTAGGCAACTTGTGCTCACAAAAAACGATACACAGCACCACCTAGAGGTAAAAAGGAATACTTTTGTACATTTTTCATTTATTAAAAATGATTTTTTAGCCTTAACAATACAATATTAAGTCAATATATTTTATACTTGCAGAAAGTGCCTGGGTAAATATATGAGAATTGTAATAGGTCTATCACATCGGATAAAACTTTTAGAATGAATGTCACAGTTGTCAGGCCTCTGAGCCCAAGCTAAGCCATCATATCCACTGTGACCTGCACTTATATATCCAGATGGCCTGAAGCAACTGAAGATCCACAAAAGAAGTGAAAATAGCTTTAACTGATGACATTCCACCATTGTGATTTGCTTCTGCCCCACCCTAACTGATCAATGTACTTTGTAATCTCCCCCACCCTTAAGAAGGTACTTTGTAATCTCCCCCACCCATAAGAAGCTTCTTTGTAATTCTCCCCACCCATAAGAAGGTTCTTTGTAATTCTCCCCACCCTTGAGAATGTACTTTGTGAGATCCACCCCCTGCCCACAAAACATTGCTCCTACCTCCACCACCTATCCCAAAACCTGTAAGAACTAATGATAATCCACCACCCTTTGCTGACTCTCTTTTCAGACTCAGCCCGCCTGCACCCAGGTGAAATAAACAGCCTTGTTGCTCACACAAAGTCTGTTTAGTGGTCTCTTCACACGGACGCGCGTGACAATAGTAGCTGTAAGAATTCTTAGCTCCTATATGAATCTAGGTCATTTTCTTTCCCCTATCATGACTTTTTCTTTTTTTTTGAGACAGAGTTTCATTCTTGTTGCCCAGGCTGGAGTGCAATGGCGCGGTCTCGGCTCACTGCAACCTCTGCCTCCCAGATACAAGCGATTCTCCTACAGGCACCTGTCACCATGCCCAACTAATTTTTGTATTTTTAGTAGAGACAGGGTTTCACCATGTTGGCCAGGCTGGTCTTGAACTCCTGACCTCAGGTGATCCACCCGCCTTGGCCTCCCAAAGTGCTGGGATTACAGGTGTGAGCCACCACGCCCAGCCTATCATGACTTTTTAGGGGATCAACTATTCTTTTTCACATTCCTTAGGAAAATCAGTAACACTCTCTTTTAAGTCTGATACTAAGGATCAAAGATGTCTACCTAATACTGTGATATATTGTATATACAATATATATTGGGTACACTGGATACATTCTTTACCCTGGGGGCTTTGTGGACTTGCTGAAACTATGGTCACAAAAACAGTTCCTCCATGGTTAGATACACAATGCCATTCTAGGGTTCAACTTCAGGGAAGGAATCCCTAAATTGGAAATGTGGCTAGCAACAGAAAATTCCAATGGTGGCACCCTGAATCTACTGGGACTTGAAGAAAAATGTAATCTCTGCAGAAGTGTGACATCTATAGCAAACGTCTGGTCATTGTTAACATCTGAATTATCACCACAGATTTTTTTCCACACCAATGTTAGCAATGGCTTCCTCCTTATTACCACTTTTGGAACTGTGCTTTTTATTTTATATTTATTTATTTAGAAACGGAGTCACACTTTGTCACCCGGGCTAGAGTGCAATGGCTGATCTCAGCTCCCTGCAACCTCCACCTCCCAGGGAACTGTGCTGTTTTAACTTGTAGTTTCCAAATTGTTCTGAGCGTGTTCTTCAGCTTCATCATGTTTTGCTTCCAATTAAATTGTAAACTCACCAAGTGAAACTGCATCTTCTAACTGTCCTGGCTCCACTGCCCACCACGCCCCTAGGTGTGCCATAATATGAACACTTACATGGACTAGGTGGCATTGCCTTGCTAGGAATTATGAAATACAACTCTTCGCCAACACGAAGGTGAATGTGCAAGGTTAAACGGAGTTCAGGCAAATAAACATTCAATATTTGTTGTGACAAAGTTCATGAACAGTGTTGCCTCAGATCTAAGTTTACCCTTGAGTGGTGTAACTTAGATTTAAAAGAAAAACAACAAAATCCTTTCTGAATCTTCCTCCAGTTTGTATGATCTCCAATTTCTAATTCATAGTTTGGGAATAGATTCTGTCTGGGAAATTGCATAATAACTTTTTTTTTTAAACAGGGAAGAGTAAAAAGAACTATTTTTTTTATCCAAGTTTTTATTTTGAAAAATTTCAAACATCCTTAAAATTTGGGAGAATAGAATAATGGGCACTCATAAACCCGCCACCTTCATCTGGCTATTAGTAACAGTCTTCTTTATCTATTTTTATTTCTGATCCCATTGAAAGTAAGTCACAGATATCATGACACTTTTTTCCTAATATTCCCTGAAGCATCATTTAAGAACAAGGATATTCTCCTTCATAACCCCAATGTCATTATCAAACCTAAGAAAATCAACAGTAATGCCCTATCTCATATCCAGCTTAAATCGAAATGTCTGTAATTGTCCCAATGATGTTCTTTATAGCTTTATTTATTTATTTTATGAGAGTGTCACTCTGTCACCCAGTTTTGAGTGCAGTGGCACGATCACAACTCACTGCAGTCTTGGCCTCCTGGGCTCGATTGATCCTCCCGCCTCAGCCTCCTGAGCAGCTGGGACCACAGGTGTGTTCCACCATGCCTGGCTAATTTTTGTATTTTTGTAGAGATGGGGTTTCACCATGTTGCCCAGGCTGGTCTCAAACTCCTACACTCAAGTGATCCTCCTGCCTTGGCCTCCCAAAGTGCTGGGATTACATATATGCGTGAGTCTTATTTTTTAAAATCAATGTTTAATCTAGATTTACACATCTCATATGGCTAGGCCATCTTTGAAACTCTCATTCATTGGGCACCTACCATGTCCCAAGCTACACAGGCCATCCTATTTATTTTCACAAAAAAATTTGAGATAGTTTTTGTTTTTACTTAAGATGGCGATAAAGTATCTACTTCTGGGTACTTTGATGTATTTTAGTTTTTTGTTGTTTGTCTTGTTTTGTTTTTGAGATGGAGTCTTGCTCTGTCACCCAGGCTGCAGTGCAGTGGCGTGATCTCAGCTCACTGCAACCTCCACCTCCTGGGTTCAAGCAATGCTCCTGCCTCAGCCTCCCAAGTAGCTAGGACTATAGGTGTGCACCACCACAACTGGCTATTTTTGTATTTTTAGTAGAGATGGGGTTTCACCATGTTGGCCAGGCTGGCCTTGAACTCCTGACCTCAGGTGATCCACCAGCCTCAGGTGATCCACCAGCCTCAGCCTCCCAAAGTGCTGGGATTACAGGCATGAGCCAATGTGCCCAACTATATTTTAGTTATTTACCATTACATTCACAGAGCTTATTAGCACAGAGCCTTGCACATACATAGGTACAAATACACAGCTGTGGAATCAATGAAACTTCATGTGCTTTTCCATTCTGGTAGGAAAACTACAACAACAACAGCAAATGATGGTATATTACCTAATTTGTTGTAATGACACACCGAGGTAGCCTCTCATCCACACTCTCCTGCTTCTCTAGGAACTTAAGGGAAAAGTTTCAGAAACCTAACGTTAGCTGCCTAAAGCAACCTGCTGCAGGATAACAATTAAAATTCATGCCAATTTTGCATCTGTTCAATATGTTTTGCTTTAATATTTAAAATGATTTTCAATTTAACATCAAGGAGGAAGAGTTTCCCATTTGTCTTGTTTGGTCATAGGGTGTATCAGATTCAGACACTGAAATACATGGAGCCAATACCAAATATCAGATTTAGCATCCAGGCAATTTCTTTTTTCTTTTTCAGGTCACAAGATTTTGAGAACCCAGATTCAAATAAAGAAATAGATATGGCCAGGTGCGATGGCTCACGCCTGTAATCCCAGCACTTTGGGAGGCCGAGGCGGGCGGATCACGAGGTTAGTATATCAAGACCATCCTGGCTAACATGGTGAAACCCCATCTCTATTAAAAATACAAATAAATAAATAAATAAATAAATAGCCGGGCGTGGTGGCGGGTGCCTGTAGTCCCAGCTACTCGGGAGGCTGAGGCAGGAGAATGGCGTGAACCCGGGAGGCGGAGCTTGCAGTGAGCCGAGATCGCGCCACTGCACTCTAGCCTGGGCAACAGAGCGAGACTTCGTCTCGGAAAAAAAAAAATATATAAATGGCAATAACATTTTAATCTTTGTGAGTTATGATAGGCTAATCCCTAACAAGATATACACAGATTTATTGCAGTAAAGGTGATAGAGTAAAGCAATTTCAGCCTAATTTTGGTATATTTCTTGACAAGTATTATCTGGTGGGAAGGTAAGTCATTTATGTCATTTGCTGGGCTAAAGGTTCTCTGATTTTTTGTCAGTCTCTTTTACAATCTAGGAGACATATTTGTCAAAGAACTGTTAGGAAAGAAAGATGTCTAATAATGATTTTTACCATGACTAGTATAATTTCGATGACATATAAGTGAAGAGTCTCAACTCCTAGTTTCTATGATAAATATTAATTACAGCAATCTTGTACAGAAATGTATAGTATAGCCTTTCAGGTGTTAGCTGGATCTCCTAAATAAGCCAGCTTTGTAAGTCACCACCTGCATTTAAGGTAAGCAGTGAAGTCATTCACCTTATTCAGATTTTTATATTTTTTTGTGATACATTTTCCATTCTCTATGAGGGAAAATAATCTAAACCTGAATTCAAAGAAACCGTCATTTCCTTCTGCTAAGCCAGCATACATCTATCCAAATGAGCAATTTTCATTTTTTTGTGTGTCACTAGTTTGTATTAAATGGTTAGTATTGATCAGACTGAACGTTTTTACCTTTTTCTTTTAAACCATCCCACTTCACATACTGAGAAAGTAAAAAGACAAACTCTCTGGGATGAAGTGTTTTCGGGAAGGATGCAGGTTGACAAGTGCATTCAGAGTGTGCTGAAGCTTGGCCATTCCTGCAGTTTTGCCTATCAGAAATTTGACCTTGGCCGGGCGCGGTGGCTCACGCCTGTAATCCCAGCACTTTGGGAGGCCGAGGCAGGCAGATCACGAGGTCAGGAGATCAAGACCATCCTGGCTAACACGGAGAAACCCCATCTCTACTAAAAATACAAAAAAAAAAAAAAAAAATTAGCCAGGTGTGGTGGTGGGTGCCTGTAGTCCCAGCTACTCAGGAGGCTGAGGCAGGAGAATGGCATGAACTGGGGAGGCAGAGCTTGCAGTGATCCGAGATCGTGCCACTGCACTCCAGCCTGGGCGACAGAGTGAGACTCTGTCTCAAAAAAAAAAAAAAAAAAAAAAGATGATAGATATAAAAAAAATAGATAATAGACCAACAGGGCCAAGCAGATAGAGAAACAGGTTTATATTTACATAGCTATCCGATATATGACAGACGGCATTACAGATCAGTGTGGAAAAGATGGATTAATCAATACATTCTATCGGGACAATGGCATGTCCATATTGGGATACATTTAGATCTGCACCTCACACTTAAATACAGATTAATCCCAGGGAACCTAAGGCTATAACTATGAAAAAAAAACACTTTCAAACTCTTAGAAAGACACATGCCACAGTGAAACTTGAAGACATTATGCTAAAAGAAAGAAGTCAGTCACAAAAGGAGAAATACTGTATGATTCCACTCATACGTGGTACCCGTAGTCAAACTCATAGAGACAGCAAGTAGAATGGTGCCAGGGGCCTGGGTTTTGGAGAAAATGGGGAGCTATTGCTTACTGGGTATAGAGTTGCAGTTGGGGGAATGATGAAAACTCTACAGGAGAATGGTGATGATGGTTGCACAACATAGTGAATGTACTTAAGGCTACTGAAGTGCACGCTTTAACATGGTTAAAATGATAAATTCTATGTTTTGTATATTTTACCACAATTTTTAAAAAAACTCTTAGAAGACAATGTTACACTCAGCAACGGTATATTGTTATACAGACAGCATCTCCCACTGATAACTAAAAATACTTAATAGACATTAAAAATATGCTTTAAAACATAAAATAACTCACCGGAGGGTAAAATCACAGGCCAAAATCTATGCGAAAGTGGGAACTCAGAGCAGATTGCAAGAGAAGATGTCTTGGTGCTTAGAGGCTTAGGTAGAATAAGAACACGTTCCTAAGAAATTGTAACTAAAACCTGAGCCTCACCTGGGTGTTCTGCCCAAATTCACATCAGCTGATGATTCTCAAAGCCTGCAGCTACCGCGTTAAAGTGGTCCTGGGTTAGTAGACCTCTAAACACCTGGTAGAAGTAAATATAAATACTCTTTGAAGGGATCCACCTTCATCTGAGGCCTCACAAAATCCCCCATAAATAATTTTCTATGGATAACGAACAGCTTACAGTTAAAAACAAAACAAAAACCAACCACACAAGAAACAAAGTGCATGAGGGAGAACCAGCAGAAACAAGACCCCAGAAAAGGACTCACAGAGATTATTAACAGAAGGAACAGTCTAGATAGTCCGAGATGCAGAAAGGAGGTAGCAAATAGGTGAATGTTGATTATATAAAATAAAAACAATGATTTATGGTGTAAAATTTGAAAAGACAATTAAAATACACTGCAACAATAATATAGATCAGGAGGAAGGTAAATGGAGTTGAAGTGTTCTAAGGTTCTTAGACCAAAGGTAAAGTATTGCTTAGCTACAGACTTTGATAAGTTAACATGCACGTTGAAACTTCTAGTAACCCCTAAAGAACAGAAACAGTGTGCTTATAAAATCCAAAGGGGAAAACATGTAATGATTATTCCAGAAACCTCAATCAATTCAAAAGAATTCAATAAAGAAGGGAAAAAGAAATTGAACAAATAGAAATCCTGGATGGCTTACTAAGCAAATTTTATCAAATATTCAAGAAATAAATAATTCCTAATTGTTTCAAGGGATAGCATAGCATGTTAGTGCAAAACTTACAAGAAAAGGAGAAAAGATAATTATCCACCAATCTCATTCGCAAACATATATATAAAAATCGTAAGCAAAATAATAGCAAATCAAATCAAGCAATGTATAAAAAAAGGAAAATATGATGTAACCAAGTTGGGTTTATTTTAGAAGCACAGATTGGCTTCACTTTTTTAAAAAAACAGTAATTCACTACATTAACATATTGAAGTGAAAAATCATACAAGTATCTCAATAAATACAGAAAAAAGCATTTAATAAAATTCAGTATCTATTTATGACTTCAAAAAATCTTAGCTAAAAAGAAATAGATTTTTTTTTTCTTTTGACACAGGGTCTTTCTCTGTCACCCAGGTTGGAATACAGGGGCACACTCTTGGCTCATTGCAGCCTCAATCTCCCAGGCTCAAGGAATCCTCCCACCTCAATCTCCCAAGTAGGGGGGACTACGGGAGCAGGCCACCACACCTGGCTAATTTTTTTTTTGTTTTGTTTTTTTGTAGAGACAGGTTTGCCATGTGGCCTAGGCTGGTCTTGAACTCCTGAGCTCAAGCAATCCACCCACCTCCACTTCCCAAAATGCTGCGATTACAGGCGTAAGCCATTGTGCCTGGCCTGAAATAAATAGACTCTTACCCAATGAAATAGGGCAAGGAGGCCAGGCGCAGTGGCTCAAGCCTGTAATCCCAGCACTTTGGGAGGCCAAGGCGGGTGGATCACGAGGTCAGGAGATTGAAACCATCCTGGCTAACAGTGAAACCCCGTCTCTACTAAAAATACAAAAACAATTAGCCGGGCGTGGTGGCGGGCACCTGTAGTCCCAGCTACTCGGGAGGCTGAGGCAGGAGAATGGTGTGAACCTGGGAGGCAGAGCTTGCAGTGAGAGAAGATCGCGCCACTGCACTCCAGCCTGGACAACAGAGCAAGACTCCGTCTCAAAAAAGAAAAAATAAAATTAATGAATTAAAAATTAAAAAAAAGAAATATGGTAAGAAAAAATATGTAAGGATTGGAAATAAAGAAACAAAGCTATCGTTATTCTAAAATGATATTTATAATCCAAAATAATACACTATCAACAAGGTTACTGGATAGAAAAATCAATATACACAATTAATTTTTTTCTTTATACTGGCAATTAGTAGGTAGAAAATAAAATTTTAGAATGATACAATTTCTAATGGCATAAAAGCATGAAGATGTGGAAATAAATCTAAAACTAGCTGCGTAAGACATACATGGAGAGATCAAATAAGACCTAAATAAATATACAGGGGCTGTAAGCTTCCTCATTGTAAAGATGCTGAGCTCCACTACTGACCATGAAGTAACTGGTACAGAACATCCTCTCCTATGGTAAACAACAAGAAAACTGGACCAAAGATATGAAACAACTGTTTTCTCATACTGTGACAACAGGCAGGGAAAGACTGAACTTTAAGAGAGGGAAAACAAGATGAACCTTTCAATTGCCCCAGCTTCTTATCTAGGGACAACTTTGAGCTTAGAGGACAGGGAAGAAAAACCTAAAGAAAGCACAATGGCGTCATTAAATTAAGGAGCTAGAGACTGGATCTGTGGGATGTGAGAGAGCTGGAATCTGTAGGGTAAAGTACCAGAGAGGAGGAAGCTACACAGAGAAAGAGCTCCCGAAATTGACACAGGGGTCTTCTTAGGTCTCTGGCTGAATAACCAGTCTGCATATTCATAGAGTGAAACTCCACACACTGGGCAAAGAACAATTGCCAGAGGCTAGAAACTGAACAATTCTCAGAGCACAGAGGACTAAGAGGTGCTCAAATCCTACTGAGCCAGAGAGACCTCACTGAGCCATAGGGCAATCAATAAAAACCCCAGAAGGATCAGGGCTTAAAATAAAAGCTAAACTAGCCCTACAGTAAAGGCTATTCTAGACACACTCTAACGAAGCTTAGAGGCAAATAAAAAAAAGATCTGATTTCATCTAAAGTCACTTCCACAGCTTGATCTTTTTAAAGTTCTTACACTTTTTTATTTATTTATTTTTTAAGACAGAGTTTTGCTCTTGTTGCCCAGGCTGGAGTGCAATGGCACGATCTCAGCTCACTGCAACCTCTTTCTCTCAGATTCAAGCAATTCTCCTGCCTCAGCCTCCCGAGTAGCTAGGATTACAGGCATGCACCACCACACCCAGCTAATTTTGTATTTTTAGTAGAGACGGGGTTTCTCTATGTTGGTTAGGCTGGTCTCGAACCCCCAACCTCAGGTGATCCACCCGCTTCAGCCTCCCAAAGTGCTGGGATTACACGCATGAGCCACCGTGCCTGGCCATTCTTATACTTTTTATTTTCTTTATTGGATTCTATAATAATATACTCAATTACTTTCTATTGTCTTCCCTATGTTGTACCAACCTCCAAAACTAAATATAAAACAAGAAAACTATTTTGAAGGAAAAAGCATGTTTTATCACAAGCCATTATTGCTAATGTTTATGTGGGACACCTGTTTTACAGTAACAAAACAAGGTTTAACTGAATTCTTTCAGTCTTCTTAAAAGGTATAGCTCAAAACAATAATATAGAAAAGTTGAAAACAGTAAGGAAGAGAATAGCAGGCAAATACTCAACAAAAAAAAGGTAGCATAGATCTATTAATATAAGAAAAAAGCAATATTTTAAGGCAAAAGCATTACTAGAGATAAAAGCGTCACTAGATATGATAAAAATAATCCAAATCCAAGAAAGAGAGGAATTAGAGACAAATCCCACAATCATAATGAGAGATGTTAACATCTATTTCTTAGTGATAGGTCAAGCAGACAAAAAGATAAAATCAGCTGGGCAGGTGGCTCACGCCTGTAATCCCAGTGTTTTGGGAGGCCAAGGTGGGAGGATCAGTTGAACCCAGGAGTTTGAGGCTGCAGTGAGCTATGATCATGCCACTGTACTCCAGCCTGGGCGACAGAGTCAGACCCTGTCTTAAATACATATATACTTACATAATACATAAAATCAACAAGGATATAGAAAAACAATATTTTTTAAAGCCAATTCTTCTCAAATTGATCTATAGATTCAGTGTAATTTTAATCAATCTCCAAAGTTTCTGTCTTATTTTTGTGTAATTTGACAAGCTGTATCTCATAATATATCAATATATTACTACAATCTAAGACTAGAGGAACAATTATAGCAACATTGAAAATCTTAATATTGAAAATCCTAAATAAGTTCAGTTAGAAAATGGAAGCTGACAGCATGTAAGAAAGATATACCCATTACCAGGATGGGTATATCTCACAAATCCAAGATTAATATTAGAAACAAAACATGTGTCGGCTGGGCGCGGTGGCTCACGCCTGTAATCCCAGCACTTTGGGAGGCTGAGGCAGGCAGATCACGAGGTCAGGAGATCGAGACCATTCTGGCTAACACGGTGAAACCCCGTCTCTACTAAAAATACAAAAAATTAGCCGGGAGCGGTGGCGGGTGCCTGTAGTCCCAGCTACTCGGGAGGCTGAGGCAGGAGAATGGCATGAACCTGGGAGGCAGAGCTTGCAGTGAGCCGAGATAGTGCCACTGCACTCCAGCCTGGGCAAAAGAGCAAGACTCCATCTCAAAAAAAAAAAAAGAAACAAAACATGTGTCTTAGTCAATTTTCTGTTGCTATAGCTGAATACTACAGATCAGGTAATTTATAAAGAATAAAGGTTTATTTAGCTTACAGTTCTGAAGACTGAGAAGTCCAAGAACATGGCATTGGCATCTGGCAAGGGCCTTCCTTACATGGCAGAAGGCATCACATGGTGAGACAGAGAATGCTTCTAGCTCAAGTCTCTCTTCCACTCCTTATAAGCCACTAATCCCATCATGGAGGCCCCATTCTGATGACTTCATCTAATCCTAATTACCTCCCAAAGGCCTCACCTCCAAATACCATCAACATATTAATTTGGGGTGTTTCCAACACATGAACTTTTGGGGGACACATGCAAACCTTAGCAACATGTTTGATAAAATCTAACACATTAGGATTAAAACAAGAAAAAAAAACTCCACAAATAAGGAATAGAAAAGACCTTTCTAACCAGATAAAGGTTATATACCAAAATACTTATAAGAGCTAACATCCTTATTGTTATTATTATTATCATTATTATTATTATTTTGAGGCAAGATCTCACTCTGTGTCCCAGGCTAGAGTGCAGTGGCACAATCATGGCTTACTGCAGCCTTGAGTTCCCAGGCTCAAGCAATCCTCCTACCCCAGCACCTGCTAGTAGCCAGGGATACAATACAAGCATGCACCACCACATCCCGCTAATTTTTAAATTTTTTGTAGAGACAGGGCCTCACTATGTTATCCAGGCTGGTCTCGAACTCCTGGGCTCAAGTGACCTTCCTACCTCAGCTTCCCAAAGTGCTGGAGTTACAGACATGAGCCACCATGCCCAGCCTATGTGTGTGTGTGTGTGTGTGTGTGTATATATATATATATATATATATGTATGTATGTATGTATGTATGTATGTATATATATATATGTATGTGTGTGTGTATATATATATATTATATATATACTTTTTTTTTTGAGACAGTTTCACTCTTTCCCCCAGGCTGAAGTACAATAGTGAGATCTCAACTCACTGCAACATGCGCCCCCAGGGTTCAAGCAATTCTCCTGCTTCAGCCTCCTGAGTAGCTGGGATTATAGGCACCCGCCACCACACCTGGCTAATTTTTGTATTTTTACTAAAGACAGGGTTTCGCCATGTTGGCCAGGCTCATCTCAAACTTCCGACCTCAGGTGATCCATCTGCCTGGGCCTCCCAAGTGCTAGGATTACAGGCGTGAGCCACCATGCCCAGCCAATATATTTTTTAAAGCCAATTCTTCTCAAATTGATCTACAGATTCAATGTAATTTCAATCAAAATCCAAAGTTTTTGTTTTGTTTTTGTGAAAGTTGTCAAACTCTAACATTTGTATATAAGATCCAGAAACACTTCTAAAGATGAACAAGATAGGGAGATTTACCTTACCAGATTACCTTATTAAAAAGCTATAGTGGCTGAGGCAGGCAGATCATGTGGTCAGGAGTTTGAGACCAGCCTGGCCAATATGGTGAAACCCCGTCTCTACTAAAAATACAAAAATTAGCCAGGCATGGTGGTGCACGCCTGTAGTCCCAGCTACTCAAGAGGCTGAGATGGAAGAATTGCTTGAACCTGGGAGGCAGAGGTTGCAGTGAGCCGAAATTGTGCCACTCTGTCGTACTCCAGCCTGGGTGACAGAGTGAGATTCCATCCCAAAAAAAAAAAAAAGCTATAGTAATTAAGGCAGTGTGGTGTTGATTCAGGGAAAGAAAAAATGGCCAAAGAGAATCATAAACCCAAACAGATCCTTACCTACTGGAAACTTGTTTTGTAACAGGCTTACTTTGTATATTAGTGGAAGAAAGAATGGACTTTAAAAAAAAGTGTTAATACAATTTAAAAGCATGACATTAGACCCCGACCTTCCACTGTGCACTAAAATAAATTCCAAATAGATGAAAGGCCTGAATGTGACAGTCAAACTAAAAAACTTTTAGAGAACCATATTGAAAAATATTTGATGGATTTGGAGTGAGAAAAGATTTATTTAAAAAGATCCAAAAAACATAAATTTTTAAAAAATGATAGCCCAAACAATCTTGAAAAAGAAGACCAAAGTTGGGGGACCCACACATTCCAATTTCAAACCTGTATAACAAGAAATGTATATGTTTTGGCCTTTGTCTCCAGTTTATGCTAATAAGATGACTTAGAGTGGAACCCCTAGATAACCTCAGGATGAGGCTGGCCACCAGAAAGACCATGTGATTAGATTATTAGAAGGATGGAATTCAGCTCTAAACACCAACCTCAAGGAAATGGGGGAGTATTAGAGCGGGTATTGGAGATCAGGCCTTATAAAAACCCTTTGACAATGAGATTTGATTTTTGGGTTGGTGAAGGCATCCACAGTGCTGATAGGGTGGCCCACCTCATCTCCACTGGAATAGAAGCCCCTGTGCTCCGCCGGGCATGGTGGATCACGCCTGTAATCCCAGCACTTTGGGAGGCCGAGGCGGGCGCGGATCACCTGAGGTCAGGAGTTTGAGCGAGCCTGGCCAACATGGTGAAACCCTGTCTCTACTAAAAATACAAAAATTAGCTGGGCGTGGTGGTGGGCGCCTGTAATCCCAGCTTCTCGGGAGGCTAAGGCAGGAGAATCGCTTGAACCCAGGAGGCAGAGGCTGTAGTGAGCCAAGATCGTGCCACTGTACTCCAGCCTGGGTGACAAGAGCGAAACTCTGTCTCAAAAAAAAAAAAAGAAACCCTTGTGCTGGAGACACTTCCAGATCTTGCCCTATGTAACTCTTCATCTGGCTGTTCTTCTGTGCCCTTTGTAATATTATTTTATTTTATTTTATTATTTTATTTCATTTTATTTTTGAGACCAAGTCTGGTGGGACCTTGGCTCACTGCAACCTCTGCTTCCCAGATTCAAGCAATTCTGCCTCACCCTCCCAAGCAACTGGGGCCACAGGCGTGAGCCACCACTCCCTGCTAACTTTTGTATTTTTAGTAGACGGTGTTTCACCATGTTGGCCAGGCTGGTCTCCAACCCCGGGCCTCAAGTGATCCGCCCATCTAGGCCTCCCAAATTGCTGGGATTACAGGTGTGAGCCACTGCTCCCAGCCTGTAATATTCTTTATAATAAACCAAAAAACTCAAGTAAAGTGTTTCCCTAAGTTCTGTGAGCCATCCAAGCCAATTATTGAGCACAATGAGGGGGCATTGTGGGAACCCTGATTTGTAGCTGGTAGGTCAGAAATACAGGTCACAGCTTGGGACTTTCGAGTAGTGTCTGAAGTGGGGAGGTGGGGGGCAGTCCTGTGGCACTGAGCCCTTCACCTGTGGGATCTGACACTCTCTCCAAGTAGATAGTATCAGAATTAAATTGAATTCTAGGACACCCAGTTGGTGTCTGCTGAAGAATTCCTTGGTGTGGGGAAGAGCCCACGCACATCTGGTCACAGAAGTATGCTGCGAGTGTGTGGAGTAGAGAGGAAAAATGGTCTCTTTTTCCTTTTACAAAACTATGGTAATAAAGACAGTGGTACTGGCACATAGATAAACATACAAATCAATGGAATAAAATAGAGAGTCCAGAAGTAAACCCTTGTATTTATGGTCAATTGATTTTCCAGAAGATTGCCAAAATAATTGAATGAGGAAAAAAATTGTCTTTTCAACTATTGCTGGGACAACTGGGTATCCACACGCAAAAAGATTGAAATTGAACACCTACCTCAACCATACATAAATAATTACTAGGAGTCCATCATATACCTAAATGTAAAAAATAAAAATAAAAACACCCTAAAACTACTAGAAGGGAAACATAGGAGTAAATCTCACCAAAAGCACATGTGATGAAAATAGATTTGCTAAATTGGACTTCATTAAAATTAAAATCTTTTGTGCCACAAACTACACCATCAAGAAAATGAAAAGACAGTCCACAGAATGGGAGAAAATATTATTCAAGGATGGCAGAGAAAGCCCTCTCATAAAGCAAAAGATGCGAATTTTGGGGAAAGCAAACCCCCATAACTTTTTTTTTTTTTTTTTTTTGAGACAGGGTCTCTCTCTGTCACCCATGCTGGGCACCATCTCAGCTCACTGCAACTTCCAACTTCCGGACTCAAGCAATCCTCCCACCTCAGCCTCCTGAGTAGCTAAAGGCATGTGCCACCATGCCTGCCTAATTTTTATATTTTTTTTGGTAGAGACGGGGTTTCGCCATGTTGCCCAGGCGGGTCTCAAACTCCTGGGCTCAAGTGATTCTCCTGCCTCAGCCTCCCAAAGTGCTTAAAGGGATTGCAGGCATGAGCCACCACTCCTGGTCAGCAAGCCCTCTTAATATTAAGGCCTAAAAGCACATGGGAAGGACACCAGTAGCATCTGCTATGCAGTCCCTGACTGTCTTCATGGATTAGACAGATCGTAGTTTCAGCTTGTGTTTCTCCAGAAAGCACAGTCTGAGGCAAAAGGCTTATATGCTATTACTTTATTAGGGAGAGCAGTTCCAAGAAACAGGGATAGGGAAAGGGCAGTGAAGCGAGGAAGAAAGGAGAACCAATATGAGATTGCATTATGGAGCTGGCCATCATTAAATGTCACTGATTGCTTGATCTCTTGGGATAGTTCTTAAGAAGCCTCAAAAAGCCCTGGGACTTACCTAAAGACTCAAAAAAATACCTGAATAAAAAAAATTTTTGTAATGCTGCTTTTCCGCTGCAGGTGTTAGTTGATATTTGTAAATTAAGACTCTCTGAGACCTCATTCATAACTTGAGTTCCCTTTAATCACCATCCAGCTCCTAATTGGTAGTAATGGATAGCAGGGATAATTGAAATCCACAGAATAACAGCTACCATTTAGTAAGCGCAAGGCAGTTTTATATAATGTCAAATCCTCACAAAGTAGCTTTTGTTATGCCATTTTATTAATGCCCAAAATGAGATTCAGCTAACATGAGGAATGTGGCCAAGGTCATGGAACTAGTAAATAGCAGACCAGGTTTCAAAACCAGGTACTTTTTTTACCCCCAAAACAATGCTGTTTCTGTTACACCATGATGCCTCTTAGGTGAAAGGATTGAAATTCCTAGATCTTCTCTTAGCCAATACTTTTAAATTTTTGATTGATTTTTAAAACTAAGTCATACAAACCAGTGGTTCAAAATTCAAGAAATATAAGAGTTTTCACTGAAAACTCCCTTTTTGCCCTGCCCATTTGGTCAGTCACCCAGTGACTGCCACTAATACTGCCAGTTTCTTGGGTATCTTCCCAAAAATGTTTATGTTAAATATATTATTTTCCCCCTTTAACAGAAATATATATAATATATATTATATATAGTATAGTATATACTATACTATATATAATATATATAGTATATAGTATATATTATATAGTATATATAATATATATAGTATATATTATATAGTATATATAATATATATACTATATATAGTATATATAATATATAGTATATAATATATATTATATATAGTATATAATATATATTATATACTATTTATATATAATAGTATATATATTATATGTATACCATTCTCACCTTGTTTTTTGTTTTTCACTCCACAGTATATCCTACATAAAGCTTAGTCAATACTTTGAAATGTTCTCATCACTAAACCTTTTATTGTTAGGGAGTACAAGATAAATTGCACCAAAATTTATCCTTGTCCTACTTATTCACTACTGAAAAAATAAACCAAAAGCAAAATGGCTGAGGATCAGGCAACAGGAAAGGGATGGAGAAGCACGAAATAACCACAGGCCGATCAGTGGCTTTACATCAAAAGGCTTTTCTTGTTTTTGTTCTTGGCCTATTTTGGCCCTACTTCATCCATAATTTTCAGGTGTGTTTCACAAAGCAATTGCTGTAACTCTTCCCTTCTACATTTTCTGTTCACATGCATGAATGGAATGTGAATGTCTATTTGTCCTTTTAGCAGCTTGGGCCATCTGACCCCAAAAATTCCAAGATGAGAAGACAGTGTTGTCAAAGTGAGTGAGAAACCTAGATCTTGTTCTTCTCCAGATTTCATAGTCCTGAAGTCTGTATCACACCATATAGCACTTGATTGCATTTAGTCCAATACTTTTCACTGGTTGTTTCTTTTTTTTTTTTTTCTTTTTCTTTTATCGAGACGAAGTCTCGCTCTGTCACCCAGGCTGGAGTGCAGTGGTGCGATCTCGGCTCACTGCAGGCTCCGACTCCCGGGTTCACGCCATTCTCCTGCCTCAGTCTCCCGAGTAGCTGGGACTACAGGCGCCCGCCACCACGCCCGGCTAATTTTTTCGTATTTTTATTAGAGGCGGGGTTTCACTGTGTTAGCCAGAATGGTCTCGATCTCCTAACCTCGTGATCTGCCCGCGTCGGCCTCCCAAAGTGCTGGGATTACAGGCGTGAGCTATCGCGCCCGGCCTGGTTGTTTCTTTTGTGTAGTAAATTACAATATAAAATTCCCGGCCGGGAGCAGTGGCTCATGCCTGTAATCCCAGCACTTTGGGAGGCCGAGGCAGGTGGATCACAAGGTAATGAGTTCAAGACCAGCCTGGCCAATATGGTGAATCCTCATCTCTACTAAAGATACAAAAAATTAGCTGGGCATGGTGGCACCTGTAATCCCAGCTACTCGGGAGGCTGAGGCAGAAGAATCGCTTCAACCCAGGAGGCGGAGGTTGCAGTGAGCCGAGATCGCGCCATTGCACTCCAGCCTGGGCGATAGGGCGAGACTCAGTCTTAAAATAATAGTAATAGTAATAATAATAATAATAATAATTCTCGAAGACAGAGCCCACATCTCACAGCATGGCAGTAAGTTGTAGTAGGTGCATATTAGTAAGTACTAGGGGATAGAAGATAAATTCGGTGATCCTGACAGTTCCTCCTGCATTGACAAAAGGCCAAGACAACTGGTGGGGTGTAGGGAGAGGTGAGGATAAAAGTAGGTCGGAATCACAGGAAGTTTTCTTAGCATATATGTATTAGTCCGCCCACACTGCTCTGTCAACATCTCAGTTAGCAAGGGTGTGGGAGATATATATTCTGATAAAGCTCCCTAGGTGATTCTCATATTCTACCATCCTCACACTCCTGATTTATAATTACGGTTAGAAGAATGGAGAGATGCAAAGACAAGAGCAAATACCAAATACCCACTTCAGCTGGAAATTATTAAACAATTTTTCTAAAAAGAAAGAAGATAGGTCTTCCTTTTTCTTTTCTACTTTCCTTTGTGCTTCTTGCCATAGTAGTAGCAATAATACAAAGAAGGATATGCGTATCTCCATGTCTCAGATGGTAAAAAAGAAAGACAGAAGGAAAGAAAGACAGAAAAGAAAGGGCACATTGTAATACCGAAAGCTGCCCCATGACTATTCTCAACGAGGCTCAGATGGCCTATTTTTGCAGATCCAGGTGTTCTTCTTGTTTAGTTGCAGTTGTTCTATGTTCTTTTTCATATCTTCCTGAAAAATTCCCTCAGAAAGATCCCGGGTCCATGACATTAATGTCCACTAGTACACTAATATTTTCTAATTTGGTAGTTCTTAAATTTGAACAAGATTTTGAATAACCTGAAAGGCTTGTTAAAACACAAACTCCTAGAATCTACTCCTATAGTTTCTGATTCAGTAAGTGCGGGATGGCTGGGTGCAGTGGCTCACGCCTGTAATCCCAGCACTTTGGGAAGCTGAGGCAGGCGGATCACGAGGTCAGGAGATCGAGACCATCCTGGCTAACATGGTAAAACCCCATCTCAACCAAAAATACAAAAAATTTTAAGTGTGGATGGAATCCAATAATTTATATTTCTAATAAATTCCCAGATGATGTGGATGCTGCCGGTCTCAGGACATTTGAGAACCACTGTTCTGCTTATTAATAACTTCATACTTCCCATTGTAGATGGGAAATATCCCAGGAACTAGGAAGGGTGATTGAGAATGCCAATCCCAATAGATGTTAATAGCAGAAGACTTGACATTTGTGTGGGGAGAATAAATGCTCTTTTAGAATGATCATGTTCAGAAGTTTCACCAGCATTTGGATGAGACTGCTATGTAGTACTAGTGAGATTTTTAAACTAAAATTTGTCTTCCCTGTTTGAGATTTCTCATTAAAAAAAAAAAGTGGAGAGAAATTTACAGCCCATGAAGATGTCCCTTTTCCCCAATCTAGCATGAAATATATTTTGGAGCCACCTACCTTGCTGTATCTTTTTTTCTGTAACACTCTGAAACAATATCATCTCTCTTGGGGCATTAACATTGAAGTTAGCCAAGGTGAAAAGCACTGGAACAAAAATATAAATGTGTGTATTTATATATGACATATACTATCTATATACAATGTTTATATATTTGAACATTGTGTATTATAATGTTAATATTAAACTGTGTCTACATAGATATAATTTTCTGGTTCACAATTTGCTGCTTTTTTTCTTTTTTTTTTTTGAGATGAAGTCTCCCTCTGTCACCAGGCTAAAGTACAGTGGCATGATCTGGGCTCACTGCAACCTCTGCCTCGGGGGTTCAAGCAATTCTTCTGCCTCAGCCTCCCAAGTAGCTGGGATGACAGGCACGTGCCACCATGCCCAGCTGATTTTTGTATTTTTAGTAGAGACGAGGTTTCGCCATATTGGCCAGGCTGGTCTCGAACTCCTGACCTCGTGATCCGCCCACCTTGGCCTCCCAAAGTGCTGGGATTACAGGCATGAGCCACCGCGCCTGGCCTGCTGCTTTTTTTTTTTTTTTTTTGAGACAGAGTCTTGCACTGTTGCCCGTGCTGGAGTGCAGTGGTGCGATCTCAGCTCACTGCAACCTCCACCTCCCAGGTTCAAGTGATTCTCCTGCCTCAGCCTCCCAAGTAGCTGGAATTACAGGCGCCCACCACCACACCCAGCTAATTTTTTTGTATTTTTAGTAGAGACGGGGTTTCACTATGTTGGCCAGACTGGCCTCAAACTCCTAACCTTGTGATCCACCAGCCTCGGCCTCCCAAAGTGCTGGGATTACTGGCATGAGCCACTGCGCCCAGGCCCTGCTACTTTTTTTCTATGTCTAATAATTTCTTATTGGATATCAGACATTAAATACTATGTTGTTAAATATTTAAATTTTGTTGGCTTTTTTCAGAGTTTTGAAGTTTATATTGGCCCACAGGTTAGTATTACAGTCAGGTTAGTTGCCAATCAACTTGATTGTTCGAAGGTTTTTTTTTTTTTTTTTTTTTTTGAGACAGGGTATCGCTCAGTTACTCAGACTGGAGTGCAGTGGAAGGATCATAGTTCACTGTAACTTTGAACTTCTGGGCTCAAGTGATCCTCCTACCTCAACCTCCCTAGTAACTGGGACTACAGGCACATGCCATCACCCTTGGCTGACTTTTACTTTTTATTTTTTGTAGAGGGAGGATCTGGCTGTGTTGCCAGGCTGGTCTTGAACTCCTGGACTCAAAGGATCCTCCTACCTCAGCCTCCCAAAACACTAGGATTACAGGCGTTAGCCATCTGCCTGGCTGATTTTATCGTTTTGTCTGCTTGACCTATCACTATAGAAATAGATGTTAACATCTCTCATTATGATTGTGGGATTTGTCTCTAATTCCTCTCATTCTTGGATTTGGATCATTTTATCATATCTAGTGACCTTTTTTATCTTTAGTAATGCTTTTGCCTTAAAATACTGCTTTTTTCTGATATTAATAGATCTATGCTACCTTTTTTTTGTTGAGTATTTGCCTGCTATTCTCTTCCTTACTGTTTTCAACTTTTCTGTATTATTGTTTTGAGCTGTACATTTTAAGAAGACTGAAAGAATTCAGTTAAACCTTGTTTTGTTACTGTAAAACAGGTGTCCCCATAAACATTAGCAATATTAGCTTGTGATAAAATATGCTTTTTCCTTCAAAATAGTTTTCTTGTTTTATATTTAGTTTTGGAGGTTGGTACAACATAGGGAAGACAATACAAAGCAGTTGAGTATATTATTATAGAATCCAATAAAGAAAATAAAAAGTATAAGAACTTTAACAAGATCAAGCTGTGGAAGCGATCTTTAGATGAAATCAGATCCTAAGTGCAAGGCCAAAGGATAAGAGAAAAAAACAAGAAGTTTTGAAATCTATAGAAAAGAAAAGCCTCCAAAATGTGCAGTTTGAAGCTCCAACCACTACAACACCCAAGACCTGGTCTGAAAAGATCAGAAATGCCCATGAATAGGATTGGAAGAGACTATTGAAAGGAAAGAATCATCCAGAACTTATAAAGCAAGATTTAGTGAGTAAGCCGTAAGTATGATTTTTATGAGAACCTGTGTTTGCACACATATATATGTGATTTGCACCCTGAGACTTTAGTACTCTCACTGGCTTATTGTGTATTCATGTGATGATCAACTATGATTCACGATTCTCCTTCCCAAGCCTTCCCCTCCTTGAGTATTCCCTGTTTAAGTAAATGGCCTCCACCCATTAGCTTAAGCCAAAAATCTGAAAGTCATCCTTGATTCATTCATCCTTACCTCACGATCTACTGATCCTATTTCTTAAATATCTCATGAATCAGTCCATATTTTCCCCCTTCTCTGTCAGTCCCCAATCCATTTCCTCCAGCTGCCTCCTAATTGGCTTACCCACATATATATTACAGTGTTTGTGCGCCATCATCTCCTCCATTCTGTACATAGTGCCCAGAATGATCTTTTTAAAATGCAAGTGATCACGTCACTTCCCTGCTTAAATATATAAACCAAAAAGCAAAGAAACAAACAAAAAACTTAAATGGCTTTCCACTACCTTCAGTACAAAGGCCAAATCCTTTATAAAGCCTCCAAGATCTGGATCCTGTCTCTCTACAATGTAGCCATGTTGGCTTTCCTTTCGACACTACTTCAAAATCAATTCAATGCTGGATCCTCTGCCTAAACTACTTTCCCCTCTTAGCCAACTAAGAAGTTTCTTAGACAACTCTTCTTCATTTTTCATGTTTTAGCTTTGATATCTCAGGCTGAAGTGGAGGATAGCCTGAGCCTGGGAGGTCGAGGCTGCAGTGAGCTGTACTCCAGGATGGGTAACAGAGCGAGACCCTGTCTCAAAACAAAGACAAACAAACGAAAAACCCAACAACAACACAACACAACACAAACAAAACAAAACTACACAAAACACAAAAAAGGTATTTTGTGTTTCCATTTTTCAGATGAGAAAATTGAGGTTCAGAGATGAAAACTACTGTTTATGGCCTCAAAGCAACTTGGGTGACTGTTAGATTATGATTATGCCTTATGTTTTCTGTGTTTGACACTGAGGTATGGCCACTATTCCAAAACTGTTTTTATGATTAGATAAAGGCTATGCTTAGATAGTCTGATACTAAAAAATAAATCATTCCAAATCCTAAAAATGTTTCCAACTGCATGTCAGCATAATGCCGTAACCCTTCCTTTCTAAGGTAACAACATTGTTCTCAAAATAGAGATTTTGCCTCATATCAAATAGATTACAATTAGGGTGAACTAAATTATGAAAACCAAACTGAAAACAAAACACAGAGCTTTTTTTTATGTACCAGTCTTCTAAGTTATTCATGTCATGAAAGTGCAATTCTCCTTATGTCTGTAATTCTCTTTGCTTTGGCCGCAGTTCTTCCGACATAGCTTTCCAGCAATGTCATACATTTTCGTTTAAACATTATGTTCTAGTTGTGTGACTAACACTGACAAATTTGTCTGTGACAAGAGTTCTTCCTTACTACTTGAGCAGCTTGTCACCACTTCCCTTCAGTGCAGGGTGGTTCTAAGTGAGTGGTCTTTTAGAGAAACTCCCAGTGGTGTCTGGAAGTGACCTCACAATCAAGTTAAATAAGGTTTAGGGAGTTGAGCAAACTGTTTGGACTGAATGAGGCTGATTTCATTTTTTGCTTCAATGACAATCATCTAATTGTTGAGACTCTTGGGCATCTTAAGCAAAAAATGTAGAATTTACTCAAAATGTTTAGGCAGTGTAGCCTGTTTCTATGGCAACAGTAAGTAAATAAACTGAAAACATAATTTATTTTTTTTTTTGAGACTGACTCTCACTCTGTCACCTAGGCTGGAGTGCAGTGGCATGATCCTGGCTCACTGCCACCTCCACCTCCTGGGTTTAAGCAATTCTCATGCCTCAGCCTCCTAAGTAGCTGGAATTACAGGCGCACGCCACCACACCTAGCTAATTTTTGTATTGTTAGTAGAGATGCAGTTTCTCCATGTTGGCCAGGCTGGTCTCAAACTCCTGACCTCATGCGATCTGCCTGCCTTGACCTCTCAAAGTGCTGAGATTACAGGTTTGAGCCACCGTGCCTGGCCCGAAAGAATAAATTTAAGTGAAAGAATCATAAGTATGTGACTAAGAAAGGTTTATTTTCCAATTGTACCTTGCATCTGTCCAATTGCTTGAAAAAATATCCAAAGTATTTTTGAACCAACTTTTTTTTTTTTTTTTTTTGAGACAGGGTTTGCTCTGTTGCTCAGGCTGGAGTGCAGTAGTGTGATCAATCCCACCTCAGCCTCCTGAGTAGCTGGGACTACAGGCTTGTAGCACCATGCCTGGCTAATTTTGTTTTTTATTTTTTGTAGAGATGGAGCCTCACTGTATTGCCCAGGCTGGTCTCAAACTCTTGAGACCTCAGGCTCTCAAAGTGCTGGGATTACAGGTGTAAATCATACTGTCTGGCAGTACCAGCTCTTTAATGCTAAAAACCTTTTTTTTTTTTTTTAGACAGAGTCTCCCTCCATCGCCCAGGCTGTAGTGCAGTGGTGCAATCTCAGCTCACTGCAACCTCTGCCTCCTGGGTTCAAGTGATTCTCCTGCCTCAGCCTCCCGAGTAGCTGGGACTACAGGCGCATGCCACAACTCCTGGCTAATTTTTGTATTTTTTTTTTTTAAGTAGAGACGAGTTTCACCATGTTGGCCAGGATGGTCTCAATCTCCTGATCTCGCGATGCACCTGCCTTGGCCTCCCAAAGTGCTGGGATCACACGTTAGCCACTGCTCCCGGCCCTAATGCTAAAAACGTTTAAATTGCTTGTAGATATAATATTTTCTGCAATCTGCTTTTTTACATCCTCAACATAGTAAAATGCTATAAGAATTAGAGACTGACATACTTAGTAAAGCCATCACTAAGTTTTACTTCTCAATTTACTATTTTTTAATAGATATTTTATTATACGTCCAATCACTTTGAAGGAAATGATACAAAGAGGGGAATAAAAAAGGATAAGACATGATTAAGAATTTAGCAAATAATTGGAAAGATGAAATTAGCATATGAGAAACGATGCAGTAAAAACCAGCAATGTCTGGAGCCAGAGTTAAGGAAGTTGTGGAGTAACAAACAAGTTAAAACATTATTTCTGAGGAGGTACACTGGTAAGATTTTTTTTTTCTTTTTCTTTTTTTTTTTGAGATGGAGTCTCACTCTGTCCACCCAGGCTGGAGTTCAGTGGCGCAATCTCAGCTCACTGCAACCTCCGCCTCCTGGGTTCAAGCGATTCTCCTGCCTCAGCCTCCCAAGTAGCTGGGATTACAGGCGCCCGCCACCACGCCCGGCTAATTTTTTTTTTTGTATTTTTAGTAGAGACGAGGTTTCAGCGTGTTGGCCAGGCTGGTCTCCAACTCCTGACCTCAAGTGATCCGCCCGCTTCAACCTCCCTTTTACCAGGGCTACTTTTTTTTTTAACTTGTTTCATGGAAAATTTCAGACGTGTACAAAAATAGTAAAATGCATTTTCAGGCATCACCAAGCCACTCTGACAGTTTTATTTTCTTGGAATGCTCTTCCTCTAGACATAGTCACAAGGCTGACTTCCTCACACCTTTCAGAATTTAACTCAAATGACATTTCAGAGAGGTCTTCTCTGACTACTCTATTTAACACTGCACCTCAACACTCCTTCTGCCTCTTCCCTTTCCTGTTTTTCACCATAACTTTGATCACCTAACATTTTATAATTTTTTACATGTTTTTTTCTGATCTGTTCACAATCTAATAAACTACATGAAGGCAAGGATTAACAAATGTTTTCTTAACTGATATGTCCTAGTACCTAGAACAATTCCTGATACATAGAAGGGCTTAACAGTCAATGAGTGAATGAATATTAATATGGGGAGTTGTTAAAAAATAGAAAAATAGGAAGCGGCCCCGTGGCCGGAAGTGGGCCTAGAGCGCCGCAGCCCAAGATGTAGCTGGCCGTGGATGAGATGTTTCCAAGGGCGCCGGGCCCTACGTGGACCTGGACGAGGCGGGAGGCAGCACCAGGTTCTTGATGGACTTGGCAACTAATGAAAAGGCTGTTCATGTAGACTTTTTAAATGGTTTTGAAGATCTCTTTGATGATGATGACATCTAGTGAGATGCCGTCTGGCTGCAGGCGGGTCCAAGCCCTTGGTACAGAGCCGTGGTGTGAGCCTGCGCAGGGCAGTTTCAGGTGATTTTAAAGAACATATGGAAATACGTTGAAATTAGGACCTGGTTAACCAAGAAAGACAAAATTGTACTTGACCACCTGGATGAGGCTGTTAATCTCTGAACGTGACCAGGTTTTGCCTTCACTTCAATTAAAAGAAAGCAATGTCACATGCCAAAAAAAAAAAAATTACAACAGAGTTTGGACAGTATTATACGATGCTAGGGAAAAAACATGTGGATTGTGACAGAGGTTAAGCAGTCACCAAATATTCTCTACTCTGAATTTCCCTGCTAACTTGGTAGCTAGGCAGGGTTACAATTACTAACATGGCAAATAAATTGTGAGCGTAAGGGAAGTATGTCAATTATGGGATCAGGCAGTAAAAGTTCCATGCATGATTTTCCAGTCTCTTTTCACTATTCTGGTCACTAAAGATGTCATGTATTTCAGATTTTGACCAGAATAGGGTGGAACTGCCATTAGCCTCTATCCCTGAGTGATTACATGGAGAAAGTGCCCTAACAATTGGTGTAAGACAAAAAAAAACTTATTGTGTTAAGCCACAGAGATTTGGGAGGTTGTTTGTTATTGCAGACTTATTCTGACTATATGCAAATATATGTACACAAACCAGCATTTATTAAGCACGTACTATATGTCAGGCACAATGCTGAACACTTTACATATATTATTTTATTAAACCTTCATCAAACTCTGCAAGCCTGTACTATTACACTGACATGAGAAAACTGGGACAATGTGAGGACAAATCATTTGTCCAAGGTGGTCAGCTAAATGGAAGGGCTGAAAATGAAACCCAGGCAGTCTGAAGAAACATCTATCAAGCTGTTAACTGTGGTTGATATGGTTTGGCTCTGTGTCCCCACCCAAATCTCATCTCAAATTGCAACCCCCATGTGTTGAGGGAGGGACCTGGTGGGAGGTGATTGGACCATGAGGGCGGTTTCCCCCATGCTGTTCTTGTGATAGTGAGGGAGTTCTCACGAGAGCTGATGGTTTTGAAAGTGTTTGGCAGTTTCCTGTTTGTTCTGTCTCCCTCCTGCCTTGTGAAGGTGTGCCTTGCTTCCTCTCACCTTCCACCGTGACTGTAAGTTTCCTGAGGCCTCCCCAGCCATGTGGAACTGAATCAATTAAACCCTCTTTTGTTTATAAATTACCCAGTCTCAGGTAGTATCTTTATAGCAGTGTGAAAACGGACTAACACGGTGGTTATCTTTGAAGGCAGAAATAAGGAGACTGATCACTCTTTGTTCTATATTTCTGTAATATTTCAAGGTTGTTATTTTTTTTTTTTCAACCTCCACCTCCCAGGTTCAAGTGAATTCTCCTGCCTCAGCCTCTAGAGTAGCTGGGACTACAGGCGCGTACCACCACACCTGGCTAATTTTTGTATTTTTTAGTAGAGACAGAGTTTCACCATGTTGGCCAGGCTGGTCTCAAATTCCTGGCCTCAAGTGATCCGCCCACCTCGGCCTCTCAAAGTGCTGGGATTACAGGCGTGAGCTGTGGCCAGCTTTATTGAGTTCTTAAGTTCAAATGTCTATAAAGAAAAAAAGTGATATGGTTTGGCTCTGTGTCCCCACCCAAATCTCACCTTGAATTATAATAATCCCCACGTGTCATGGGAGGGACCCAGTGAGAGGTAACTGAATCATGGAGGTGGGTTTTCCCATGCTGTTCTCGTGATAGTGAATAAGTCTCATGAGATCTGATAGGTTTTTTTTTTTTTGAGATGGTGTCTCACTGTGTTGCCCATGCTGGAGTAGAGTGGCGCGATCTCGGCTCACTACAACCTCCACCTCCTGGGTTCAAGTGATTCTCCTGCCTCAGCCTCCTGAGTAGCTGGGATTACAGGCGCCCACCACCACACCTGGCTAATTTTTGTATTTTTAGTAGAGACAGGGTTTCTCCATGTTGGCCAGGCTGGTCTCGAACTCCTGAACTCAAGTGATTTGCCCACCTCAGCCTCCCAAAGTGCTGGGATTACAGGCATGAGCCACCATGCCTGGCCAATCTGATGGTTTTATACAGGGGAGTTCCCCTGCACATGCCCTCTTGCCTGCTGCCATGTAAGACACGACTTTGCTCCTTCTTTGCCTTCCACCATGATTGTGAGGCCTGCCCAGCCATGTGGAACTAGGAGTCCATTAAACCTCTTTCTTCCTCTCTTTCTGCCTTTCTTTCTTTCTTTCTTTTTTTTTTTTTTTTTTTTTTTTGAGACAGAGTCTCGCTCTGTTGCCCAGGCTGGAGTGCAGTGGCGCGATCTCCTCTCACTGCAAGCTCTGCCTCCCGGGTCCACGCCATTCTCTTGCCTCAGCCTCCCGAGTAGCTGGGACTACAGGCACCCACCACCACGCCTGGCTAATTTTTTGTATTTTTAGTACAGACGGGGTTTCACTGTGTTAGCCAGGATGGTCTCGATCTCCTGACCTTGTGATCCACCCGCCTCAGACTCCCAAAGTGCTGGGATTACAGGCATGAGCCACCGCACCCGGCCCCTCTTTCTTTTTTTTGATGGAATTTCACTCTTGTTGCCCAGGCTGGAGTGCAATGGCATGATCCCAGCTCACTTTTTTTTTTTTTTTTTTGACGGAATTTCAGTCTTGTCACCCAGCCTGGAGTGCAATGGCATGATCCTGGCTCACTGCAACTTCCGCCTCCCAGGTTCAAGCAATTCTCCTGTCTCAGCCTCCCGAGTAGCTGGGATTACAGGCACCCACCACCACGCCCGGTGAATTTTTGTATTTTTTTAGTAGAGATGGGGTTTCACTGTGTTGGCCAGGCTGGTCCTGAACTCCTGACCCCAGGTAATCCACCTGCCTCGGCCTCCCAAAGTGCTGGGATTACAGGCATGAGCACCTCTTTTTCTTTATAAATTACCCAGTTTCAGGTATGTCTTTATTAGCAGCATGAGAACAGGCACACAGCCTCACTCATAAAAAAAAGAAAAATTATAGCTGGGTACAGTGGCTCATGCCTATCATCCCAGCAGTTGGGAGGCTGAGGTGGGCACATGATGGCTTGAACTCATGGCTAGTCATGAGTTCGAGACTAGCCTGAGCAATGTGGTGAAACCTCATCTTTAATAAAGATACAAAAAAATTAGCTGGGTGTGGTGCTGCACGCCTGTAGTCCCAGTAACTCGGGAGGCTGAGGTGGGAGGATTGCTTGAGCCCAGAAGGCAGAGGTTGCAGTGAGCTGAGATTGTGTAGCCATATTCCAGCCTGGGCAACAGAGTGAGAACTTGTTTCAAAAAGAAAAGGAAAATTGCTTGAGTTTCACTTGCATTATGGAAATAATAGTGCCCACCTTATGTCACAGGATTCATATGAGGATCAAATGAAATAATTTATAAACATGTTTAGAGAATGTCTTCGCCTATTTTCTACTACTGTAATAGAATACCAAGACTGGGTAATTCATAATAAAAAGAAGCATATTTGGCTCACAGTTCTGGAGGCTGGGAAGTGCAAGAGCATAGTACCAGTATCTGTTGAGGGTCACCCCATGGCTGAAGGCATCACATGGAAGGAGTAGTGTAAGAGAAAGAAAGACAGGGAGGAGCTGAACTCATCCATTTTATCAGGAAACCACTCCCACGGTAACAGCATTAATCCATATTATGTGAGGGAAGAGCTCTCATGACCTAATCACCCCTTAAGGGCCTCACCCTCTTAATACTGTACCATGGCAATTAAATCTCAATGTGAGTTTTGGAGGGGACATTAAAACCATAACAGAGAATTATAACTTTAAGACCATATTAAGTATGTACCATATTACCTTTTTTTTTTTTTTGAGACAGAGTCTCGCTCTGTTGCCAGGCTGGAGTGCAGTGGTGCAATCTCGGCTCACTTAAACCTCCACCTCCTGGGTTCCAGTAATTCTCCTGCCTCAGCCTCCTGAGTAGCTGGGACTACAGGCGTGTGCCACTACGCCCAGCTAATTTTTGCATTTTTAGTAGAGACAGGATTTTACCATGTTGGCCAGGATGGTCTCGATCTCTTGACCTCATGATCCACCCACCTCAGCCTCCCAAAGTGCTGGAATGGTACAGGCGTGAGCCACCGTGCCTGGCCTGTACCATATTTCATCCAATCTTAGACACATCCATTGTATGACACGCCATTAATTTATATACCACTAAGAAAGAAACAATGTGGCTAATTTAAAATTATAATATCTTATCACTTGGAACTTGTAATACCTAGTGAAACAACTCTTCTATACTTAATTAGACATGGATTGTTATATCTAATTCCTGTGCAAACATTAAGAGGAAAATATAAATGAAATAAATTGGCTAAGGTATTCTTTTTTGGGGGGGGATGGAGTCTCGCTGTTGCCCAGGCTGGAGTGCAATGGCACAATCTCGGCTCACTGCAATCTCTGCCTCCCAGGTTTCAAGTGATTCTCCTGTCTCAGCCTCCCGAGTAGCTGGGACTACAGGCATGTGCCAGCACACCAGCTAATTTTTGTATTTTTTCTGAGAGACAGAGTTTCACTATGTTGGCCAGGCTGGTCTTGAACTCCTGACCTCGTGATCTGCCCGCCTTGGCCTCCCAAAGTGCTGGGATTACAGGTGTTAACCATGGTACCCGGCCAAGGTATTCTTAAACTTCTCATTCAGGCCAACGTTCCTGAATCACTTCTCAACTCAATCACTGACATCTATGTTTATCCACGTAATAGCCTTATTTGTGCCAATGAGAATATTGTTGTTGGTCAGACGCGGTGGCTCACACCTGTAATCTTAGCACTTTGGGAGGCCCAGGTGGGTGGATCACAAGGTCAGGAGTTCAAGACCAGCCTGGCCAACATGGTGAAACCCCATCTCTACTAAAAATACAAAAATTAGCTGGGTGTGGTAGTGCGCACCTGTAATTCCAGCTACTCAAGAGGCTGAGGCAGGAGAATTGCTTAATTGGAACCCAGGAGGTGGAGGTTGCAGTGAGCTGAGATCACACCACTGCACTCCAGCCTGGGCTACAGAGTAAGACTCCCTCTCAAAAAAAAAAAAAAAAAAAAAAAAAAAAAAAGAATAATGGTGAATGCAGCATTTCTTCTAAGAATCTAGAAAAATAAATAAAAATCAACCAAAGGACATACCAATGGTTCCATTAAACCAGAAGTTGAGACTGTCTCCTGGTTATCTTGGGCTCCTCATTGCCAAGTGAACCTACAGGCAAAGAAAGGGGTTAACTGTACTGGCCAGAGTAATCGACCTTGTCTATTAAGGAGAAATTGGGTTCTTATGGCCCAATGTGGGTAAGGAGGAGTATATGTGGAAAGTATGAGATCTCTGGGGGTACCTCTTACAAGCCTTGTGTTCTGTGATTTTAGAATTGCTTATGTTTCACTTTTTGCTAATTTATAAAACATACAGCAGTTTGTTGTACAGGATAAACTCACTGAAAACATTTGACCAGAAGTCTGATAAGAAAAACGGGGAGGGCCATATGCTTAAGATTAGTGGTGTGTACATAAGCATTTTTTTAAATTTTTGTTTGTTTTGAGACAGGGTCTTGCTCTGTGGCCCAGACTGGAGTGCAGTCTTGCAATCATGGCTCACAGCAGCCTCTGCCTCCCGGGCTCAGGTTATCCTCCTACCTCAGCCTCCTGAGTAGATGGGACTACAGGCACATGCCACCATGCCTGCCTAATTTTCAGTATTTTTTTTTGTAGAGACAGGTTTTTACCATGTTGCACAGACTGGTCTCAAACTCCTGGGCTCAAGAGATCCACTTGCTTAGGCCTCCCAAAATGTTGGAATTACAGGTGTGAGCCACTACGCCCAGCCATGAGTGTTTATTTTATTTATGCCTTACATATTCTTTTTTTTTTTTTTTTTTTTTTTAGAGACAGGGTCTTGCTCTATTGTCCAGGCTGGATTCAACCTTGTGGGCTCAAGTGATCCTCCTGCCTCAGCCTCTGGAGTAGCTGGGACTACGGATGCATACCACCACATTCTGCTCATGCCCTATATATTCTTTTGTATGTATGGGTGTAAAAACAGAGATAAAAACAGAGATATGGATGCCATCAACTCACTGATGTTTGAAGTTCTGAGAAAGCATAAATCAGTAAAGGAGTTAACTGAAATTTAAATCTCACAAATGAGCAAAAAATATGATTTCTGGTATATGATCTATGGGGTTCTTTGAATACTATTGCTTAAGAATAAAATACTTTGCGATTTCAATAAATTGAAAATTATGGTACAAGGCAAGGAAGGGGAGCTACTAGCTATGAGACTTTTGTAAATTATGTAACATCTCTGAACCTCTGTTTCCTCATCTGTTAAAATAGGGACAAAGTGCTACTTAGGTAAGACACTTCAGAAATGGGGCTCTGAAAAAAGTCACTTTTCTTCTCCTAACGAAAGGTTTCTAAACCTCAGCACTCCAGACATTTCAGGCCAGGTAATTCTTTGTTGTGCGGCGCTGTCCTGCGCACTGTAAGGCGTGAAGCAGTATTCCCGGCCTCTACTCACCTGTGCCCTCCACCATCTGTAGATTCCAATGACATCTCACCCCAGATGAGAGGCTGAAAATGATTCATACATTGCCAAATGTCTCCTGGGAGGCAAAACTGTTGCAGTGGAGAACCGCTGTCCTAACCCCATGTTCATCCAATAAAGGGTTTGAGGGACTGAGAAATGAAACAATAGTCCCGAAGGAGTAGAATGCAGTGGCCCCAACTCCTAGTTTCATGAAGGCAGGAACTGTGACTCAGAGGCCTGGGGATGCGGAGCTCTGAACTGCCAGCTGGTAGGAAAAGTCCTAATTAATGGATTGAATCATGAAGGGAGGGCAACAAGGAACAAATGGAGAGGGCCAGTGGCCGAGCCTTCGGTCTCAGGATCAAAGAGGCCCACACTGGTCACCACTTACGCTGCTGGGCTGACTGCTAGGTAGACGTATCTGCAGATAAACCGAGACAATGACGCGGTGGGAAAGGCCTTGGGGAGCGAGGAGGAGGAGCCGGGAGAGGCCAGCTTTGGTCCGGCGGCCACCGCCCCAGGCGCCGCGACTCGAGCCTCAGGCCCCGCCCCTCGCCCTCCTGGTCCCGCCCCCGCTCTCCGAGCCCCGCCCCTCGCCCTCCTGGTCCCGCCCCCGCTCTCCGGGCCCCGCCCCTCGCTCTCCGGGCCTGGGCGGGTGGCGCCTTGGCCTCCGCCTCCGCTCGCCTGCGCGCGGCCCTGCGTGAGGGGGCAGAGGCGAGGTGGAGGCGTTGGCGCTGCCACGTCTGGGCCGCGGTTCCCAACTGTGGCGCGGGCGGTGGAGGAGGAGGTGGGGCTGGCGCTGAAGCCGGATCCGGATCCGGTGCTGTGCACACTGGTGGGGGAGAGTCCGACGCGCCTGGCTAGGAGCGCCGACCGCAGGGCCTCTACGGGTGAGGAGGGACCGGGGCCGGGGCGCGAGAGCAGGACCGTGTGTCCTGGGGGCTGGGGCGGGCCTGCCCTCAGGTTTATCTAACAGGTGTGTCTGGTGCCCCGGCCAGGCCCCCGGGGGTGTTGTGTGGAGGAGCTGGGCGTTAATCCTCGCCAGCTGGGTGCACATGGTGTGGAGCGCGGTTCCCAGGAAGTTGAACGCACGCGCGCCTGGAGCAGAGGTTAAGGATGATGGCCAGCGGTCCGGCCATACGCTGGTCTTGGCCTGGCAGGGCTGGAACTGGGACTGGGGTCGGAACTTCGCTCCCCAGACTTTGGCGTGGGAAATGAGACAGTTGGTCGCGCTCTCTGCAGCCATCGGTTTTGAATGGGCACGAACGTCCCAGGCCCCTTCTCTTCTCCCATTCCCGGGCGCATCCCACGGTGGTCGGAGCCATTGAGGCAGCTGCTCCGAAGACCACCTCCGCACCGAGTAGGTCGGCGCTTTCCCCAGGGTACAGAGGGACATTCTTTGTCTCTTTTTCCTAGGCTCCTACCCCTAGAAATACCGAGTACTGTACTGTGATTTCTGTTGCGGGAGCTGATGTTTATGTAAGCCAAACTAATTTAAAATTTTCATACAAAATTGAACGGGCGATTATAGGATTCGTTTTGTTAGGATAATCCCTCATGAACGAATCCTAGAATGGATCTTAAGAAATTAATTTAGGCAGGATTTGCTAAATAGGGGAGAGAGCGCTAGCTGTATGGTATGATGATGTAAAGATTGGGGTCTGTTGAGGATGGTAATCGAGCTCAAGATGCGAAAACGAGGATTCTAGCCCCAAGTCACTTACTTGCTGTGTTACCTAAGGGGCAAGTCTTGGGAGTTCCAGGTGCTCCAGCTTCCTCATCGGTAGACTGGGAATAACGCCTAGATTGTAAAGGTCAAACTATCAGAAAATACTTTTGAACATTCATGCAGTTACACAATTTAATAAATATGGCCAGGTGTGTTAAAAATCTTTAACGGAATAGATTCAGAATGGATTCTTGTTATCGAAATTGTTATAAAATGAATATAAAGGAATCCGAAGTCCGCCCCTCCCCCATTCACCTGTACTTAGAAGGTTCCCCAGGAGCTCTTGAGAAATACATAGGCTGGTTTAGATTTGGCCTTAGATTGTATTTTTTAAAATTTGTAGATCGACTTTTAAAATCTTCATCTCCGGTGTCTATTACTTGTTGCTCTCCGTTGGTTGCTTCTAGCAGCAGCCTCTCTCCCCATTCGTATTCCAACCTGATACAGAGGCTCAGACGCCAAATAGTTGAAGTTTTGTTTAAAAAATATTCAATTGAGTGAAAAAATATTCAACTGATGTGATGACTAGTAAAAATGAATTTGGTGTATGCTTTCCGCGATATTGTGGCAGTTTGGGAATTTTTTTTTTTTTTTTTTTTTTTGTCCTTCTGGATTTTCTGAAATGTGACCTACAGGTAAGTCTTATTCGTTATTCATTCACTAGGCATTATTGGGCTAGGGTTAGGCTTAAACGGGTCTTCTAAACGCCTGCTAATTTAGCAGTTAATCAGAAAAGGTTCTGAGGAATACTTAAGGAGGATTAGTGTTTAAAGTTCATCTAAAAACTTTAAAGAACCTAATGATATGATGAGATTCCGCTTCACACAACTGTGCAATTTTATTCGCAGAAATTTCCTAGTTTTGCAATATCTGGGCACCTGAAGATGCTAAAAGATTATTTATATAAAATTACTTATTTAATTATGTTCTAAACCCCCTTGGAACCAGGTTTCAAGTCATATCTTGCTTCACTTTGCCCAGTACCTTAGTTGGGCACCAGCAGAATTTTACGGTTTGAGGACAGAGTGAGCTAAAGTGGGCCTTCAGTATGGCTCTGTTTTGTAGAATAGCTCATAAAAAAATTTTTGATGTTAATTTCTGATTGCCTGGTTAATAGATTCTTATTTCAATCTGTAATGCTTTGTTTAATGTATTTTGACTAGTCTGATTCCCATTTTCCAAATGTAGGTTCTAAGTGCTGCTTATGACTTAATTTTTAACCCTTGTACAACAGTAAGATAGGGAATTTATCTACTCTAGTGCATCTTCAGTGTAATGGTTAAGAGCAGAGTCTGAAGTCATACTACCTAGCAGGACTGGCTACGTAATCTGTGGTAATCCAAATTAAAATGCAGGGTTCCTTGTTAAAAAATTAAGAACTTCAAAACAGTGGCAGCAGGGTATCAAACTTAAGTGCAGGGCCCTGTGTAACGGCACAGGTCAGGGGCTTCTGAAGCTGGCCCTGTTGCCTCATTTTGAATCCTCACTCTGTTCTTATTGGCACTCTAACCTTGAGCAAGTTACTGTGCCTGCTTCCTTATCTGTAAAATTGGGATAATAATGATACATCGTTCATTGTATTTTTAAGAGTTAACATATAGAAAGTTTTCAATAAGTGTTAGCCAATATTATTTATTTTTATGATCATTCGTGGAAAAGGACTGTCTCATCAAAGAAAAGTACAAGAAAATATTAGTATTTCCTGGTTAAAATTCATTATTTAAGGGCTTCATAATCCTAGTTGTTTTCCTGTATACTTCTTCCCTCTCATGAAAATTATTAACCCTATTTTTCATGTTTTCTAGACCACATTTTTATTGTAAACACAGACAACTTTATAGGAAAAAGGAATCTAGTTAAATGTGGTTAAGGTTGATTTAAATTCTCTTTTGAGTTTTCTTTGAACTTTGTATTTACAACTATATGTTTAATAGCAAGACCAAAATGTTTAAATAGTGTGCTGCCTCGAGGAATTTACATTTTTAATACTGTACACATTTCACTTTATTAATACTTAGCCTGTTTATCTACATACCTGAAAAACAATGTTGCTACCTACCATTCAGATGAGATTACACACAAAAACCTCAAGGGTCCAATTTAGACAAAACACTAAAACACGTGGACTCAATTTCATCTATTAAAAACTTGTTTTGGCTGAGCATGCTGGTTCACACTTGTAATTCCAGAACTTTGGGAGGCTGAGGCTGGAGGATCACTTGAGGTCAGGAGTTCAAGACCAGCCTTTCCAACATGGCAAAGCCCCATCTCTACTAAAAATACAAAAATTAGCCAGGCGTGGTGGTATGAGCCTGTAGTCACAACTACTCTGGAGGCTGATGTGGGAAGCTGAGGTAGGAGGATCACTTGAGCCCAGGAGTTTGAGGCTGCAGTGAGCTATGATTGCACCACTGCACTCCAGCCTGGGCAACAGAGTAAAACCCTGTCTCAAAACAATAAAACAAAACAAAAAACCTATTTTGAATGGCTATTAAACTTGTTAAATTTGAAATGACTGCTTGATCATCACAATTTCTATATTTTCCTTAATATTGTTAGAACTGGGTATAGTGTATGCAGCATAATTTGAATCATTTTGTGTGTGTGTGGCTGGGGGGACCTCTCAGCAGTCTACATTATAAACTACGTTCTTTTCTACCCAAGAATGCTAACTTTTGGTATAACATAAACGTAAGAGCCTGTCATTCTTTTTGTAGTTCCTGTAACCAGCACAGTGCCTGATTCATGAATTAAAGGTAAAAAAAAATGAACAAGAATTTATAAACTTTAATTTTAAATTTATTGCTAACTAGCATATATCTTATTAAGTACTTGCAGTATTCCAGGCACTGCTAAGTGCATGACTGCATACAGTAATGCATTTAATTCTCCCAGTAATTTCATCTCCATTTTACAAATGAGGAAACTAGATTCTAAAAGCTTAATTACCGTAGTACATATCACACAGTTGACATTTGAACACCAGGTATGAATCCAAAGCTCATGCTCTTTCTATGCCTAGGTTTAAATCCTGGCTCCGCTAATTTTGTGACCTTGGGCAAGTTACTTAACATTTTCTCATCTGTTAAAATGTAGATAATAACCACTCCTAACCTGTAGGATGGTTGAAATAAATGAATTAGTAAAGCTCTTTCAACAGTCTGGCACATAAGAAGTGCTGAGCAAGTGTTAACTTCTGTTGTTACATCACATCACACTACCTTCCCATAACTAGTATATTGCAGCATTGCTTATATAGTTACATAGGATTATACAGGCAGAAACTTATTATCCATCTTTAAGGAAAAGTTAAGAATATTTGCCCTAAAGCATACTGTGACTTATGAAATAAGGAACAATTGGGGGTTAGGTTATTGGGCAAATTGTTCTCTCATTAAAATATGGTTTCTTTAACTGGATATAGAAATAAGTTGGGGACTGCTTTTTTTGGATCTCTAATCCAAAAATCCAAAACACTCCAAAATTTGAAACTTTATTGAGGGCCAACATGATGCCACAAGTGGAAAATTCCACATCTGGTATAATGTACAAAAACTTTTCCATGCACAAAATTATTTAAAATATTGTGTAAAATATTTGTGCTATCTGTATAAGATGTATATGAAACACAAATGAATTTTGACTTGGGTCCCATCCCCAAGATATCTCATTATGTATATGCAAATATCCCCAAATCTGAAAAAAAAAAAAAAAAAAAAAAAAAAAAAAAATCCAAAACCTGAAACATTTCTGGTCCCAAGCATTTTGGATAAGGAATACTCAACTTTTAATTGTTGGGAAGCATCTGTTTCTTTTAGCAATTCTGTGCTGCACAGAAGCCCCCTGGCCCCAGTTTTATGCTTTGTATGATTTGTTTTTCATCCTTCCTATCGTTACTTCTCTGTTATTTAGTCTCAGTTTTAAAACATTACAACTAGTGAGAACCTGCTCATTTCTAAATGTTCAAAAAAGAGGGGGAAATATCATGATCACTTTTCAATAGCATGAAAAACACCAGCTATTTTTAAGCTGCTTAGATGCAACTGAGAAACACTATACAGTTTAATTTTAATTTAATTTTTTTGAGACGGAGTTTCACTCTTGTTGCCCAGGCTGGAACGCAATGGTGTGATCTCAGCTCACTGCAGCCTCCACCTCCTGGGTTCAAGTGATTCTCCTGCCTCAGCCTCCCAAGTAGCTGGGATTACAGGTGGCCACCACCACACCTGGCTAATTTTGTATTTGTAGTAGAGACAGGGTTTCGCCATGTTGGTCAGGCCGGTCTTGACCTCCTGACCTCTGGTGATCTACCTGCCTCTGCCTCTCAAAGTGCTGGGATTAAAGGCACGAGCCACCATGCCTGGTCCATACCACAGATTTTTAGAAAATCTGCTGTGAAAACAAAATCCTGCAGTGTATATCTAGCATAGCCAAGGTAAAGTATTTCTGAGAATGCCAAAAAAAAAAATTAATTTGAGCCTGTTCATCAATTTTCTTCTATTCATGGTTCATTGAAAAAAAAAAAAAAAGCTACATGTGGCTAGACATGGTGGCTCACACCTGTAATCCCAGCACTTTGGGAGGCTGAGGCAGGCGAATCACCCGAGGTCAGGAATTTGAGACCAGCCTGGCTGACATGGCGAAACTCCGTCTCTACTAAAAATACAAAAAAAACTAGCTGGGCGTGGTGGCAGGTGCCTGTAATCCCAGCTACTCAGAAGGCTGAGGCAGGAGAATTGCTTAAACCTGGGAGGCGGAGGTTGTGGTGAGCCAAGATCACATCATTGCACTCCAGCCTGGGCAATAAGAGCGAAACTCCATCTCAAAAAAAAAAAAAGGCTACATGCCCAGTAAGTTTTTTGAGAGGGAATTTCACTCTTACATTGCCCAGGCTGGAGTGCAATGGCGCAATCTCAACTCACCACAACCTCTGCCTCCCAGGTTCTGAGGCGATTCTCCTGCCTCAGCCTCCCGAGTAGCTGGGATTACAGGCATGCGCCACCACGCCCGACTAATTTTGTATTTTTAGTAGAGATGGGGGTTTCTCCATGTTGGTCAGGCTGGTCTCGAACTCCCGACCTCAGGTGATCTGCCCACCTCGGCCTCCCAAAGTGTTGGTATTACAGGTGTGAGCCACCGTGCACAGCTGAAAGTTTTCTTTATTGGCAAGTAAGACTAAGAGATTACTTTTTTAAAAAAAATTTTTTTCCCCTTGCAATTTCCTGTTGAAACAGATGCCTTCTTGGCTCAATAATAAAATCCAAGAACATAATGTAAAAAATTTAAGAGCCCATGAAAAGTCAGCTATTCATTTAGTAGCACCAACCCAGAGGAAAAACATGTTTTAAAAGACCTGATAATAGCCGGGCGCAGTGGCTCACGCCTGTAATCCCAGCACTTTGGGAGGCCGAGGCGGGCAGATCACCTGAGGTCGGGAGTTTGAGACCAGCCTGGCTAACACGGCGAAATCCCGTCTCTATTAAAAATACAAAAAAATTAGCCGGGCGTGGTGTCACGTGCCTATAATCCCAGATACTCAGGAGGCTGAAAGAGGAGAATCACTTGAACCCAGAAGGCAGAGGTTGCAGTGAGCCGGGATCACGCCTCTGCACTCCAGCCTGGGCAACAGAGTGAGACTGTCTGAAAAAAAAAAAAAAAAAAAGACTTGATAATAAATGGGATTTTATAGTTTAAAACTTACTAATTTAGTCACTTAGCCATTTTTTTATCTGATAGTAGGCATGATTTTTCTATTTATCTGTAGTTGTGGAATTTAATGTTAGATTCAGGCTGGGTTGCAGTAAAATATCTCGCATATGTGCTAAAGAATGCTTCTAATTGCATTAATTTATATTAACTTTCTCAACAATCATAATTTTCCTTCTATTAAATAAAGTGACTTAATATTCAAATTTTTATTTTAGACCTTACTAGAAAAATGAAACCTGATGAAACTCCTATGTTTGACCCAAGTCTACTCAAAGAAGTGGACTGGAGTCAGAATACAGCTACATTTTCTCCAGCCATTTCCCCAACACATCCTGGAGAAGGCTTGGTTTTGAGGCCTCTTTGTACTGCTGACTTAAATAGAGGTAATGTACAAAATCCTGTGTAAAATTAGAGTTAGCCTTCCATTTTTCTCTAAACATTATGATGCAGATAATTTTTTTTAAATATTTGACTTTTGGACTATTTTTTGTATAATACTTAGTTTTTAAAGTGATGGACACTCAATACCAATGAGTGTGTGTCATGGCTAAGACCAAATATTACTGTGAAATATTTAAAATGACTTAAATACAACATCACTCCTTCCTAATTAAGCCAAAAAGATTTCTCATAAACAAAAATTAAATTATCATGTATGATGACACATAAGGAGGGATCTTAAGAAGCTGGTTGGGGAATGAAGGTGGAAATAATTTTCCTTGGATAAATTGAAAGGGTTTTTATACAGTTATTTCTTTTTTAACATCTAAATTCTCCAAGTTAACTTCCTTAAACTTTGGTAATTAAAAGTCAACTTTGTCCTTTTCACAATTATCTCTTTGCTAGACAGCCTGAAGGGCCTAATTTTGGCCTAATTATTGAGTGTAGGAAAGTTAAGATTTTCAAAATTCCAGGTGCACTGTTCACATCAATTTCCGGTAACACTAATGAAATTCACTAGAAATTACAATTTTAAAGAGTGTAATCTCAACAGTGTTACTTATACTTTAATTTACGAATATTGTATTTAGCCATGTTGCACCTTTAAGTAAAACCAAATCACATATTTGGGAAAATCTGGCACCCTTTGCATTGAACTTAATGTAAAATATAATACATTGAAGAATGTATGTTCTGGGTCTATAAATACTGGATATTAAGGTCAGCACTATTTAAAACATCTTATGCAGGCAGAAGCACTGGTAAAACCTGTTATTTTTGTTATATGTAGTGATTATAGAAGAATAGGGTTCACTTTATTCTAATAATTAAAAGATTATAGAAAGTTCTGAAAAAATAATTGCCTGTAAGCCCACCTGCTTAATATATTGCTTATTTTCATACTGTCTTCCTTTTGCTATTCTCGTAATTTGAAATCTGTTTTTCAAAACTAGGTTTTTTTAAGGTATTGGGTCAGCTAACAGAGACTGGAGTTGTCAGCCCTGAACAATTTATGAGTAAGTACTATAACCTCTTTTTCCTGAAATAAAGGGAAACATGATTTCATTTTTGTTTAGAGCTGTTCAGTGCCCACTTCTGTTTTTGTTCAAATAGCTGGAAATTATTCAAAGAACAAATTAGCTGTTTTATACAAATGTTTAATGTGGCTGAGTTGTTCTAGAATCCAAATGTACCAGTAACTTTGTTTTTGCAAACTATCTGACTACTTTATTAGATAATTATTGTACCATAGGACCTAGGTGTTAGCTCTAGAGGTTTTTCGTTTTTTTATTGTAGTATTTCCCTTACTGTGGTTATTTACAGAAATTTCATTACCAAATCAAAAAAGCAAGACTATACGCTTTAAATTTATTTTGGGGTTTATTTGTATTGAAGTTTAAGGTTAGCAGGCATCTTAAGAGTTAGTCCACCCGTCCCCTGCCCCTCTTCTTTTAGACATAGGAGAAAATAGGAATTTAGAGAGATCCAAAGACTTGCCCAAGATCACAGGTAGTTATTGCTACGGTGAGGAATAAAACCTTAATTCTGTCCAGTGCTCTACCACTGCTTTTTCCTGTTATAAAGGAAATGAAGTATTATTATCATTACTAAATATTTAGTAATATTTAATAGCTGAGGAATTACAATTCTTCATTTCCTTATAATAGGGAATTTTGTATTGAATTCTATTTGACCCTCCTGAGAATGAGGACCATCATTCTGATTCTCATTGTTTATTTTCATTCACTGAATTTCTTTTTCCCATTTTAGATCTCTATCTGGAATGAGACCATAGAAATTAACAATATGAGAGACTATTAGCCTCAATTTTTATTCCTGAATTTTTCTTTGCATGCACATGAATTAGATGAGAAACCATGTTATTTCAGCAATAGTACTGAAAATCCATTTGAGGGGAAGTATCTTTGCACCTATTTGCTATGTGACTTGGAAAAGTTACTTGGAAACAGATATGTTTTTACTTCCTTGCAAGGTGCTCTCAAAGCAAACAAGAGCAAGTCATGTTATCACAAAACACTTTCCATCACAAAGGGAAAATTAAAATATATTTTGTAAAAATATTTTGAAAGCAAAAGACTAAAAATTCTAGAATTGAGCCATGTAAACATGCTCTTGTTAAAATGTGCAAAGGTTATATTTGAATATCTATTGAGTATAAAAGTTAAAGAGATCTATTTAAAGTAAATGAAGAAATTGAAGTTTTCATTAGTCATGGAAGTGGCAACATCAGCCATTTACTTGTATTTTAAGTGTTGTTCATCTAAAATAGCTATATTAGTCTTTATTTTGCTAGCAGATATTTTGAATGTGTAGGTTATATTCCAATTGATACTAATTGCTGATATTTCAACTACTTGGTAATATTTTCTTTAGAAATGGAAGGTAAATTACTATGGTAAAACAGCTTTAAACATTTAGTAATTAAGTCAGCTAATCCTAATATTTTTCTGGCTCCCCATAAAATTGAATGTCTACTATGTAACACTTTGTTATCCAATTTCCACAGAATCTTTTGAGCATATGAAGAAATCTGGGGATTATTATGTTACAGTTGTAGAAGATGTGACTCTAGGACAGATTGTTGCTACGGCAACTCTGATTATAGAACATAAATTCATCCATTCCTGTGCTAAGGTATGTGCTGCTTATAAATAAAATGGACAGCTGTTTTCTAGCACAACTGACTTTGAGTTTCCATTAGACAAATCTGTTTTCTCATTGATTTTCAGTGCCTCTTAGAAATCCCTTTTCCCAGTGTGTTCTGAGAGCTTTAAGAAAGAAAATGTATAACAGTATGAATTGTATGCTAAAATTGTTCTGTAAGGTGGATCAATTTGGTATAGGCATAGAGAAACCAAACAACTTAGCAGTAATGCACAAAATCCCTAATGTTACTCTTTTAAAAAAAACAACTCTGAATATACCACGTTAGCATAAATTTGTTTCCACATGGTAAAGGGTTCAGATTATTCCGTTCTAATTATGATACATCTAATGCATGTAGTGCCCTTTCATCCCTCAATAACTCACATAAAATAGTAAATAAAAAAAGAGGGAGAGAAAACCTTAATTCAATGAGAATAAGGTAGGAACACTTGGGATGTGTTCTGTCACACTTAGGAATTTCGGTGGGGTTTCTGTACTAGACATTAATTTTATTTGGATATCTAAAATAACTTGCTAGTAAGCAAGGAGTAGAATGATGGATATATTCATGAAAAGGTTACATTTTGGTGATGTTGATCCTGATATTTGTTTAAAGACAATGGGGTGGGAAGGTTGGGGACATAGCCAAAACAAGTTTAGGTCACAACTTGACTCATACTATTTCCTCTAATAAGTAAAAACATCTTTAAATTATTAACTTTTAATAGTAGTACTCTCATACTAGTAGGAAACAAACTTTTGGGCTAATCAGATTTGCCCCAGCTTCTCTGTCATATTTAAAAACAAAGGAAATGTTCAGCTATTACAGAATATTCTATGATCTCTCCTTCTCATAAGTTGTAGAAATACATACTGAAACAGCCTTCACTGTATAATATTTTTTGCATTTGATTTCTGTTAAGTTCAAGTTTACAAAATATACTACTTATTATCAGTAAATTCTTACCAACTCGTTTTAGCTAAAAACAAAAGTAAATGCTTACTCCTTTAAACATTGTAAATATTTTCAGAGAGGAAGAGTAGAAGATGTTGTTGTTAGTGATGAATGCAGAGGAAAGCAGCTTGGCAAATTGTAAGTAGGCAGAAACAAGGTAACCCTGGATAAATTTTGTTCCAATTTAGTTTCTTAACAAGATACTTGTTTGAAGTTCTTTTTGGCTTCATTAATTCTGAACTTATTCTCACTCTAATAGTTTAGACTGAATTTCATGAAGAAATAAAGTATTATTATACATATTTTGCCTTAAAGTTTGAAAATTGGAAGCATACTTCTTTACAGACAGTAACATCTTTAAATTACTAACTTTTTATAGTAATGCTCTCGTCCTAGTAGGAGATAAACTTTTGGGCTAATCGGATTTGCCTCAGCTTCTCTGTCATATTTAAAAACAAAGGAAATGTTCAACTATTACAGAATATTCTGTGATCTCTCATTCTCATAAGTTGTAGAAATACATACTGAAACAGCCTTCACTGTATATATCTAAATCATTTAAAATAAATATAAATAAGTGGTATTGATTTATTGCCATTTTATAAGAACTTGTAGTTCTTATTTATTATAATTTTTAGTTTTTGAGACAGGGTCTGTTTTTGACAGCTCTGTCACCCAGGCTGAGGTGCAGTGGCTCAATCTCAGCTCACTGCAGCCTCAGCCTCCTGGGCTCAAGCAATCCTCTTCAGCCCCCCAATTAGCTGGGACTACAGGTACACGCCACACCTGGCTAATTTTTAAAAATTTGTAGAGATGGGGCCTCATCATGTTGCTCAGGCTGGTCTCAAACAGTGCTCCTGCCTTGGCCTCCCAAAGTGCTGGGATTACAGGTGGGAGCCACTGTGCCTGGCCCAAGAACTTGCTTTTTAACACTAACTCTTCTGAGTTTTAAGGAATTAACAAATATTAAATACCTGCTTATGTACCAGATGCTATTCTAGGTATTTGGAATACCTCAGTGAACAAAACAGACCGATTTCTTGTGTTCTAGTCTATATAATTTATGTTTTTTTTTTTTTTTTTTTTTTTTTTAAGAGATGGGATCTCTTTCTGTTGCCCAGGCTGGAGTATACAGTGGTACGATCACAGCTCACTGCAGCCTTGAATTTCTGGGGCTCAAGTGAGCCTCTCGCCTCAGCCTCCCAAGTAGCTGGGACTACAGGTGCATGCCGCTGCACCCAGCTAATTTTTTATAGAGATAGGGTTTTGCTATGTTGCTTTGGCTAGTCTCGAACTTCTGGACTCAAGTGATCCTTGGCCTCCTAAAGTGCTGGAATTACAGGCATGAGCCACTGCAACCAGCCAGGCATACTTCAGTCAAGGTCTTTTGTTTTTTTTAAAAATAGGATTTTTTAGTCTGTTCAAACATGGGCAGACCCTTCAAGTTTGTATATCTTTTATAGTTTTTATCCTCTAAGGCACTTAGATCCACACTTTAATACTGGGTTTGGATTCATTAAGAAATTTTGTATAGATGTAGACTTGCTTTGTTTCCACTTCATATTAATTAGACCAATCTTGAGTTAATCTGATACACACCTTCACAAATATTAAAGTAGCTTTAAAAATGATTAAAGAGCAAAGCTATTATGTACTCATTTTATGTGGGTATGTCGACTGCTCCGAAGTTGTTTAAATAGATTTAAATAAAGAATTTTTACAAAATAATTTTGGTCATTTTTTTTTTTAAAGGTTGAGTTTTTAGTGTTAACATGCATCTTAAAATTCGTTTTTCTTTTTCAAGACAGAGACTCACTCTGTTGCCCAGGCTGGAGTGCAGTGGCACAATCACTACTCACCGCAGCCTTGACCTCTCTGGGCTCAGGTGATCTTCCCCCCTCAGCCTCTGGAGTAGCTGCGACTTTAGGCATGTGCCATCATGCCCTACTAATTTTTATATTTTGTAGAGATGGGGTTTTGCCGTGTTTCCCAGGCTGGTGTCAAACCCCTGGGCTCTAGCGATCGCCTGCCTCGGCTTCCCAGAGTGCTAGGATTACAGGTATGAGTCACTGCACCTAGCCTTAAATTTCATTTTTAAAGAGGGCTTAGGGTGAGTTTTGTATTTGTCCTGTTTATTAGTGAGCTGGAGATTACTAGATAAAAGTATATTTGACTCTAAGTAAAAATGCTTTGGTGATTTAAATGCTTATCAACTTACATGAATGCAGTGGGAAAAGCCATAATCTAAACCTGTTTCTAAGGAAACTTAAGTTTTATAACATTAATTCATATTGTTACTAGAATCAATTTTTATTAATAAATGCTATCTCCTCACCCTACCCCCTTTTTAAATTTCAGGTTATTATCAACCCTTACTTTGCTAAGCAAGAAACTGAACTGTTACAAGATTACCCTTGAATGTCTACCACAAAATGTTGGTTTCTATAAAAAGTTTGGATATACTGTATCTGAAGAAAACTACATGTGTCGGAGGTTTCTAAAGTAAAAATCTTGTAAGAAAATTGTCAAAGGGGCTAATGCTACAAGGCTACACTCTTCCTAGAGTTGAAATATTTTGTTGCTGCAGCCGAGTGACCTCCATAAATACTGGACTGAAAAAACATTGTAATACTACAAGTATAATGACATTTAGAAGATTACTTTGGGCTGGTGGGACATGCTGTGAATTTAGATTACAAATGAATATTATAAAGGGGATGATTTTTAACCAAAGGAATATATTTTTAACTTGAATCTTTTCTTGCATTGTATTTTTCTAAAAGTTTGGCTTCCTTTCTTGGTAGTCAAGAGTATGGGTAATAAGGAGTTATATGTCTGCTATCTGTGTTGCTCATTTAAAAAAAGTATACATTGAATAAGGCTGTTTATCACATGCATAAAATTAAATATTTTTGTTTCAAAGAAACATCTCAATACACTTAGGGGTGTATTGTTTCCCACATATTAAGTCAGGGTGGATAAATTAGTTATTATAACTAAACATAGTATAGTCCAACATTCGTTGATCCCAATACAGGCAAACAACCTGGTCAACCTTTTGAAGTAGAAGAAATGAAAATTACTTGACAAGATTAAAAGTAAAACAATTTAAATGTTTTACTGAAAGTTTATATAGTATAGTCTATGTAGATAAAAAGTACCACTTGTCTTTTCTGTGAATTATGACTATTCATTTGTTAAAAATACCTAAGAGCAATTATAGTGGGACATCTAAGGTCCTCTGTAAACAGTGAATTAGCAAACCTCAGCCTATGTGTTTCTACCCTGATTTTTTTCTTTTCATGGGTATCTGAAGCCTCTAAGTTTTTTCAAAAATGGAGTATCACAAAATTGAGTGAAACACAATACTTAATGTATTGTACTAGATTGCCAAATTCATAAAATGTTAATGGAAGCTTTTTGATGTGATTATAATGGCACTATTCTGGTCATTATCCTATTTTGATTTTATTTAATTTTTTAAAGTTGAAGAATTAAATATTTTAATGGTTCTAATCTTTTGCATTCCATGTTGCATTAAACCTGTTTATATGAGTAGTCTTCTGTTAGAATCACATCTGTGCTTTTCTTGAGTCTGCTGTTGAACTATTAGATTAAGTCATAATTCATAAAATTTTAGTTTAATGTGCTCTTTGTAAAATGAAATTGTAAAGAAAATACCAGTGTTTCTCATCCCATTGACTCACACCACGTCATCTGGATTTTGGATTTCCCTCCATGCAGCCAGCTATAGTTGGCTTTCCAAAACAACAGAAATCCTTCACCAATAGAGTGCACTACTTACCTGCTTATAGCCTATACAGACGAACTGATCTGTCCTTCGTGAAACGCAACAAAGCTAGTTCTGTCTTTTCAGAAGTCCTACAACCTTGACAAAGAGTAGTTTTATCAGGTAAATCCTGGTAATTAAAAACGCATGTTTTTAAAAATTAGCCTGGTAAGGCCGGGTGCAGTGGCTCACGCCTGTAATCCCAGCACTTTGGGAGGCTGAGGTGGGCAGATCACAAGGTCAGGAGTTTGAGACCAGCCTGACCAAAATGGTGAAACCCTGTCTCTACTAAAAAAAAGAAAAATTAGCCAGACGTGGTGGCATGCGCCTGTAATCCCAGCTACTCAGGAAGCTGAGGCGAGAGAATCGCTTGAACCCGGGAGGCAAAGGTTGCAGTGAGCTGAGATCACACCACTGCACTCCAGCCTGGCGACAGAGAGAGACTCCATCTCAAAACAAAACAAAAAAAATTAGCCTACTTAAAGGCACAACTAAATGCTTTATTACCTTTCTTACCACTGAACAATTTGAGGTAAAATCATTCACAAGGTTGGCACTTCAGTAAATCCCTTTAAATAGTGTTCCTAAGATATCTCTTAAATCCTCCCATAGGAAATAGAATTACAGGTAAGGTACACCATACAAAAATTGTGTCATTGAGGACAATGGTGATCTGTAATTTTAGTTGAGTATGTTTATGATTTTTGAAGCCATATGGTGAGTAAATGTAAATATGAAAAAAGTGCTACATAAAACACTTCTTAAACTTTTTTTTTTTAAAAACTGCTCCTTGTGGAGCAGGACTACCCCATAGGCAGTGTACCCACAATAGATAGCCTTTTGTTGTTGTTGTTGTTGAGACAAGGTCTCGCTGTTGCCCAGGCTAGAGCGCAGGGGCACAATCACCACACACTGCCGCTTCAATCTCCTGGGCTCAAATGATCCTTCCACCTCAGCCTCCCATGTGGCTGGGACTATAGGTGCATGCCACCACACCCAGCTAATTAAAAAAATTTTTTGTGTGGAGTCTATGTTGCCCAGGCTGGTCTCTTAACTCCTAGGCTCAAGTGATCCTCCCACCTCAGCCTCCCAAAGTGCTTGGATGACAGGTGCGAGCCACTGCACCTGGCCCACATTTTTTAAAGAGACACTGTCCCACTCCATCACCCAGGCTGGAGTCCAGTGGTGTGATCATAGCTCACTGCATCCTCCAGTTCCTGGGTTCAAGCCATCCCTCCTGCCTCAGCCTCCCCAGTAGCTGGAACTACAGGTGTGTGCCATCACACCTGGCTTTACATTTTTCTGTGGGGTCTTACTATATTGCCCAAGCCGGTCTCAAACTCCTGAGCTCAAGTGATCCTCTGCCTCAGCCTCCAGAGTATCTGGGATTACATATGTCGGCTACCGTGTCTGGCCGTTCACATCTTTGGCCACTATTTGCTTGTGAAAAGGTATAATGAGGTGGTACTTATCATTTTTACTGTGTCTCATGTTTTGTATATTTTTGTTTCATCAACTAAGATGCACTGTAACATCTCTGAAATCTGGATATATTATCAATGGTTTATCATAGTTTTGTTAGCAATACACTGTCTTTTAGTGGTGCCTAAAATAATGGTATAGTTGTGAGGTGATCTTAGATTTGATGAAGCACAGTATGCAGGTAGGCCTAATGGGGGAAGATGGTAATATAAAAGCAAGAAGTATTTTTTTTTTGTAATGACTGAAAGCTGTTCTGTGGATGACCTACCCTTTCCTTTAAACACGATTCTCTCACTTCCAACTCCAAACTTGCTCAACTAATCCTTAAAAATAAACTTGAGCTGGAATTTGAGGCTTGCCTGGACTACAGACCATAATTTTGTGTGTGTGTGTAACCACAGTGTTTTAGAGTATACTCTTAAGTGCTTCTCAACATTCAATGTTCATCCACTCTTCTTAACTCAGAGTAAATTTGGGTTACTTTTACCCAGCAGATAACAATCTAAGTAAAGAAGTTTTGAGGTATAAGCAGCAGTATGAATGAGCTTTTCAATATTTTGGAGGTATAATGGCACAGCAGTTTTAATACAACCACCAATCTTCACAAAATAATTTTAATACTTTGTGCCTGGGCTAGCAGCATCTTGCACTGTGACATTCCTATACAGACATAAGCATTTTATCCAAGTACAAATGTTAAAAGCAGAGTAACTTAAGCAATTGTGTATACAAAGGTATACAGACACTGTAGGTTATTTTTCTTCTTGAATCATTTTTGCTGCATAGTAAATTGCAATTACATGTCAGTATAATGTTACTGATCTATAGAATACACTTTGAACTGTGAGGTATGGCAGCTCCCTATGAGAGAGAGCTAACATGTAAACCTGAATATTTTGAGTGATTTTTGTTTTAGCTGCCACAGATGGGAAAGACAAAAAAAAAAAAAAAAATTCCAGCATTCAAAGACCCTAGAGACTTACTTTTCTAATCAATTAAAAAAAAAGGTCTTTCAGTACTTCTCATCTATTTTCTAGCATTCCCTTATCGGAGCACTGTTGAACAAAGAAAGAAAGAAAATACTGAGGTGAAGCTATGTTTGTTATGGGATTATGGATTAAATCAGTTATTTAAAAAAAAAAAAATCCGCCAGGTAACTGCTCATTTACTTTACATCAAGTTGAGATCTTGATACATATATATATATATCTCAACTTTATAATTCAAGATTGCAGTTAAATATTTCTAATTCACTTGAATTACCATATTAATAAGACAATTAGAAACCTTATATTTTCTTAATACAGACATGCTTAACATTTTCTGACATTACTTCTAAACTCAGATGAAGCATAAACTCTCCCCAAAACTGCTCTAAAAGTTAAGTGGTTGAGTTGGTAGCAAAAGCTATCATGGTTTAACATTTCCACCACAGAGTAGATACAAGTAAAGGTCACTGCAGTTTAAACATCTAACAGGTAAGAAATTAACATGAACCAACTAACTGAAATTAGAATACTGCCATTCCATGTTTGAATATTTTCAATACTCAAGTTTCATATTTTCAAAATGGACAGTAATACAGTTTCCCTATGTTTTGATACAATTTCACTATAAATTATGGGCCCAGATTACACTTTTAATGTTGGAATTGGGTGGTCACTCATACATTATTTAAATACTCTAGAAGATAAATCATGATCAGTTAAATTTATCATAGTTAACTATCACAAAACATCAGTGGTAATAAAAGAATCACAGAAATGGAATCAAATAGAATAAAGAATAGGAAGAGCTACCAGAACTACTTAAACATTAGGTGGACAGACATGCAAGAAAAAACAAACCTGTAATGTTCTTATATGAAATAATAAACTTCATGGTTTGTCTACATTAATATTGTACTCAGCCAGGCGCAGTGGCTCACGCCTGTAATCCCAGCACTTTGGGAGGCCGAGGTGGGTGGATCACTTGAGGTCAGGAGTTTGAGACCAGCCTGGCCAACATGGTGAAACCCCATCTCTACTAAAACTACAAAAATTAGCCAGGCATGGTGGCATGTGCCTCTAACCCCAGCTACTTGGGAGGCTGAGGCAGGAAAATCACTTGAACCCAGGAGGTGGAGGTTGCAGTGAGCCAAGATTGTGCCACTGTACTCCAGCCTGGGTGACATTAGAGACTCTGTCTCAAAAAAAAAAAAAAATCTATCTATCTATATATATATATATACACACAGAGTACTCAAGATGATGACAGTCCCTTTTCCCAGTGTTTGTGAGAGACTGTAATATACAGTACTGGGCAGGCACTTCAGTGACAACATAAAAATTACAGTGGATAGAAAATGTGGAAAATTACCAGCTACAAATTATCAATAACAAAATCTGTTCTTTTGGCCAGACTACTAGAGAGGATATATGTATATTTATGAAACAAGTTTTTAAAACCTAAACTTACTATTATGAAGATTCTTTTAAGCAGAGTTTCTGCTAAATGAAGCATCATAGATTATTATTACACTGTAAGAGATCTTTGCTGACCTGCCCAATAGTGATCTATATACAGGAAAGCTGTGTTATCTGGAACTTTTATCAACTGGAATTTTAGAAAACCCAATGCGAATCTTGACTCCACTAGACCACTGTACATCAAAAGACCTAATCACAAAGCAGAATACTGGACGACAACGAGATTAACAATATGCTGTTTTCACAGTGGTAAGATAAGAGAAGGGAAGGGGAGGGAAATCAGAAGAGAAATATCACCTGGGTCAATAGGAATTAACTCTTAATTAACAATTTTAATTAATCTCCACTCTCCCACTATGCTGGGTAAGAAAGCTTTTACTGTATTATCACATCATAGAGAGGAAAGCAAAGCAAGTAACTTGGTGTAATAGGTTACTTTGCATAGTACCTCTTGGTACCAAGGGAACATACAGAAATCATTCCCATTAGTAAAGCACCTCAAGAGAGGATTGAGAAAAGTTAGATACAAAGGAGTTTTGTTTGTGCTACCCTAAAGTCATCAACTATAAAAAGTTAAAAACACTCCTCTCTTCCCTTACATACTTAAAATAGCAAAAATGTTTTCTTAGAACTTTTATACACACAAACTAAAACATAGCCAAAAATCCATAAAGTGACTTTACTAAAGCAAATTATGGGGCAGATCTGGACTAACTGAATGTCAAGAATGGATTAAAATGCTAATTTAAAATACACTAGTCTCCCACAAATCACCTTCCCCAAAGAAAAGCTTCTGTTTGAGCCGGAACAATCTCACAGAATCATTAAGACAACATAAAAAGAAAGAGTAAACATTCTATATTCCAAATAATTTACTAATATTTCTTCCAGCCTCGTACTTTCAGTTTAAACTAATTTATGGTTTAAAAAGAAAGGAAATTACACAAAAATGTTAAGAACTTTTCAGTGTTCTACATACTAATTTAGAGGCCATGAGGATTTAATTATTTTTTTTAAATGATGCAAGGCACTTTTCTTTTTTGGGGCTTCATTTAGAAAAAAATAATGCTACATTGGTTTATTAGATTCTATTTAGAATCATTTTGGACAAAGGAAAAAAGGGCTGGACAACTCTGAAAAGAACAAATACAACGTTTGGCTTTTACTGCCAAAAAATGCAAAAAGGAAAGTCACTCGAAAATCTAACACTATCCTTGTGTTTAAGCACTTGGTACTATAAATCAAAACGTTTTCCTTTTATCATGGAAACTGTAGTTTTTAAAATATAGAAAAATTAGGAAAGTAATAAGAAAGGAAGCAATAATTAGATCAAGTTAAAGTAAGGACAGCTAATTAGGATCATGATTTAAAGATTAATAATGGAAGAAGTATAAAAAATAAAATGGTAATTAAGCTATTAAGTTATACTAAAAAAGAAATGTGGCAGATTCCTGCATTTTGTTAATGTTTCTGTAAGAGGCTCCATCATAAAATTGAACTGTAAAATTATGTTAAAAATGTAATATATAGAACAGAAAAATGAATTTTTAGCAAACCTTAGCAAATTTTGTTATAAATTACCCAAACTTTATAAACAATCCCCCCATACTTGCATTTTGTTTAAAGTAATAACTTTATATCATACAAATAAATTTCAAGTATGAAAAGTGCATTATTGCAATAATACCTCTTTGCAAGTCCAAAATTCTTGGTTTATAATAAAACTTGTAAAGCATGTGTGTGTGCGCGCGCATGTGTTTTTAAAAAAAGGAGTAAAACCATCAGTGTCATCTATTGCAGAAGTCCAACATCTTAAAATGTTGCTCAACAAGTTGCAGAGAAGTATGTCTGGAAGCAACATGTAATTGAAAAAAAAACTACTTATGTTTTTACCATTTTACATTATAATTTTCTCTTGTATTTTCTCCTTCCCAAATAGAAATTCACACTCTATGATGTTGCTCTTCAAGTCAGCCATTCTGTGCAGTCGCCACTTGCATGGTTCCAAAATCATCCTCTTCTTCATGTGTTCTCTTCAAACTGCCTAAAAGTTATTGCATGAAGATTAAAAGGGCACTAAAATAAATTCATGTTAAAAGGTTACAGCAAGTAAAATTTTGTTATTAAGTGATCATGTATACACTATGAAAATTCCACAACTGATATAGCAAAATTTAGTAAATTCCTTTGTGATAAATTACCTAAATATTATAACTTTTTAATCTTCATGACAGGATATATTTTCCTTCTCAAGTATTATGTCTTAGGTATTGCATATAAAATAAATAATTTTTGAAATAGTGTGAAAATAGACCTTTTCAAGAGATAATACATAAATGTTTAGTTATCAAGTTAATTGTTTTTTAGGCACCATAAACATGTGACTTAGGGCATAAAATTTAGGAAATTAATCTTGTATTTGTATAATTTTTTGTAGATAATCTTTTTGCTTTCACAGAGGCTGTTATGAAGAGCAGCTGAAAATATTTTTCCACTCAAGCTATCGAAGTCTAGGTTGGGAGAAAGGAAGGCATGTAGCATATAAAGAGATTTTCTTTTATCTATTCTTCATACCAGCATCTGCTAGTACAGAAATCTCCCACATAGAATCAAAGCTATCTCTGTATCCCCAAAAGTTATAATCAAGAAATTAGACTCTCAATGGAGGAAAACTTTAGGGAACAGTTAAACCAGCAGAGGGTCTGCTGTGTTTTTTGCCTAACAATGGCATGACCTTAAACTTATGCCCTACAGGACTGTTATATCATGGTAATAATAATGTTAATTCAGAGGGCATATTCTAATTGAAGAATGTTTCACTATAAAATTCATAAAGATAAAAATATAGTATCAATACAATTGAATGAGATAAAATATCCTAGCCCTCAGGCTAAACCCAGATACTGTGATTAAGTTTCAGATGAAGTGCTGTGCTTCTATGGGAACTCCAAATGACTAGGGGTTAAAGGAAGAGTGCATTAATCATCATGTCTTCCTGAGGAGATGACATATGAACCAAGAATAGGGAGACTAAATGTGATGCATTTTAGGTGGGGAAAAGAAGACACACACAGGAAACCATCAGCAGTTGTTTTCTGAAATGCAGACATAAAGAAGAACAATGAGAGAAAGAAACCAAAAAATCAGAAGGGCATATGGCATTCTATAAACTTTTGTAGGAATGAAGCCAAAGGAGGCTTTGGCAAAGGAAAAATATCAATATTAGAAATATCTTTCATGGGAATAAGTCTGGCCACAATGTACAGAACAGACCAAATAACAAGAGTTTGGAAAGGAGGCAAATCCGGACCTGAACTAGATTAAGGTCACTATTAAAAAAAGGAAGGAATGTTAACAATACTGACAAAACGGACCCTATAGGATGTGGAGAGCAATTATTAGACAGATGTGGCAAAGGAAATGAAAAAGTCAATGACAATTAGGAAGTTGAGCCTTGGGGATGAATATACAGTCATATTACTCACTATGGGCAGTGCAGTAGAGTGCAAAGAGTTCTATACTTGTGGATCAGATCACCTGTCCTCAATTTCCAGGTCAGTGCTAAGTATATAAGCTGTTCTTACTACCTTATATAACTGTTGGTTCAAAGATTGAAGTGAACTGCAGGGTAGGAAAAACTGGAAATAAAGTAAAAATGCCTTGTGTGCTTTGTTGGGAGAGAAACAAAGGTGATAAACACAGGTAGCAAGGTCTTGGGAAAGGAAGATTTTAAGAGCATGCTTGGATTAACTTTGAAAATAAGGGGCTTAGGGTACTTCTGAAATAGCAACAGAGGGAGGAAAGGATGGAAATATTGATGGCAAGAGAAAGAAGCTCACATTAGCCATGCTACACGCTGTATTAACCGCCCTCTACTTTTAATAAGATCACCTAAGCGTGTTTAGGGCCCCTTCTCCAGATTCGTATTATTTTAATCTTTACAACACGGATGTACTACTACTTGAAAGACTTAAGCTTATTATAGTACACATTTATTCATTATAAAATGAATCCTTCTGGAATTAGCTCAATAGTTTAACAAGTTTTCTAAACAATTTAAATTGTTCAGTGTAACTTGTAGCAAGTTCTCCACCTTTCATTATCTTTCTTCCCAAATTTCTCCAAAAAGAAAAAAATCCTTACCTGTGGTACCAGAATGAACAGATAATGACCTTTCTATCTGGAGTGGTGACATCATCTGTATTGTTAATTTTGCTAGGTAGATGGCTTCATATTCCTAAAAAAAAAATAAGTTAATTAACTTAATTATATATTTACATTCTTGGATACCCAAAATAGTGATTAATGTATACACTGTTGGTATTCTTCATCTGTATTGAAAAATCTAGTGCCATATTGTTTGAAGAGAAATGGAAGTTTAAAATTCCTGTCTCATAAATTCAGAACTACTGATAACTATAAATCAAGCCCGGCTAATAGTTTGTGCTAGGGTACTGCATGCTGAACTGCCAGTCAGTATGGCATTAGCTATAATGATCTCTGACTTCATCTGTTTAAAAAAACCCCAAAAAACACCAAAAACTTAAATTGGCAATCTCAATAGTCCTCTGCTTCCAGTTATAGATAGAAGAATAAAGGCATTTTTGTTTCTCTCTTTTCTGAAAACAAGGAAAACATTTGATGAAACTAGGAAACATCCATTACCCTGAAAATGAGAAGAATGAGGGGAAAAGGAATTGATTACCAGCTACGTCAGGATAGTGGTTACTTTACAGAGGGAGAAACAGATTTGTGCCTGAGAAGCGGCATGAAAAAGGCTTTTGGTGTCCTGGTAAACATTCTGTTTCCATACTTCGGCAATAGTTACATGGATGTTTATTTACATTTTATGCATTTTCTATATTATAATTTCACAATAAAATTTTCAAAAAAAATAGAACCATCCTAAGCTAGGCATAGCAGATAACTCCTCTGTGGGCCAGAGTAGGTACAGTTCATAGCTCGCTAAAAAAGGTGACCTAAAATAAAACCAACAAGCCCTTGCATGGTATGACAAAGTCAGGAAATATGAGTGGCCTATGGGAGAAGGTGGGACATATTAAGGAAAATGTGAACACCTACACCTGCCATTTTTTGCAAGCAGCAGGCTGTTTAAGTATGGTAAGGCGGAAGTGAAATTTGGTTGCATGTAGCCAAGCATCAGTTGATCTTGGATAGCTAAAAGTAAAGGCTAAATCAGCAATTCTAGCCTGGATATACATGAGAATCACCTGAGGCACTTTAAAACCTATATACCTAGGCCCCACTCTCACAGATTTTGATTTCATTGGCATGGGTAAGGATTCCCCAGGTGATTCTAATATGAATCAGTGTTTATCAATTTAAACAAAATAAACCTGTGATATAAGGAGCTCTGCTTCTTACTCACTGATTCATGCCACCAAAGGAACCTGGGAAAATTCAAGCTGTCAGCCTTCCCCAACCACTCCTCTGGCCCCTTTCCCACAATTTTATTCTTGGGTAAATAGCTGATCTAAGACGAATACCTCCAGTTCAAAGATGACCAATAATCAAGAAGGAACCAGTTAGGTCTTACTCAAAGATTTTGCAAGAAAAAACAAAACAAAACAAAACAAAAACAGAAAAGCAAGAGTATAACCAAATGTCATAAAGAAAATGCCATAAAACTTATACCATGAAGCAGATGAAAACTATGAACAAATTAATCAAAGAAAATATGGCAGTTATGGGATTGAATGTTTGCATTCCCCTCATAATTCATATGTTGAAGTCCAAACACTTAATGTGGGGACTTTGGCAGGTGATTAAGTTGGGATGAGGTCATGAGAGGACTGGCCCTATGATGAAATGAGTATCCTTCTAAGAACTATGCTCCCACCTCAAACCACTTACACTTATTCCTCTACCTCAAATGCTTTTCCCCAAATACGTGCATCTCTTTAGGTCTTTGCTCAAATATCACTTTTCAGTAAGCCCATTTCTGACCACCCTTCTAAAAATACAATTCTCGTCCCACCTTCCTTACATGGCCTTATTTTTCTTGGATTCATTACTTCTGGCCTACTACATTTTGTTTGTTGTCTGATTCTCCCACTAAATAAGTTTCGTGAGGTCAAGGATTATTGTCTGTTTTGTTCTCTGCTTTACTGTCAGTGCCTAACTAAAACAATGCCAAATAAATATTTAATGAAACAATGCAGCATGGGACATGGAAAACAAACGTGAGAAAAATCAAGTGGAAAAAAAAAAAAGAACAAAGCTGCAAATAATTACAGAGAAAATAGCAAATAACAAAGAAAAAAGGGAACATAAACTATACCGGGGTAAGGGGTATACTAAAAAGAAAAAGAAACAGAACAACCAAAAGGGTAAATACACAATAGAAGACAACTTTCCTGAAATCAGGGAAGGCTTGAATTTGCAAGTGGTAAGGGCACACTGTGACTCAGAAAAAAACTGATGTAGAGCAATCAACAAGATACATCTTGGCCGGATATAGTGGCTCATGCCTGTAATCCCAGCACCTTGTGAGGCCAAGGTGGGAGGATCGCTTGAGCCCAGGAGTTTGAGACCAACCTGGAAAATATGGCAAAACCCCATCTCTACCAAAAATAATTTAAAAAACTAAGCCAGGTGTGTGGTCTCACGTCGTAATCCCAGCACTTTGGGAGGCCGAGGCAGGCAGATCACCTGAGGTCAGCAGTTCCAGACCAGCCTGGCTTACATGGTGAAACCCTGTCTCTCTACAAAAAATACAAAAATTAGCTGAGTTTGGTGGCACATGCCTGTAATCCTGGCAACTTGGGAGACTGAGGCAGAAGAATCGCTTTAACCCAGGAGGCAGAGGTTGCAGTGAGCCAAGATTGCCCCATTGCACTCTAACTTGGGCAACAGAGTGAGACTTTGTCTCAAACAACAACAAACAAAAAACTTAGCCAGGTGTGATAGTGTGCACCCATGGTCCCAGCTACTTAGGAAGCTAGGGTGGGAAGATCACTTGAGCCCAGGAGGTCAAGGCTACAGTGAACCATGATCGCGCCACTGCACTGTAGCCTGGGTGACAGTGCGAGACCCCCTCAAAAAACAAAAACATAAAAAACCAGGATACACCTTGATAAAGCATCTTATGGTCATCTAGATGAGGGTCCCCACCCCTGGACTGCAGACCCCAGAATCGGTCCATCGCCTGTCAGGAACCAGGCCACACAGCAGGAGGTGAGTGGCACTCCAGGGAGCATTACCATCTGAGCACCACCTCCTCTCAGATCAACAGCAGCATTAGAGTCTCACAGGAGCGCAAACCCTATGGTAAACCTATCCCTCCCTATGGTATGCGAGGGATCTAGGTTGCACACTCCTTAACTAATGCCTGATGATCTGATATAGAACAGTTTTGTCCTGAAACCATCTCCCCCGCCACCCCATCCGTGGAAAAATTGTCTTTCATGAAACTGGTCCTTGGTGTGAAAAAGGTTGGAGACTGCTGATCTAGACAACCTTCTCCTGATACAAATCAATTCACCTAAGGGGGGAATCTTAAAATTGGTCTGCCTTCAAACTTCTCTAAAACAATATTTAGGCCAGGCACGGTGGCTCACACCTGTAATCCCAACACTTTGGGAGGCCGAGGAGGGCAGATCACCTGAGGTCGGAAGTTTGAGACCAGCCTAGCTAACATGGTGAAATTCCATCTCTTCTAAAAATATAAAATTAGCTGGGTGTGGTGGCATGTGCCTGTAATCCCAGCTAATCAGGAGGCTGAAGCGGAGAATCACTTGAACTCGGGAGGTGGAGATTGCAGTGAGCCTAGATTGTACCACTGCACTCATTCCAGCCTGGGCGACAGAGTGAGACTCCATCTCCAAAAAATAAAAAACAAACAAAAAATATTTAATATCAGGTCTGTGTACAAAATCACTAGGGAAAAAGTATTAAATACCTATTTTATATCTAGCCACTGTCATTCAAATATAAGGGCAAAAGAAAAATATTTTCCAATATGCAAAGGGATAGTTTCCATGGGAATATAGTTTCCATGAACTATTCTTAATAAAGTCCAAGAGTTTAATAAAGACACTGGAACAGGTAATAGGATTGGCTGAATCCTATTTAAATGTAGGATTAAGGGCTGGGCGCCGTGGCTCACGCCCGTAATCCCAGCACTTCGGGATGCTGAGGCGGGTGGATCACATGATCTCAGGAATTCGAGACCATCCTGGCCAACATGGCAAAACCCCGTCTCTACCAAAAATACAAAAATTAGCTGGATGTGGTGACATATGTCTGTAATCCCAGCTACTCGGGAGGCTGAGGTGTGTGAATCGCTTGAACCCAGGAGGCAAAGGTTGCAGTGAGCCGAGATCACACCACTGTACTCCAGCCTGGGCAAGAGTGTGAGACTCTAACTCAAAAAAAAAAAAAAAAAAAAGGAAAAGTAAATAAATAAAACCTTAAAAATTATGTAACAAACATAAACACACCAAAAAATTTTAAACTATAGCAGAAGGTTAAAAAAAGGATTCATTTAAAACAGAAAGCATAATATGAAATAATAATAGATAAGATTGTATCTGTCATTTTCAGTAAATGAAAGTGGGTTAAATTCACCTATTAGGAAACAATGATACCAAATCTAATAGCAAAACTCAATCCTAGACTACACTGAGGAAAAGCATCTAAAATCAAGTGATTTAGAAAGCTTGAAGGAAAAGGAATGGGAAAACTCAAAAGGTAGCAAGCGAACAGAAAGAGTAGGATTCACAATATTAAACGAGGTTAACTGCAAGGTAAAATAACCGAAATTTGTCCAGGCACAGTGGCTCACACCTGTAATCCCAGCACTTTGGGAGGCCGAGGTGGGAGGATCATGAGGTCAGGAGTTCGAGACCAGCCTGGCCAACATGGTGAAACCCCGTCTCTACTAAAAATACAAAAATTAGCCGGGCGTGGTGATGCATGCCTGTAATCCCAGCTACTTGGGAGGCTGAGGCAGGAGAATCACTTGAACCCAGGAGGCAGAGGTTGCAGTGAGCCGAGATCGCACCACTGCACTCCAGCCTGGGCCACAGAGCAAGACTCTGTCTCAACAACAACAACAAAAAACCCTGAAATTTAAACAGGGTACAACTAAAATAAAAACCTAACTTGAATTTTTATGTACCAAATAGTTAAGTACAGAAAAAAACTTGCAGAACCAAAAAAGGGGAAATAAAGAAAAAATAAACACAATATAGTAAAAGATTTCAATTCACTGATTTCAGCCCAAGACAGATCAAGTGGACAAATACATTTAACTTTATCCCCTGAAAACAGAATGCATCTTCTTTTCAAATGCCCATAAAATTCATGAAAACAACTACATATTAAACCACAAAGAAAACATCAAAAAATACAAGTACTACAAAACATTCTGTGATTACAATGTAATAAAACTAAATATGAACAAAAATAAAAAATTTAAAACCCAGTCACCTATACAATAAAAAAAATCTCAACACATATTAGATAAAAAATGAAACCAAAACTGAAATCACAGAATATCAAGCTATAACATAAAAATAATGCAGATGAGAATCTGCAGCATGCGACTAACACAATGCAAAGAGGATAATTAATAGCCTTGAATTTTTGAAAGAATAAAAAGAAACCAAGTTTTCAACTCAGGAAATTCACAACAGCAGCAGCAAACAACACTAAAGCAAAGTACCAAGGAAGCAGAAATTAGAATACAGAAAAACAACATGGACTAACCAGATGAAGAAAAAAAATAATAGAACCAAAAGATATTAAAGTACAAGATATTATTTTCCTTAATTCTATGTAGAACTCTTATGAAATCAATGATTACACAGAAGATCATAAATACATCCAAAGTGACCTGAGGGGTATCAGAAAATCAAACCAGGCCAGGAGCAGTGGCTCACATCTGTAACCCCAGCACTCTGGGGGCCGAGGCGGGCGGATCACCAGAGGTTAGGAGTTTGAGACCAGCCTGGCCAATGTGGTGAAACCTCGTCTCTACTGAAAATACAAAATTAGCCAGTTGTGGTGGCAGGCACCTGTAAATCCCAGCTATTCTGGAGGCTGAGGCAGCAGAATCACTTGAACCCAGGTGGCAGAGGTTGCAGTGAGTTGAGATTGCACCACTGCAGTCCAGCCTGGGCAACAGAGCAGAAGACTCTGCCTCAAAAAAAAAAAAAAAAAAAAAAAAAAGAAAGAAAGAAAGAAAGAAAGAAAAGAAAAAATCAAACCGATACACCAAATGAAGAATGTTGTCTGAGAACTGGTCTATTGTCAAAATATATGAATGAATGAAATAATGAATAACTGAATTAGATAAAACATTATGGTCAGATATTTCACAGGTGCCATATACTAATGCATTAAGAGACAAGTAACTCCAATCTAATTTAAATTGATCCATGGCACAAAGAGAAATGGAAAGCTTCCACTAAAAAATGAGAACACTGTGACAGAGATAGTAAAACCAGAAAAGGATAGTACAGAAAAAAAAAAGAAAGACAAACCAATTTACTATTTAACTGATTCCAAAATCCTGAACAAAAAGATTAGCAAATACAATCCAGCAATACATTAACAGAACAGTCTATCATAACCAAGTGGGATCCATTGCTGGACCAAAAGGATGATTCAATATTAGGAAATCCAATCTAATGTGATCCAGTAACTCAAGTCACCATATTAACGGTTCAAAAACTAGAACTAGCCATTCCATAAGCACCTTAAAAAAGAAAACTTCAAACTTCTAAAGGACATATCAGAATTTGGTATAAAATAAAAATGATATTTCAAATCGGTAGGCTATAAATAGATTTCCATAATATAAAAAGAGCTCTTACAAACCGGTGAGAGGAACACCAACAAATGATCACAAAAATCTGATAAAACATTTTTGGGCCAGGAGTGGTGGCTCACGCCTGTAATTCCAGCACTTTGAGAGGCCAAGGTGGGTGGATCACCTGAGGTCAGGAGTTCAAGACCATCCTGGGCAACATGGCAAAACCCTATCTCTATTTTTTTTTTTCTTTTGTGACGAAGTCTTGCTCTTGTTCCGCAGGCTGGAGTGCAATGATGCCATCTCGGCTCACTGCAACCTCCGCCTCCCGAGTTCAAGCAATTCTCCTGCCTCAGCCTCCCAAGTAGCTGGGATTACAGGCACCTGCCACCACGCCTGGCTAATTTTTGTAATTTTAGTAGAGACAGGGTTTCACGATGTTGGCCAGGCTGGTCTCAAACTCCTGATCTCAGGTGATCCACCCACCTCAGCCTCCCAAAGTGTTGGGATTACAGGCGTGAGCCACCACACCCGGCCATCCCATCTCTATTAAAAATACAAAAATTACCTGGGCGTGGTGGCACGTGCCTGTAATCCCAGCTACTTGGGAGGCTGAGGCAGGAGAATTGTTTGAACCTGGGAGGTGGAGGTTGCAGTGAACCGAGATGGCGCCATTGCACTCCAGCCTGGGTGACAGAGCAAGACTCCATCTCAAAAAAAAAAAAAAAAAAAACTTTTGGCTACTGGTGTTAATTAGGGTAGGAGGAAATAGGCACTCGGAGGAATAGGCACTTTTTGTTTCCTGGTGATATAAGTTTATTATTACTTCATCTTTTTTGGAGGCAATCTGGAAACATCTATCAAATTTCAAAGGCACTGGAATCCACCAATTCCACTTCAGTTACCTTACAGGTATATTCACACAGATGTACCTATCAGGATATTTCCAATATTCTTTTTTTTTTTTTTTTGACACGGAGTTTTGTTCTTGTTGCCCAGGCTGGAGTGCAATGGCATGATCTCAGCTCACCACAACCTCCGCCTCCCAGGTTCAAGCGATTCTCCTGCCTCAGCCTCCTGAGTAGCTGGGATTACAGGCATGCATCACCACATCCAGCTAATTTTGTAGTTTTAGTAGAGATGGGGTTTCCCCATGTTGGCCAGGCTGGTCTCGAACTCCTGACCTCAGGTGTTCCACTCACCTCGGCCTCCCTAAGTGCTGGGATTACAGGTGTGAGCCACTGAGCCAGGCCAATCTTCTTAAACATATGTATATACTATTCTTTCAAATACAAAAATTAATTTTAAAAAAGAATGTTTTTACACATTTGAAAACAAGTAAGAGCATTATTGGATTGTTTGTAACACAAAGGATAAATGATTGAGGGGATGGATACTCTATTTTTCCATGATGTGATTATTACACATTGCATGCCTGTATCGAAATACCTAACCTACTATGTATCCACAAAAAAAAGAAAAGCTTAAAAAATAGTTTAAAAAAAATGAAAAAAAACAATGTTTTCTACAACATGGTAAAAGGCAAAGAAACTTACAAAGTTAGAAGACAAACATTTTACATGAACAGGCTGAACACAGATGACACTGTTTCTCTTTTGAATGTAGTAAAAATTAAAAGTAAATTAAATATTAAAATAAAATTTAAACCTTGGTAACTATAACAATATATTTTGTAATAAATATTCTTGATGTTGAAACATGAGCTTTATTCCTACATAATTGGATGTAATTAGCCAGAGCACATTCTGCAGCCTATGATTTTGCCTCTTGGAATAAACTGAGCAACGTGGTCTAATTAGGTTAATTCATAGACTTATCATCTTTGTCAGTGCATCTGCCAGGCATCAACAAAATATGAAACAACATGGAAAAGATAAACATAGAATAGAAAAAGCTGTTATAGTTAGTATACTTAGAATCAAAACTGTCTTATGCTCTGTGTGATCAAAATGAACAACAAAAAAAAATCAGACATTTCTAACAGCAATTATTTTACTTTAGATTTGATAATGTGTCTTTAACCCTTTTTTCTTGGTAATGCCAGCCTTTAAGAAAAAAAAGTTTTTTTAATTTTTTAGGGATGGGGTCTCACTCTGTGGGCCAGGCTGGAGTGCAAAGGCACACTGTTCACTGTAGCCTCAAACTCCTGGGCTCAAGCAATCCTCCCATCTCAGCCTCCTGAGTAGCTGGGACCACAGCCATGCACCACCATGACTGGCTAATTTTTTTTTAATTTTTTATTTTTTAGAGATTGGGTCTCACTTTGTTGCTCAGGCTGATCTCATACTTCTGGCCTCAAGCAATCCAAATGCCTTGTTCTCCCAAAGTGCTGTGATTATAGGTATAAGCCACCACACCCAGCCAAGAAAATACTTCTAAATAGAGATATAAACTTGAATAAAGCATCAAAGTAGTCAGATTATGGCAATTTTAAGTATTCACAAAGTAAATTGTACACCTAAATTACATGTATAAAAGATTTTATATCTTACTTCTGATTGCCTTAAAGAGGAAGAAAAGTTACCTGAAGTTGATGGACAAATCCAGCATTAGGATTAATACAAAATCTTCTTTCTTGAACATAAGCAAAAGCATCTCTGAAAACAGAAAAAGAGTGTTAATGTGATAGCATTATTTAATGAATTAATCATAATCATACAACTTAGCAATAGAGAGGGGTAATGAGTTGTAATGGAAAAAGCATGATGAGATTAAATATCACAATTCCTTTTCTCACCAGCTATATGCTTACGGCAGCTTGCTCAACTTCTCTAAGCTCTATTTTGTCCATTGGTAAAATGAAGAGTCTAATAACACCTACCTTGGGGAACTACTATGAATAGGAGGTAAGTGTAAAGTGGCCAGGTGCAGTGGCTCTTGCCTGTAACCCCAATCCTTTGAGAGGCCAACACAGGAGGACTGCTTGAAGCCAGGACTTTGAGACCAGCCTGGGCAATGTAGTAAGACCCCATCTCTACAAAAAACTTAAAAATTAGCCAGGCACAGTGATGTGGTATAGTCCCAGCTTCTTGAGAGGCTGAGGTGGGAGGATTACTTGAGTCCTCAAGTCTGAGACTACAGTGAGCTATGATTGTGCCACTACACTCCAGCCTGAGAAACAAAGGAAGACCCTGTCTCTAAAATAAATATATAAAATGTAAGCATTTTGTGCATATAGTACAAGTTCAAGCTCAAAATACTATCACTGGTTAAAGAGGTTTATTTACTTTTGTTATGAGGCTTAAAGTGCCTATAATAGTACTGAGCTCATAGCAGAGACCCAATAAATACAAGTTATTTCCAACATTAATGGTCTGACAAAATTCGAAATAATAAAAACAATATATAAAACATAAAGTCCATCAATACATGTTTAATCTTTTTTCAATTAAATATTTGTATTCTGGCTGGGTGCAGTGGCTCACCCCTGTAATACCAGCACCTTGGGAGGCCGAGGCAGGTGGATCACAAGGTCAAGAAATCGAGACCATCCTGGCCAACATGGTGAAACCCCATCTCTAATAAAAATACAAAAATTAGCCAGGCGTGGTGGTGTGCACCTGTAGTCTCAGCTACTAGGGAGGCTGAGGCAGGAGAATTGCTTGAATCTGGGAGGCGGGGGTTGCAGTGAGCTGAGATCGCACCACTGCACTCCAGCCTGCCAATAGAGCAAGACGCCGTCTCAAAAATAAATAAATAAATATTTGTATTCAAATAATATTCCTTTAAGAATAGATATTTTTAAGCAAAGTTATCCATTCTAATTTAGATATAAAAGGGGACTGAAATAGAAAGATGTGTCAATGATTACTATAAGATTTCTAATTTGTAGAACAAGAAAAGCTGAGAAAGGAAATACTGTACACTGGCCAGGCTTTTGCTTTGTCTTGGGGCAAGAAGCTCATTACCACCCCCTATCTTTTAAAAAATCTATACAGAATGCTTGGAAAAGATGATTTTTGATAAGAAAGACTACTCTGAATTGTAAATAGATGCTGCAAACAATTCCTAGGTAATTTTTCATCCAACTATTGTTAAAGGAGAACATGATAAATTAGCCCTTTAAATAAGGCAAGCACTAACATTTGTGGTCACGAGTTTTTATACTCATACCAACCAATTCCCTTGTGGTAGGTAAGTAGTTTTCCATAGGATTTCCATATTAGCCTATGCATATCTATACAAGTAGATAAATTAGGTTAAGACTAATCATGGAATAAGGGCCTGCCTAATCAAACATGACTACATGAAAAATAATCAGGGGAATAAGAACTTCAAACTTCCAAACTATTCCCATTAAGTTTCATTTTAATGAGAATTTAAACTGTGGCTAGGTTTTAGGGTATTTTCTTACCTGTACTTCATTCCAAATGTTTCCATAATGTATGCAATAACAAAGGCTGCACTGAAGAGGGGAAAATAATTTTAAAAACAACCAGAAAATACAGCCCATTAATTAAATGTTATAGAAAGAAAGATTATTTCTAACTTCATACCTTCTGGAGATCCCTGCATTTCCATGCACAAGAACTTTTCCTGAAAAACATGAATTCATTATTCTAATAGAAAAACACCTGAGTCAGTAGCTGAACTACATTGAAACCACAGTAAAGTAACTCCTTATATACTATAATCACTTGGATATCTTCAAATCTTTACAATTTGTTATTATCAACTGTGTAGAGAATATAGCAGACTCTTATTAAAGAAACTGAAAGCTCACAGAGAATTTGAAAACAGTCTACAGGGATACTCCAGAAAGCCTATCCAAATGAAACAAGTAATTGGGAAAATACAAATTTGGGAGTAAGCTACTACATATAATTGTAACTTCCATATCCTGCATTTAAGACAAATACCAACTAAAAAATTAACAAATAATCAAAATATAAACATTAGTTAAGGAAAGGAAATGTTATTTACCTCCCATTTGTAAGCTCCCATCAATAAATTCCTTAGTCTGGAGGCAAAAGACATGTGGATTAATGTAAGCATAAAATAAATGCATATAATGAAACAAAATGAAACCTATTGAAAACAATTTCCTAATTTATATGTATAAAAATTATTTTGATTCACCAATTTCCAAAATGCTATAAATAGAACTATTACAAGTCCAAAAAAATTAAAGAAGCCAAAATTTAATTTAAGTCCAATACATTCACAATATGATTCCTCAAATTTCTGGAGATCATAAAAAATTTTCTACAAATAATTCTTTTAAAAACACAATCACATAATTTTCAGTCATAGCAAAGTAAAAGTAGCAAGCTTTACAAGCACAATTAAAGGGGCTGGGCACGGTGGCTCACGCCTGTAATGCCAGCACTTTGGGAGGCTGAGGCAGGCAGATCACCTGAGGTCGAGAATTTGAGACCAGCCTGATCAACATGGAGAAACCCCGTCTCTACTAAAAATACAAAATTAGCTGGGCATGGCGGCTCATGCCTGTAATCCCAGCCACTTGGGAGGCTGAGGCAGAAAAATCACTTGAACCCGGGAAGCAGAGGTTGTGGTGAGCCAAGATTGCGCCATTGCACTCCAGCCTGGGCAACAAGAGTAAAACTCTTGTCTCAAAAAAAAAAAAAAAAAAAAAAAAAAAAGCACAACTAAGAAGTCAAATCATAAATAAATTTTAAATGATATTTAAAAAATACTGGTACCTACCATAGGGAAAAAACGTATTATATTTTCAACTGGATTATCTGCAATATCCAGGACTAAATATCTGAAAATAGAGTATTTTGTGATAAGCACACTTTAAGTAAAACACTTAAGGTACTTTAAAAAAATAACTCATTATTTCTTGTTAACCATGGCAAGAATGCAAAACAACTTTCAAAGTATCATATTCCCAAGAACTGTGTGGTAGATTTTACATTGCTTGAAGGCATTAAAACCTGAAACACCATGTTAACATCTCTGATATTTAAGTATTTAAAAAATCCATCAGGCTGGGCACAATGGCTCATGCCTATAATCCCAGCAAAAAGAAACTCTTTTGGGAGGCCAAGGTGGGAGGATCACTTGAGCCCAGGGATTCGAGACCAGCCTGAGCAACAGAGGGAGACTCCATCTCTACAGAATATTAAAAAATTAGCTGGGTGTCGTGGTGTGCACTTATAGTCCCAGCTACTAAGGGGGCTGAGGTAGAACTGTGTGAGCCTGGAAGTCAAGGATATAGTAAGCTGTGATTGGGCCACTGCACTCCAGCCTGGGTAACAGAGCAAGATTCTTATCTCAAAAATAAATACATATTTTATTTGCATATAATGAACCATCTGGTTAAAATAGAAAAATCACAAGCAGGAAGATACATTCCTCTAGATTAGAGTGGACCTAGAAATAAAGACAAAAGTACCTGTAATCGTTATGTTATTCTTTTATTTCTACCAATTTCTCTAAGACCAGAAGATTGTTCTCTAAGTGGTCCTGTGACTCCTGCTCATGAACCTACAGAGGACATTTCAGAGGAAGTCCAAAGTCTAAGAGAACGAACAAATAAAAACGGAAGGTATGGTCTATGGAACCAGGAGTCAAACATTCACTGTTTGAACTCATCTTTAGTAAAGGGGAAAAAAAAAAAAAAAAAAAACTAGCTGAGAGAGCACCTGTACTGAATTTTACACTTTACAAAATACTTAAAAGGCATTTTAAATATGTTAGCTTATTTTTGTAAAAAACTTCCATTTCTAAGCGTTTCTAAGACCACTGTTTATTAACACAACTATAGGCAATTAGCTAAGTTATTAAATTAGTTTTAAGAACAATTTTGCACTAAAAAATACAGTTTTTCAATGATCATTTAGGTGGTAACAACTTCAAAGAATTCAGGACTTTAATACAGAGAAGCTGAGGCTGAGCATGGTGGCTCATGCTTGTAATCCCAGCACTTGGGGAAGCCGAGGCAGGTGGATTGCCTGAGGTCAGGAGTTCAAGACCATCCTGGCCAACATGGTGAAACCCCATCTCTACTAAAAATATAAAAATTAGCCAGGCATGGTGGTGCACACCTGTAATCCCAGCTACTCAGGAGGCTGAGGCAGGAGAATCACTTAAACCCGGGAGGCAGAGGTTGCAGTGGGCCAAAATTGTGCCACTGCACTCCAGCCTGGGTGAAACAGCAAGACTCTGTTTCAAAAACAAAAAAAAAAAAACAAAAAAACAAACAAAAAAAAACACAGAAGCTGAACCTCAGGATCTGAGGAAAATCCAATATTTAACCTACAAGGATTTCGACAATGACTGTATCCTGAAGTGACTGGGTATTCCAGTTACATAAAATAATGCTTCAGGGGAAAAATGTTAACTCAGAATGAAATTAAATATTTTAACGCATAACATTTTCAGTGTCAAGCACTGCTAGTAGAACTATCAATCTCTAAGAAGCTAGTATTGTAAAAGTTTAAGGAGAAATGGTTCTTCCATTAGGATAAAGAACCTGCACAAACAACATTATAATTTAAAACAAAAAGTCTGTACACATTAGAAATGAATAGTATGATTTTTTGGCTTTTTTGTTTTTTCTTAAGATTAGTTTCACCTTATATAGTTTGATATTTTAAAATACAACATTCTCATTTTCTTTAATAATTCTATGCATATATACGTAAATACACATACACAACAGAGAACGATTTAAAAGGAAATATTCCAAATGTTAACAAAAGTGTTTTCTCTGAATTGTGGAACTGTAGATGATTTAAATATTTTTCTTGGTGTCATTCTATACCTTCCGAAGTACTTATAAAGAATAAGTGTTTCATGGCCAGGTGTGGTGGCTCATGCCTGTAACCCCAGCACTTTGGGAGGCTGAGGTGGGTAGATCGCTTAAGCTCAGGAGTTCAAGAACAGCCTGGGCAACACAGCAAAACCCCATCTCTAGAAAAAAAAAAAAAAAATTAGCCCGATCCGGTGGTGCACCTGTAGTCCCAGCTACTTGGAAGGCTGAGGCAGGAAGATTGCTTGAGCCTGGGAGGTCAAGGCTACAATGAACAGAAATCATGCCAATGCAATCCAGGCTGGGCAGCAGAGAAAGATCCTATCTTTGAAAAAAAAAAAAGTATTTCTTTCATAATTATAAAAAATTCAGGCCGGGCGCAGTGGCTCACGCCTGTAATCCCAGCACTGTGGGAGGCCAAGGCAGGCGGATCACGAGGTCAGGAGTTTGAGACCAGCCTGACCAACATGGTGAAACCCCGTCTCTACTAAAAATACAAAAATTAGCCAGGCGTGGTGGCACATGCCTGTAATCTCTGCTACTCAGGAGGCTGAGGCAGAAGAATTGCCTGAACTTGGGAGGCAGAGGTTGCAGTGAGCCCTGCATTCTAGCCTGGATGACAGAGCGAGACTCTGTCTCAAAAAAAAAAAAAAAAAAAAAAAAAAATCAGTGTTTTGGGATATTCCTTTTTAATAACTAGTTTTAATAAACTAAATATGGTGTAAAAAAAAAACACTACAAAAGTAAAGAGTCAGCCCTCCATATCCAAGAATTTCATACCTGTGGATTCAACCGACAACAATAAAAAACATTAACAAAAAATAAGGTAAAATACAACACTAAAAATAATAAAAATAAAATCCAATACTATTCACACAGCACTTACACTGTACTAAGTATTAGAAGTAATCTAGAGATGATTTAATGTATATGAGAGAATGTGCACAGGTTATATGCAAATATTACACCAGTTTATATAAGGGACTTGAGCATCTGAGGATTTTGTTATTCATGGGGGTTCCTGGAGGCAATCCCCCATGGATATCAAGGGTACCATGAAAAATATGTCCCTCGGCTGAGCGTAGTGGCTTACGCCTGTAAATCCCAGTGCTTTGGGAGGCCGAGGTGGGCAGATCACGAGGTCAGGAGTTCGAGACCAGCCTGGCCAACATGGTGAAACCCCGTCTGTACTAAAAATACAAAAATTAGGCCAGGTGCGGTGGCTCACACCTGTAATCCCAGTGCTTTGGGAGGCTGAGGCAGGTGGATCAAGAGGTCAGGAGTTCAAGATCAGCCTGGCCAAGATGCTGAAACCCCGTCTCTACTAAAAATACAAAAAAAATTATCTGGGAGTGGTGGTGGGCACCTGTAATCTCAGCTACTTAGAAGGCTGACGCAGAGAATTGCTTAAACCTGGGAGGCGGAGGATGCAGTGAGCCGAGATCATGCCACTGCACTCCAGCCTGGGCAACAGAGCGAAACTCTGTCCAAAAAAAAAAAAAAAAAAAAAATTAGCTGGGTGTGGTGGCACATGCCTGTAATCCCAGCTACTCAGGAGGCTGAGGCAGGAGAATCGCTTGAACCCAGGAGGCAGAGGTTGCAGTGAGCCAAGATCACACCACTGCACTCCAGCCTGGGTGACAGAGTGAGACTCCATCTCAAAAAAAAAAAAAAAACAACAACAACAAAAAAAAACAAAATTAAAAACGAAAGAAAAATACGTCCCTCTACCATCACAGGCCCTGAATTTTCCTTCTTAGAAGCAATCACTATGAAGTTTCTAGCCTCTTGGTCCAGAAATTTTCTATGCATATATTAAGAATAAATATATGGAATGTAGTATATATATATTTACTCAACACATTGCAAATATATACATTGTTCCACACCCTGCTTTATTCATGTAATGCATTATCTTGGAGATCATCCCAAATCCAAACACATACATATATTTCATTCTTTTTCATGGTTACATAGTATTCTATTATATGTTCACACAATGTATTTTAGAGTATGTATCTTGTATTTACAGATATTTATAGATTGGTTTCATTGTAAAAATAAAGCAGAGCATTAAATTTTTTTTTTTATTTTTGAGACAGAGTCTTGCTCTGTCGCCAGGCTGGAGTGCAGTGGGGCAATCTTGGCTCACTGAAACCTCTGCCTCCCAGGTTCAAGTGATTCTCCTGCCTCAGCCTCCTGAGTAGCTGGGACTACAGGCATGTGCCACCACGCCCAGATAATTTTTGTATTTTTAGTAGAGACGGGGTCTCACTGTGTTGGCCAGGACAGTCTCAATCTCGACCTCGTGATCCACCCTCCTCAGCCTCCCAAAGTACTGGGATTATAGGTGTAAGCCACAGCGCTGTTTTTTTTTTGTTTTGTTTTGTTTTGTTTTTGAGACGGTGTCTTGCTCTGTTGCCCAGGCTGGAGTGCAGTGGTGTGATCTCGGCTCACTGTAACCTCTGCCTTCTGGGTTCAAGCAATTCTCCTGCCTCAGTCTCCTGAGCTGCTGGGATTACAGGCATGTGCCACCACGCTCAGGTAATTTTTGTTTTAGTAGAGATGGGGTTTTGCCATGTTGGCCAGGCTGGTCTCGAACTCCTGACCTCAGGTGATCTGCCCACCTCGGCCTCCCAAAATGCTGGGATTACAGGCGTGAGCCACCGTGCTGGCCTAAAATATTTTTAACATATATACTTTTACATAGATATTGAAGGAAGAAGCTGCCTCCCAGGATAGGAGCAAGGTGGCTTGGGTTAAGAGAAAAAGTAGAGTTACTTTCATTATATATGTTTACATATCCTTTCACTTTTGTACCATGCGTAATATACTCTATTTTAAAAATGAAGTTAAAATAAAGAACATTAAAAACCATTACATGCTCAACTGAACTTACAAGATAAATAAGAACATCAAATGAGATACCATTTTTACTCCATTAGACTTTGAGAAATTAAAAATGTTTCACAATTCCGTCTTGGAGAGATACTAAGGGAAGAGTCACTCTCACATACTTGATAATGGGAATGTACACTGATACAACGCACTGGAAAACAATCTGCAACATCTATCAAAATTTAAAATGTTCATACTCTTATATCCAGCAATTCTGCAAATAAGCCCTATCAATATGCTCACATATAAATTGAGTAATATGTACAATGATAGTCACTATATGCTATACATATTAGTACAAGGCCAGAAACAATCTAAATATCTAACAGACTAATTGAATAAATTTTAGTATAGCCATACAATGGATTACAATGCAACTTAAAAAGAATAAGCAGTTTGATATACATACCGATATAAACCAATCTCCAAAAAATATAAAGTAAAAAAGAAAGCCAATGTAAAAAAAAATTTATCTATAAGACTATGCTCATAAATTTAACCTAACACTCAAAAACTACCCAATAAAGAGGTAACAGTAGATGCTGTTTCCCTAAACCTATCCCCTAGATACTCAATTCCTTTATCCCTCAAGAGATAAAATAATGTACACTAAAACCTATTTTTCAGTATACATTATTTTTAAATTCTTTTTTATTTTTACTTTCCCAGAAACTTCTTGACAATATACACTCTTTTGAACCTTTAGAATTCTGCATTATGGGCATAATTTATTTAAGTATTTTAAGTAAAATTTATTTTAAAAAACTATGTACTATATGACCCATTTTTACAAACTAGATATGTACAGAAACAACTGATGGTACAAAACCTGAAATGAAACTTCATTAAGTGTTTTACAAATCATAGCAATAATTCTTACCTAAATAACTGCTGAAAGTTTGGTTTAATAAAGTTTGCTTCAATATTTTGTCGTATGCATATTATATGGGTTATTCCATGTTTCTGTAGTACAGGTAGCTGTATAAAAAAAAAAGCAGGGGGAGGACAGGGAAGATAAATATTTTAAAATATCAAACATCATCTTACTATATAACACAGATGTTTGAAAATACACAGAACCCACATCTCTGCTTAAGTCCAGGGAATTAAAGCTAATTTTATAATATACCTGAAGTGGGCAGCAAGATATTTCAATGATTCAAGATTAATACATTAATGTCCTCAAAAGGTTAACAGGGATATTTCATACCTACAATTTTAGAGCTTGATGGAACCTTTATGTAAGATGTTTGGCATAGCACCTGGGACACACAGCAAGTGTTTAATAAATGGTAGTTAATATATATTGACTGCAATCTTTATTGTTTAGAGAGAACCACTAAGACATAAAACAGTTACATTACCAAATACTTGGACATCACCGACCTAGTTAACAGCAGTACTGGAACCCAAATCTCTAGACAACTCCTTGCCTCTCCCAGTATACTTTAAGAGTCAGAATTAATTTACATACTTCACAGAATCTAATTAACCTTTTACCATTTAAAAATTTTCCTGAAGTTAAAAATGGCAACTTCAATGACATCTTATTATATTCAATACAGGTTGAGTATCCCTTATCTAAAATGCTGGTCCCAAGGTAGGACCAGAAGTGTTTCAGATTTCAGATTTTGAAATATTTGCATATACATACTCAGATGTCTTGGGGATGGTATCCAAGTTTAAACACAAAATTCATTTATGTTTCACACACACCATATATACTCTGAACGTAATTTCATACAGTCATTTGGTGCATGAAACAAAATTTTGACAGTGACCCATTACATGGGGTCAGGTGTGGAATTCACTTGTGCTGTCATGCTGACACTCAAAAAGTTTCACTTTGGAGCATTTCAGATTTTTCAGATTAGGGATACTCAACCTGTAGTGCTTTTGGCTCCATACTTAAAGCAATTTAACATGACAATTCTAGAAATTACCAGATAATAAGTTTTCATTTGCTAGTGATAAGTTTAAGTGAGTTTATAGATGTTATTTTATTACCTAGAGCATTAAGTTCCATGACAGAAAAGATTTTTATTTGTTCACTGATACATAGTATGTGTAAAATGTATAATACAATTCACTTAAGTATCAAGTATGTATAACTAGTTAAGTTGTTCAATAATTACCTGTTCAATAAATGAACTAACAAGTCACGATGGCATGAGAATCAGATAACCTTGAATTTCTTGACACATTGTTTTAAATCCTATATATTTAATTCCCATTTTCTGCATTTTAAATAGTACAAAACAGTAGCACTAATAATTCATGAGCAAAGTAAAAAAAAATAATTTATATGTGTTATGAACTAAATGTTTGCATCACCTCAAATTCTTATGTTGAAATCCTTACCCCCAAGATGTGATGGTGGAGTCTCTGGAAGATAATCAGTTTTAGATTGAGGTCATGAGGGTAGAAACCTCCATGACAGGATTGTACCCTTGTAAGAAGAGGCAAGAACTCGTTCTCTTGGCCGTGTGAGGATACAGCAAGAAGGGAGGGATCTGCGAGCCAGCAAGAGGGTCCTCACCAGAGCCGGACCATGACTGTGGACTTGCCAGCCTCCAGAACTCAAATAATCGTCTGTTGTTTAAGCCACCCTGTCTATGGTATTTTGTTTGAGCAGCCTGGGCTAAGACAATATAATTTGCAAGTTTTAAGTGTTAATTTCTGCAGCAAGTTTTATGTCAGCATAGATTAGAATTCAATTATCTTTGTATTTCTTGAGTATAACTTGAGTTAGGGAAAGTGAGATAAGCATTTGGTAAGATTAATAATTAACCAATGTTCTATATTGAGATTTGTGCCAATTTCCACAACAAATTCAACATTAAGTCCTTCGTTTACACTTGATGCCTATGGAGTTTTCCTATCTACTTTATGAATGTGAGAAAGCACAAGACGATGCACATAATTATGTATAAATATGCTTAAACAAGTTTTGAAGGCCCAATAGACTACTACTAAATAAAAATAAACTATCAAAATAGAGCCCTAACGTAACAGCGAATAGATTTTGTACTTTTCAGAGGCAGATCTGCAATTACTTTTGCACCAACCTAATATGAAGCAAATTATGACCTTACCTCACATTTAAAAACAGTAGAAAAACTTTACAAAAACAAACCGTTTACTAATTACAAAGGCCCTAAATTTGTCCCTTTTATTTAAACTGTATTTGAATTTAATAAAAAGATATACTTAAGTAAATGTGGCCAGCATAGCCAGACTCCATCTCTACAAAAACTTTGAGAATTAAGCCAGGCATGGTGGTGTGTGCCCGTAGTCCTGGCTACTTGGGAGACTAAGGTGGGAAGACAGCTTGAGCCCAGGAGTTTGAGGTTACAGTGAGCTATGAGAGCGCGCCACTGTACTCCAGCCTGGGTAACAGAGCAAGACCCCACTCCTCTCCCACAAAATAATAACAGTAAATGAGTGTTTAAAAAGGAGTTTATCCATTTAGGTTTATCTCCATTATTATTTTTTGTTGTTGTTTTTAGATAATGGTATGAAAAGAAATATGGGCTATATTATGGTTACCTAGGGTGGGAAATAAACTGCCACAGAGGCTTTTCCTGTCTAATAAGACCATGGTGACATTTCAAGAAAAGAAGTTTTGAAGAACTAGACCTTTTTTTGTGCGTGTTTTTGTTTCATTTTGAGACAAAGTCTCACTCCGTCAACCAGGCTGGAGTACAGTGGTGCCATGTTGGCTCACTGCAACTTCTACCTCCCAGATTCAAGCAATTCTCGCGCCTCAGCCTCGCGAGTAGCTGGGATTACAGGTGTGTACCACCATAACCAGCTAATTTTTGTATTTTTAGTAGAGACGGGGTTTTGCCATGTTGGCCAGGCTGGTCTCGAACTCCTGGCCTCATGTAATCCGCCTGCCTCAGCCTCCCATTGAGGAGATAGACCTTTAAACAAATACTTTAATTTAATGTGATAAATACTGTATGTATATTTATAAAGTACAGTGGGAATTTCAAAAATGTAAATTATCTAAAACCATCTGGAAGACTAGTACTTGGTGAATAGCAAATTATATGGACAATAACCTTGTTTACATCTGTCTTTTACAAAATAAATTACGGCTATGTCTATAGTTACCTGCCCTATCCTTTCCCTAGTACTTATTTTTACTAACTCCCTATCTTTCCAACTAAGCAAAAATCATCAAGATGACCAGGTTTACTCTTAGCCATGTCTCAACTGTCAAAAAAATCTTCCAGTTTCAAAATCAATGACCTTTTAAAACCGGTTAAATTCCTAAGAACATCAAATTAAATTATGGATATATCAAACACAATTTAAGTATACTGACTTCTGAATAGGCAAAGTATTGGGGAAAGACATCTATGATATGTTCCACGTTGTAACTCAAAGAGAATTAGTAGCATTGAATCTTTTAGAAGTGGCAAGAACATTGCTATATTTATTAAAATGAGATCTACCTATTTTAACTGCAACTGAGTAAGTCCATTAAAGTTTGACTATGTAGAATATCTATACGGATTGAATATCCCTTATTTAAAATGCCAGGGACCAGAAATATTTCAGAGTTTGGATTTGTTTGTTTTGCCTATTTGCATTATACTTATAATTGAGCATCCCTAATCCAAAAATCCGAAATCCGAAATACTCCAGTGAGGATTTCCTTCGAGTGACATACTGGTGCTCAAAAAGTTTCAAATTTCAGAGCGGGGATACCAACTAGCTCTCTAAAGTCTGGCTGGCAAAACAGAACTAAGGTGAATGACTTTCAATTAACACACACAGTCTTACCCTTGATAAGGAAGGTTTAACTAAACATTGAAATTCCTTATTTTGGGCTTTAACTACATCTCATATTGTTCTGAAGCTATGATTAGCAATTACAGATGTCTAGTGTTTTAGAGAGTAAATAAGTTATTAAAGGTCAGTTATTTGGTAAATCTTTCAAACATACAAATTTCATGAGGAAAAAACAAAAACTCTGATTTGTGGTGAAACACTTGAGAACTACTGGTCTAGTAAAATAGGGAAAGAGGAAGGTACTCCAGAGTGACAATTACTGTTAACAGACAGTATTTGTGGATGCTCCCTAAAATAAAACTCTTTATTACTAAAAAACTTACCCAAGAAAAGTTGGTTAATAAAAGTCTCTCTTGATGAATCTAACAAAGTTCATACCTTGCTTTTCATAGCAGATGAATATGGGCCTAAGAACAATCCAGGTAAAATTTCCTAGAAAAAAAAAAATTTGAGGTATTTACCATCAGCAATTTAAATCTATAAGGCTATATAAATAAGACAAACCTTATTTGGCCAAATCAAAAGCAGCACAAGATACAACAAGATTGGAACTATTATCTATTTTTTTAATCTTTTTTTTTTTCTTTAAAAAATAGAGACGAAGTCTCACTATGTTGCCCAGGCTGATAAGGAACTCCTGGGCTCTAGTGATCCTTCTGCCTCAGCCTCCCAAACGGCTGGAATTACAGACATGAACTCCTGTGCCTGACCTAAAACTATTATCTATAGTTAATAGAAGCAAATTATTACTGTAACATAAAAATTCCAAATTCAAATATTTGCCAGTTGACAAAATTTCAACAAGTATGTACCTTCCAGATGTTGAATTCAAATTTATTTTATGTAAATTCAATACAGAAAGCTTTCAGTCTGGATATATCATACCCTAGATACTAACAGTAACTTTATAGTTCAGTTCTATAAGTCATAATTATTTGTATATAAAACTGATTTCTTCCACCAGGCTTTTGTGGGCAGAAATTACATTTAGTCATCTTTGCATTCCTCCTAACACCAAGTAAAATGCCTCATAGGTACTCACCTATTTTTTCAAAGTGAACTTTCATTAAGAGAGAAAAGTAACAGATTTTTAGAAGTCATGGGATTCCCAGGAACAAGATACTGCTTAATCCTGGGGCAAACAGACTTGACGGTAAATGGTATGAAATGCAAAAGAAAATGAACTGCTATGAGGGTTAGCTATCGTTTAATTCATTCCAAACTGAAAGTATTCAATTTGATCTTCTAGAAGACTTAATTGTGGAAGTTGATTAAAAATCGGACACAAAATGAACAATGCTTATTTGCTGTACAGACAACTCTCCCTAACTTATCTAGACAAACAGAGAAAGCAAACTGCTTTCAAAAGGAATACAAAGAAAGTATCCAATTTTTCACGTGAGGAAAAAGAAAGTGACTCATTGGCCAGGCACGGTGGCTCATGCCTGTAATCCCAGCACTTTGGGAGGCCAAGGTGGGTGGATCACCTGAGGTCACTGGATCACCTGAGGTCAGGAGTGTGAGACCAGCCTGAACAAGGAGAAACCCTGTCTCTACTAAAAATACAAAATTAGCTGGGTGTGGTGGCGCATGCCTGTAATCCCAGCTACTCGGGAGGCTGAGGCAGGAGAATCACTTGAACCCGGGAGGTGGACGTTGCGGTGAGCCGAGATCGTGCCATTGCACTCTAGCCTGGGCAACAAGAGCGAAACTCTGTTTCAAAAAAAAAAAAAACAAAAAAAAAACCAAGAGAAAGTGACTCATTAAGCACATACACCTATTACTACGTTCCTCTTTCTAATTTCCCATCGTTTTAAGATCCAAGATTAACCTTAAATATTTAAAATAATTATTTAAAATACATAATGATGAACCTACAGATCATGAAATCAGCAGGTCTCAAATCCTATAAACTAAGGTTCTTATTATGATAATAACATGGGTTGGTTTGAACAAAGAAAAGGTTGCCATACCTGCATCTCTCGTCTCATAGGGTAGGTCCACTCCTGGGAAGGAAAACATAAGAATAAAAGTAGATAACATTTAAAAAGTCACCCAATTAAAGGCTAAAGATGTGACACACAAGTATGTAGATTTTTTAAAGTTACATTATACTTTAAGAACATTTTATTAAAATAGCAGACTTGGTTTCACAAACATCTGAAAATTGAAGTGACAAGAAACAAAGCTTAAAGCATTCTTTAAATAACTAGGCTTCCAGAATTGTTATGTTACTTCATAAAATGGATGAAATTACTCATTAAACTTAAGAATAGAATAGATATTCCAGAAGATTCTCCCAAAACTGATCTTCTAAGTCAGAGATGCCAATAGATTTTTTTTGTTTCTCATGCCAACTCTAATCAACTGACAGCAGATACCTAAAACACTGTGTGGTCCAAGACAGGAAGAAGAGTGTCTGATCAACAAATAATATCTGAAATGGATAAAAGAAGAATGCTATGTCATACGTACTTGCCATCTCTGATCTAAAATGCCAAATGCTTATCAAAGAGCCTTTCCTTCATCTCACTTGGGCCTAACATTCTTGTCTAGTTCAATTATTTTAACACATATCACAAAACATAAGAGACTTCATTTTGTCTTTGGAATGCAGACCAATATAAAGAAGCTGTAAAACAACACAAAATGTCAATGGTAAAAGATAAAAAATATTTTAAAACTTAGAAAAAAAGTATAGTGAATTGAAATGAAGAATCGAAATAGACTAAAAGGCCAGGCTCTGTGGCTCATGTCTGTAATCCCAGCACTTTGGGATGCCGAGGCAGGCAGATTGCTTGAGCTCAGGAGTTTGAGACCAGCCTGGGAAACAGGGTGAAACCCCTTCTCTACTAAAAATACAAAAAAATTCGTTGGGCATGGTGGAGCCTGCCTGTAATCCCATCTACACAGGAGGCTGAGGTGGGAAGATCGCTTGAGCCTGGGAGGCAGAGGTTGCAATGAGCTGAGATCACCCCACCACTCCAGCTAGGGTGACAGACTGAGACCCCGTCTAAAAAAATACTATAGTACAGATAGTCCTCATTTGTCAGTGGGTTGACTGCATTCCAAAAGTTTCTAAGTTGGTTGCTTAAAACTCAGAATTATTATTAGTAATTAGGTTTCTGAAGTAGTCTGGAAAATATTTTTTTAACCTTTTATTTTGAAACAATTTTAGGATTATAGAAAAGTTGCAAAAATAGTACAAGGAATTCCATTTACCCTTCACCCAGATTCTCTAAGTCAGAAAAGTATTTTTTTTATTTTTTTATTTTTTGAGACCGAGTCTTACACTGTCATCCAGGTTGGAGTGCAGTGGCGCGATCTCGGCTCAATGCAAGCTCCGTCTCCCGGGTTCACACCATTCTCCTGCCTCAGCCTCCCGAGTAGCTGGGACTACAGGCACCCACCACCACGCCATAATTTTTTTGTGTGCTTTTAGTAGAGACGGGGTTTCACCGTGTTAGCCAAGATGGTCTTGATCTCCTGACCTCGTGATCTGCCCGCCTCGGCCTCCCAAAGTGCTGGGATTTCGGGAGTGAGCTACTGCCCCCGGCCCAGAAAAGTATTTTTAACACAGAAGGTAGAAATAGTATACATCTATAATGAAAAGAGAGAATAATAATCCTACAATGAGAGACAGGTTTTTTTTTTTAACTAAGAGAAACAGAAAACATTTTTATTTTTAATCTTGAAAACTGTTCTCAGCAATATAGTAGTAGACTATAAACCCCGAGTAATGACAGTTTAAAAAAATCAAAAAGCCGGGCGCGGTGGCTCACACCTGTAATCCCAGCACTTTGGGAGGCTGAGGCGGGTGGATCACCTGAGGTTAGGAATTTGAGACCAGCCTGGCCAACATGGTGAAACTCCATCTCTACTAAAAATACAAAAATTAGCCAGGCATGGTGGCGGGAGCCTGTAATCCCAGCTACTTGGGAGGCTGAGGCAGGAGAATCGCTTGAACCTGGAAGCGGAGGTTGCAGTGAGCTGAGATCGTGGCATTGCACTCCAGCCTAGGCAACATCAGTGAAACTCCATCTCAAAAAAAAAAAAAAAATCAAAAGATTCATAGCAATCAATCAGAAGGAGGCCAGTTATCCTGAGCCAGCATAAGGAAGTCCCCTGTGTTTTAATACTATAAAGAAACTAACTTTGAAATGACCAATCCACTTTTTGTTTCATTTCTGCTTTATTTAGCTAGATTTTGCCTATAAATTCAACTTCCTCTGCTCAGCACACTGAAATGCCTTTTCTAAATCTTTTGATGACACACTGCCTGATTCATGAACCACTAATAAAAGTGAGTTAGATTTTTAAGCTAAATTTGTTGTAATTTTGTCTTTTGACACAGGGTAGGCCTATGTTTGGCTTTACTAGATACTGCCAAAAGTTTTGTAAAACCACTGTACACTCCCACCAGCAATGTATGGGACTTCTAGTTGTTCTACATCTTCACTACGGCCTTATTTTAAGTGGAAACGTACTTGTAAACATAAGACAAAGTCTATGATCTGCTCAAAGTCGAACTCAGATCAAGACCAAAAAGCTAGAACTCCCAAAGGCAACATCCTCAGTGAAAGATAAACTAGGGAAAGAAAGAAAAACAAAAACTCAACTCATCCCACAGAAGTGAGTACTCTTGTCCTTCCTAGCTTTGGCTCTGGGTAGGTATTGGTAGTGGTGGAGTGGGGTCTTCCTAACCACAATCTGGCATCCACTCAAGTTTGGGGTTAGAATTCAGTTACTTTTGTGAGGCCAAGTGAGAATTTAATGTAAGTGGTCCTGGGTAGATTGCATCCCTGGATTCCTGGAAGAAGCAAATGCATATTCTCTAGAAAAACACACCTTAAACCTAGATCAGAAATAATTCACACAGATAAAGTCCCAACAAGCTCACAATCAAAAACTAATTTAAAAACAGGAAATGAGCCACCACAGGAAGCAGAAACAACTGAGTTACACTTACAAAACTGCAGATATTATAAGCAATAACGAAAAATATAAAAAATTTAAAGAAATTAGAGTATCAAAATATGACCAGACTAAGAAATTGATTTTTAAAAACACAGAATATGTAGAAATAAGAAGTATAATTGAAATTAAAAATCAGTGAATAGGCCAGGTGCGGTGGCTTACACCTGTAAATTACCAAGTACTTTGGGAGACTGAGGTAGGCGGATCACTTGAGCTCAGAAGTTTACCAGCTTGGGCAACATGGTGAAACCCTGTCTCTACTAAAAATATAAAAATTAGCCAGGCATGGAGGTGGCACGCCTGTAGTCCCAGCTACCCGGGAGGCTGAGGCAGGAGAGTTGCTTGAATCTGGGAGGTGGAAGCTGCAGTGAGCCGAGATTGCACCACTGCACTCCAGCCTGGGTGACAGAGTGAGACTCCATCTCTCATACACACACACACGAAACTCAAAAGTAAAATCAAAAGATATCATTACCTACCATTAGAATGGTTAAAGTTAAAAAAATTGACAACACCAAATGCTGGTGATGATGTGGAGCAACTGGGACTCTCACACATTGCTGGTGGGAATGTAAAATGAAATGGTAAACATACACCTACCCTATTATAATATCTAGCCATTCCACTCCTAGGCTTTACCAAAAAAAAAATATATATATATATATATATAAAAACATATATCCACACAAAGACTTATACATGAATATTTATAGCAGCTTTATTTATTGTAGTCTCAAAGAACTCAAATGTCTATGGTCTCTTCATACAAAGGAATAGTAGTACTCAGGGATAAAAGTCTACGAAGTACTCATAAACACAACAACATGGATGAATTTCATTGACATTATGCTCAGTGAAGAAAGCCACACACAAAAGAGTCCATTTGCATGATTCCATTTGTATCAAGTTCAAGAGCAAGGAAAACTAATCTATGTTGATAGAAATCTGGTTTCCTATTGTGGAATGGGAGAGGAAATGCCTGGAAATAGATGTAACCTTCTATGCTAATAGAATGTTCTTGTATCTTGATGGGGTGGATTAGTGTATGTTCATCAAAACTCAATGAACTGCACACTTACTATTTGTACATTACACTATATAAATTTTACCTTTATTAAAAAAGATCAACTAGACAAAAGACAGATTACACACAAAGGAAGGACAATCAGATGGACACTGACTTCTCAATTGCATGAACAGAAGCCAGAGGACACAAATAATTCATTCATAGTGGCAGGACAAAAACAACTGTTAATTAAGAATATATGCTCGGAAAAATATCTTTAAAGAAAAAAAGTTAAAATGTTCTTTGAAGAAGGGATACTATCACTGTCTATTTTAGTCATAGAGAACCTAAGTAACTTGATTTTGGATCCAGAGAGTCTGAACCCAGAGTTCATTCTCTGAATCAATATACTATACAGTCTTTCAATGTAAGAATGAACTTTACGGCAAACATACAGTTACAATTAAACAAATATTGGCTGCATAAAATAATGACTAATTTATGGATATTAACAGAATAGAAATAAAGCATGTAATTTCTAAGCCAGCAATGAGGGAAATGTAATTGTTTACTAGATACTTTTTTTTTCTTTTTGAGACGGAGTCTCGCTCTGTCGCCTAGGCTGGAGTGCAATGCAGTGGCACGATCTCAGCTCACTGCAACCTCCGCTTCCCAGGTTCAAGCAATTATCTGCCTCAGCCTCCTGAGTAGCTGGGATTACAAGCGCCCACCACCAAACCTGGCTAATTTTTGTATTTTTAGTAGAGATGGGGTTTCACCATCTTGGCCAGGTTGGTCTTGAACTCCTGACCTCATGATCCACCTGCCTCGGCCTCTCAAAGTGCTGGGATTACAGGCATGAGCCACCGCGCCCAGCCTAGATTCTTTAACTTACCAATGTGTTATGGTAATCTTTTTATATATGAGTTTTTTAGCCAGGTATGGTAGCTCACACCTGCAATCCCAGCCCTTTGGAAGGCTGGGGCAGGAGGATAGCTTGAGCCCGAGTTCAAGACCAGCCTGGGCAATATAGGGAGACCTCATCTCTACAAAAATTAAAAAATTAGCCAGGTGCGGTGGTGGTGCATGACTGAGGTCCTAGCTACTTGGGAGGCTGAGGCAGGAAGATCACTCGGGCTTGGGAGGTCGAGGCTGCAGTGAGTCATCATGGTGCCATTGCACTCCAGCCTGGGCAACAGAGACAGACCCTATCTCAACGAAAAAAAAAAAAAAAAAAAAAAAGAAAGAAAGGAAAAAGAAAACAGTTTTTAAAGACTTTAGGCCAAATACTCTTTTTAGTCATGGTACCCCTAATGATAAGCACAGTGCCTGACACAGAATAAGCACAAAATAGATGCATTTCAGAGATCTACTGCACTAAATGTTATTGACTTTTTTCTTTTTAAAAGATTCTCAAGTAGTCTAACAGCCAGCCTTATCTTCCTGAAGCAACTTGTCAGAGCTGTGATAAAGAAGAAAATCAATTAAAGAAATGAGTACTTTTGAATTTATCTAAAGTGAAATCACTAAATTTTGTGTAATTAAAGAAAAAAAAACAGGGCAACACATATCAAGGAATGGTGTAAATATATTCTGGGAAATACTTGTGTAAGGCAAGGAAGACTTTCCCTCTACCATCAGGATTCGATAACAGTCTATGAAATAAACTAAATGGAGAAAATGTATACAAATTTATTATGTGTATGGGAGTATCACAGGAAAGAAAAGTGTATACCAAAAAAAAAAAAGTGGTATTTTTAAAAAGTGTATACCAAAAACAAACAAAATCCGTGATATTTCAAACCAGTCTATGAAATAAACTAAACGGAGAAAAGGTATACAGATTCATTATGTGCATGGGGGTATCACAGGAAAGAAACGTGTATACAAAAAAAAAAAAAGTGATATTTAGGAGTTTATATACCCTTTATATAGCATGGGGGTAGAGGTATACAGGCAATTTAGAAGAACAATTCTGGAGAAAGATAAATGGGCCCTTAGAATAATAATAGATGATACTTTGTGTCAGTTTGTCTGGGTGTGGTGCTGACTTTTACTCTCCTCTCCAGTGATAAGAGACAATCTTCCCTGGTTGATCAAACTCCCTAGGAGCAAACTGAGCTTCTTTTGGAGGATCTGTCCTTAGGTAGGTAACAGGAGTTCAGAGAAAGTGTTTCTTTGCATTTGCTACTTTGCAAGTGTTTCCAACTTAAAGTAATCAATATATCAAGGTGTCATATTTTGGAGTGGCATTTCCTCAACACCTTCATTTGGCAATATGCCAAAAGACACTCAAAGCCACTGAAGTATCAATTTTATCAAAAAAATTCTTTAGGGAGAAACAGTATTTTCACTGGTTACTAATTTAAACAATTTTTATATTAAAACAAACAGGCACATATGGGATAGAATGCAAAATTTACCTGAACCTTTTAGCAAAACAAGAGGCTTCAAAGAACTTTTGAGCTTTCCATAAGGTTATATGTAATACAACATGAAAGACTCTCTTGAGATATATATATATATGGAAGATATTATAAGAGGGAAAAGCAAGTTGTATAGTAGGAGGGAATGAAAAATTATTCCTAGTCACAGGACAGATAAGAAGCCTTCTTCAGAGAACATTAGTAATTACTGCAATAGGTATGGATCCTTTGAAACCTAGAAAGCTTTCTCTCACAGAAAAGTTCATTTGGAACTATTCCTGGTGTTATCATCAGATGCTGATCTCAGAATCCACCTTCTTTGCTGCCCTAACCCAGATTACCACCTACAGAACAAACCTTAAACCTGCCTGTTGGCCGGGCACAGTGGCTCACGCCTGTAATCCCAGCACTTTGGGAGGCCAAGGAGGGTGGATCACAGGGTCAGGAGATCGAGACCATCCTGGCTAACATGGTTGACACCCCGTCTCTACCAAAAATACAAAAAATTAGCCGGGCATGGTGGCGGGCGCCTGTAGTCCCAGCTACTCGGGAGGCTGAGGCAGGAGAATGGCGTGAACCCGGGAGGCGGAGCTTGCAGTGAGTTGAGATCCTGCCACTGCACTCCAACCTGTTAAAACAAACAAACAAACAAAAAAACCCTGCCTGTCTATGGATCTTACTAACCAAGATTTTAAGTCTGAATGCTCATAGTCTTCTTCTACCACACATCCGTCTGAACACACGTCTAATAACCAAGTCTTGCCACTATCACACTTAATTCTTAATCTCAGCCTGCTCACACTACTCCTGAAATCTATCATTTTAGAAACCGTGGTATTAATGGAGGCATCTCCATATCACCAGCAATGATCTATTTTAAGTTACTATTGTAATTAATTAGTAGAAATCAATTTCCCAAACTTTATGAGTAGCCAAGCAGTTCAACCACATTAACCAAACCAAGGCAAGCCAGATAAACCAAAATAACCCTCTATTGTGAAACACCATGATTCTGAGACAAATTAATTCACAAGTGAAAATCTTTCGATCAACATGAGGTAGAAAGTACCACATGTTAAAACATCCTTCCGAATTATCTCCTTCCTTTCCATAAAAATGATCTATAAAACTGCATTTGGATAGAGAAAAGTTACAAAAATGTTCAAAGACCCTCAAATAAACACATCAATGAAGGATATAGACTGTAACCATTAGATAAAATAATTCTTATATGCATTGAAATATGAAATATGAACTTTTACAAATACAGTAGTCCCCCCTTATCCACAGGGGATATGTTCATACATTTGAGGATAGTGCTGAATCCTATATACACAATACTAAAATAAAACACAAATTGTACATAGGCTGGAGGTGGGGGGCAACAGTTTGGGGAAGAAAAAAAACATCAGAATACTAGACTTGCACTGGGACATTCCACAAAACAGAAAAGTTAGTATTGCACTTTCTCTCCTAGAAAAAATAGGTAAATCCCTCCAAAGTCCTTTTCCTTTCATTCCCACACCAAGCTTGAGCTTTGCTTAAATCAAAGGAGAAAAGAAAATGTTTCACTCAAATAAAAAGAGAAGGTGGGCAGGGACTGGAGGGGCAGAAGAGTACTCAAGTAAGATATTTTCTAAACCAGCAATTTTTAAACCTGACTGAACATTAGAATCATCTAGCTTCATTCAGATAAATTAAACTACAATAGGTGCTGGTAGGGTCCACGCATCAGTATTTTTAAAAAATTCCTTACTCTAGAGTAAGGGTTAAAAAGCACCATTCTAAATAAAGGAGCTAGAAAAGGAATCCTCAGCCATGTATGTTAAATAATTCCTATCTTTGATCCTGTACTACGGGATTCACAAGAAAAATGGAAAGGGAAACATGGAAAGTTGCTAAACTGCAATGGAAATAAATATTTCACTTTCTGTCAGAAGAGAAGATAAAACATTAACTTTTAAATTATAAAACCAATAGCCCCAGCTACAACCAATTTGCTTAAAAATTGGTACTATCAGCTACTCCTTCTTCCTAATATCTAAGCTCTCTTATGAAAGGTTCAGTCTAAATGGAAAATAGACAATGACCAAAAATTGTTAAATGTTACAAAGGTAAGTATTAAAGTACCAAGTGCCATAGTAGCTGGGGAATTGAACCAGTCTAGAGGATGAGGAAAGGAGTTAGAGAAACTGGCAAACAGGAAAAGCTTCTCTGAAGAAATGTTGCCTAAAGTGGGATCTAACCCAAGGGTAAGCAGTTAATTAGGTGAGGGTAAGGAAGGTGCTGGCAGCCAAGGCAGGGGAAAATAGCAAACATAAAGGCTCTGAAGGCGGGGGGTGGAAATTAAAGCATTCCAGGAACTGAGAGAAGATAAATATGGCTAGGGCTTACAGAGAAAGGAGCAAGAAGAGTAGCTCATAATGAGGTTAGAGAGGTATGCAGATGTCAGACCATACAGGACCCTGGAAATAATGTCAAGGGTTTAAATTTCATCTTCAAAACAATGGAAATTCATGAAAAAGTTTTAAACAAAAAAAGTAACAATCTTTTCACAAACTGACTGATCTAAATTTTTGTTAGCACTGTCCTATACAAAGAATACCAATATTTCAAGAAACGTGAAAGTAATATTCTTGTAGAGGTGACAGAATCATCAACCTATCATAGCTTGATCACATTAACATTAAAAGCATTCCCTGAACTCTCTGCTTGAATTCAGTTTTTATTAAATTTGGTCTGTAATTTGGATTTCCAGGTAGTGCTCCCTGTGTCAAAGAAACAATGCTGGCTGATCACTCTAACTACTTAAGACCATTTGACACTTTACATTATCTCACTGGAGATTAGAAAATTAACAGTGCTTATTAGTCAGTTTATTATGAATAACTATATGCTCCTATTTAATAGTTTATTTATGTGGCCCCTATGTATAGTTTTATCAGCCCAGAAAGTACCCTCTACCTGTGGAAATGTTCCTATGGTTTTGGTGGGAGGGCTACCAACAATAAACTTCACTCCTCTAGCCAAGGAATTAGGGATATGACCTAGATGGGGCCCCTCATTGTATCTGCCCTTTCCTGGCTACAGTGACTGATCCAAAGTGTGGGAACATGAATTAAATTGGGCAATTCCTCTAGATTTCAAACACAGAAGCTGGAAGTGTTCAGTTTTATTCCTCAATAACCAAGCTCATAAAGGTGTGACCCCAGATGGCCAAGCTTCACATCTTGGAGAAGCCAGAGAGAAAGCAGAGACTCCGAGAGAAAGTAGAGATAAGAACTCATGAGAGACAAAGGCAGTTCTGATGCTTTATAATACCTGGGTTTGGTCAAATCCTTGAAACTAGCTGCACCACTACCCTTCTGGATTTAATTACTTTTTTTTTTTTTGAGATGGAGTCTCGCTCTGTCTCCCAGGCTGGAGTGCAGTGGCTAGATCTCGGCTCACTGCAAGCTCCGCCTCCCGGGTTCATGCCATTCTCCTGCCTCAGCCTCCCAAGTAGCTGGGACTACAGGCGCCCGCCACCATACCTGGCTAATTTTTTTTTAAGTAGAGACGGGGTTTTACCGTGTTAGCCAGGATGGTCTTGATCTCCTGACCTCGTGATCCGTCCGCCTCGGCCTCCCAAAGTGCTGGGATTACAGGCGTGAGCCACCACGCCCGGCCGGATTTAATTACTTCTTCTTTTTCTTAAATTCGTTTTTGTTGCTTGCAACCAAAAGATACCAAACATGCAATATTAAGAAATACGGAACGAATTGGCTTTCAGCAGACAATACTTGCATCATTATCCACTAGCTTTAACCATTACCTCTGTCCCTGTGATATAATATGAAATACATGGTCTTTCTCTCCAGTTCCTGTCACAGTCCTCCTAAAACTCTTGGAATTTTCTAATAGGAGTGTCTTTGGTTATTTATGAGCCACTATTTTTGATCAAACCTGATTATGCTAATGAAGTGATTTAGGGTGGGGCCAGTCACCAGAAAGACCATGTGACAAGAGGGTTGAACTCTCAGCCTCACACACACACACACCTCTATGGGAGGGGATGGAGATGAAGTTCTATAAAAACCGTTGAATAAGATTTGTTGAGCTTCTGGATGAAAACACTGGAGGTGCTAGTGAGGCAGGTGAATAGGGTCTGGAGGCAGGGAATCTAAGGCTGTTTCACCCCGACTTCCCAGAACTAACTTGAAGGGAAAACCCTAACTTTCCACGCCTAAGTAACAAAAGGACCAGAGGCTACTCCCGTTGCAAACCACCTACCTTTTCTGCACAGTAGACGGGAAATTGGCTGTCCTCAACAAATCAGACTGACTGCGGGTGGAATCTTCGTTTGCAACTTTGTAACTTCACTCTAGCCACTGAATGGTCGCTGTCCACAACCAAGCGGACTGATGTGGGGGTGGGTCTGGCAACCAATCAGACCAATTGCAAGCCACCTCTTCATTTACATGAGGTGAGCATGGAATGGCCAATGGGAAAGTTCTAGGGGGTATTTGGACCCAAGAAGATTCGGTAAAGCAGCGGGGGTCGGGGGGGAGTGCTGCTAGGGCAGCTCCCACACTGTGGAGTGTACTTTTGTTTTCAATAAATCCCTGCTTTTGTTCTTTTGTTGCTTCATTCTTTCTTTGCTTGGAGTTTTGTCCAATTCTTTGTTCAAAACGCCAAGAACCTGGACAGCTTGCAATCATGACTCTACTGGTGACACTGGGATGGTGGTGTGCCCCTTCCCCCATACCTTGCCCTATTCATCTCTTCCTACTGGCTGTTCACTGATCTTTTGTAGTATCCTTTATAATAAACCCGTAAATGTACTTCCCTGAGTCCTGTAAGTCACTCTAGCAAGTTAACTGAACCAAGGAGGGAGTAACGGGAACCCTGATTTACAGTCAGTCAGGAGTGTATAGGTGACAACCTACTACTTGTGATTACCATCTGAGGTTGGGGGCAGCCTTGCGGGACTGAGCCATTAACCTGTGGGATCTGACTAACTTCAGGTACATATGTGTCAGAATTGAATTATGGGACATTCAGTTCATGCCTGCTGGAAAACTGCTTGGTATGGAAAAACCCCCACACATCTGGTAGCATAAAAAAAAGAGTGTGTTTTCAAGTCCCACACAGAAAAGACAGGTATATATTCCCAGCAAGAATTTATCAGTTTTGCAGGAATAAGGCATACATAATGATATACACAGTAACAGATTAAATGCAAAGTCCGGGAAAATTTTAAACTAGAATTTTTAAGATTAGGGCAGGGAAGAATTGAAGTGTATTAAAAAGAACAATGAATTAGGAGGCCGAGGTCCTTCTGTGTCTTGTGCTACTGTGTTGTTAATTTGGCACATCACTTATTTTCAGTAAGGTACAATTTCTTCACCTGGAATGTGGGACTCCTCTACATTATTTGTAAGGTTGCTTGCAGTTAAGTGCTGAAATTACTGAATCATTTTGAGGATATGAAAGCATACTCCTTCGCGGTGGCTCAAGCCTGTAATCCCAGCACTTTGGGAGGCCGAGGCAGGCGGATCACTTGAGGTCTGGCGTTCCAGACCAGCAGGGCCAACATGGTGAAACCCCGTCTCTACTAAAAGTACAAAAATTAGACGGGAGTGGTGGCGGGCGCCTGTAATCCCAGCTACTCAGGCGGCTGAGGCAGGAGAATCTTTTGAACGTGGGAGGCGGAGGTTGCAGTGAGCGGAGATCACGCCACTGCATTCCAGCCTGGGCAACAAGAGTGAAACTCCGTCTCAAAAAAATAAATAAATAAATAAAAGCATACTCTTCATTCACATTATTGTATGTTAAGTATAAATTCATTTTTATAACTAGCCTAAATATGACCTCCTGTTTTCTAAGAGTATATTGGCCGGGCGCGGTAGCTCACGCCTGTAATCCCTGCACTTTGGGAGGCCAAGCCAGGCGGATCACAAGGTCAGGAGTTTGAGACCATCCTGGCCAACATGGTGAAACCCCGTCTCTACTAAAAATACAAAAAAATTAGCCCGGTGTGGTAGCGGGTGCCTGCAGTCCCAGCTACTCGGGAGGCTGAGGCGGGAGAATGGCGTGAACACGGGAGGCAGAGCTTGCAGTGAGCCCAGATCGCACCACTGCAAGATCATTCCAGCCTGGGCGACAGAGTGAGACTCTGTCTCAAAAAAAAAAAAAAAAAAGCTGGGCCTGGCGGTGCGCGCCTGTAATCCCCAGCTACTCAGGAGGCTTAGGCAGGAGAACTGTTTGAACCGGGACCCGAGGCAGAGGCTGCGGTGGGCTGAGACAGCGCCACTGCACTCCAGCCTGGGGCAACAAGAGTGAAACTCTGTGTCAAAAAAAAAAAAAAAAAAAAAACCATGAGTATATTCTTGGGCCAGGTGCAGTGGCTCACACCTGTAATCCCAACACTTTCGGAGGACAAGGCGGGAGGATCTTGAGGCCAAGAGTTCGAGACCAGCCTGGAGAAAAAACCCATCGCTACAAAAAAAAAAAAAAAGAAAAATTAGCCCGGCATGGTCCCAGCTACTCCAGAGGCTGAGGTGAAAGGATGGCTTGAGCATGGGAGTTCGAGACTGCAGTGAACCGAGATCACACCACTGCACTACATTTTGCAACAGTGATAGTCACAAACAAAGTCTCTACTCTTAAAACAAATGTAATTGTCAAGCATCAATACCACAAGAGAGCCCTCCAAACAAAAATGTGAACCTAGGCCGGGCGCGGTGGCTCATACCTGCAATTTCAGCACTTTGGGAGGCCGAGTCGGGCGGATCACAAGGTCAGGAGATCGAGACCACCCTGGCCAAAATGGTGAAACCCGTCTCCCCTAAAAACACAAAAATTAGCTGGGCGTGGTGGTGCGCGCCTGTAGTTCCAGCTACTCAGGAGGCTGAGGCAGGAGAATCGCTTGAACCCGGAAGGCGGAGGTTGCAGTGAGCCGAGATCGCGCCACATTGCACTCCAGCCTGGCGACAGAGCAAGACTCCGTCTCAAAAAAAAAAAAAAAAAAAAAGTGAACCTCCAATGAAGATATTCAATAGAATAAATATTCGGAATAAATTGAATGGTCTCCTAAAAATAGGGCTTTATTTTTCCCAACTACTTTAAAGGTATTTTTAACTAGCGATGTTAGATTTTCTTTCTTAATCCTACTAAAGTATAGCTGAGTATCTTCGTCTTGTTAATTTAGCCTCCAGAAAATTCTAATTTAGTAGTCTGCAATGCCGTAAAATGTTAAACTAGCAACAGATGAAAAAAAATCCGAGTAGAAACAGCAGGCAGGGATCTAAGGTGGAGTAAAAATAGCCACAAATTAGAAACCAGGAGAAAAGGTATATAGTATTTTACTTTCAATATTAATTTTCCTCCAAAGGTCAAGATTTCTGATTAAGAGTTCTCAGATTAAGATGAGCTAGCTTTGAGACACTTTGTTGTGCGGGTCATAGCTTTGTCTAAAAACAAACAAAAAACTTTGGGAAACTTTTCGAAGGCGCGCTTCCAAACTTCAGGCGCCGAGTCTATTTCACATGTGGGGCCATGTGTCCCACAAGTGAATCGTTTACACCACAGATATTCCTCAAAAGGAGACTAAACCAACTTCGCTCTCTTGTTACTTTGACAATAAAAGAGGAACCTTACTCCAGGTCAGTCCTGGATGCCAAGCCTAGGGACTAAGGGATTGCTTTTCCTCTTCTCAAATGTAAGTACACCAGACGCTGCCCCTCCGCGGGGTCTGGAGAGGACGAGCAACTCAGTGGGGATTGGAGCCGACCGCTCGGCTTCAGAGGTCCCGGGACGCCCTTAGGAGGCAGGGCGCCCGTACAGGTGGCGGCTAAGACGGTTGGGGACTGGGGTCGCCCCTCGGCCGGAGCCACAGGGAGAGGCCTGTGCGTGGCAGCCACGGGAGCGACTCACCTCGGCGTCTTCCTTGCACTGTGGAAGGGAAGGGAACTCCAGCTTCACGTCCTCCATGGTGCTGGCCCGCGGGCTGGTGGGTGGGGTGGGAGAGTGTTACACAGCCGGCCGACCCTCGGGCTGGCTGCGGCGGCGGAAGGAAGGAGGGCCGGCGGAGCGGAGGGCTGACAGGAGGGCGGCGGGATTACAACTAACACACGCAGACTACAGGGTCCCAGTGACTCCAGCAGCGGCGGCGGCGAAGACAGGGAAGAGGAGGGTCGGGCGTCTTACACCCGGCCGCCATGCCGCTGCCGTCTCCCTCCCCCAGAGTCTCCGTACCCCTCAGGCCGCCCAGGATCCAGCACAGGAACCAGCCCGACAACCGTCTCCCCGCCTCCTTCCCGCCCCCTCCACCCGCGTCGCCTCAGCCAATCCCAGCCCACGCTCGCCTTCTGCCCGCCCTCCGCCGCCGCCAGGTGTCAGCGCGCCACCGCCCTGCTCCGCCCCTTCGCTAGAGCGCAGACGCTTGGGGGTGGGGGGGGCGGAGCCTCGGATGCTGCTAGGCCACAGCTCACCCGGCGTGGAGGAGGCGGGGCTGCGGTGGGACAGGACGAGTGAAGGTCCTGGGAAAGGCAGTGGGGCGGTCCGAGCCAGCTCCGCCCTTTCCAGACAGGACGTAGAGCCCTTCTTTAACATAAGAACAAACAGGCAAAACAGGCTACCCACCAGTGGCATCCGAAAGGAAAGCTATAGTTTCTCCCCTCTCAAAATTCTGCGCAATCTATGCTGAGTTTATAACCAAATGACTAATAAATGAAGAGTTCAATTTAAAATCACGTGGTGCCATACAGAAAATAAAATACCCATCACCTTTAAGCAAAGAATTAAACGGCTCAATTTAAAATTTTTTAAAGTATTTTAAGAGTACTTGAAAATACAACTCAGTTTAGATTACCTAGAAAATATCAAGAATGGCAACTAGAAAAAAATCAGAAAAAGGAACTGATAGCTGACTCAGTAAATTGTATATAATACTGTAAAATTTCTTCCATTATTATATTTTGAAATAAAAATAATAAACCAGATGGCTTTCAATATCTTTTAAAAGGAGTTTGCCAGCCTGAGCAAAATAGTAAGACCCCCCTCTCTAAAAAACAATTTTAAAATTCCCTGGGTGTGGTGGCGTTATGCCTGTAAACCCATGGTGAAAAGATTTGGGCCGGGCGCGGAGGCTCACGCCTGTAATCCCAGCACTTTGGGCGGCTGAGGCGTGTGGATCACCTGAGGTCGGGAGTTTGAGACCAGCCTGACCAACATGGAGAAACCCCGTCTCTACTAAAAATACAAAAATTAGCTGGGTGTGGTGGCGCATGCCAGTAATCGCAGCTACTTAGAAGGCTGAGGCAGGAGAACCGCTTAAATCCGGGAGGCGGAGGTTGCAATGAGCTGAGATAGTGCAATGGCACTACAGCCTGGGCAACAAGAGCGAAACTCCATCTCAAAAAAAATCAAAAATAAAAAAAGAAAGAAAGGATTTGTACACCAAATTGATTCTTTAAAAAACCACCGCCAGCACAAAGGTAAAAGGCAAGATAGTCACTCCTTAACTAAATGCAAATTATAAGTGAAAAGATCACATAGATATTTGACTTAAACCTCCCCCTACATTCTACTTTTTGTCACATAAAATGCACTGCCAACACATAGAAATAGAACTGTACAATAATTTGAGTATGAGATGGCTAACTTGACCACTCCATTTTCTATTTTAACTGTTCATCTTCTAAAATTATAAAAAGGCACATAATATCCTGCTAGGAAGTTTTTAATTTGAAGAATTATTGTATAATTAGCTAGGTCATGTATTTTTGGTTCTTTAGTGTTTATGAAACTGAAGTTGTCTTTTCTTTTCACCAGCATCTTTAATAATTATTGATGCCCAATGATGATTCCTTTGTGTACTTTGTTATAGCTTTTATTGCCAGATGATATAAGAATCATGTATAGGTAACAGAAATCATGTTTTGAACATTTCTGACACTCCTACATCCCCTACATCATACACTCTTAGCCAGGTATCCATACATACCTAAAGAGTCCTTGGATGAGCTTGGGAAACAATAAATTTCCTGAAATTATAGTATACGCAAAATTGTATGTTAGAATTTTTCCTGGAAGAGGGTCCAGACCTCCACATCCTCAACAGGGACCTATCGTCTTACATAAACCAAGAAAACCCAGTCACATATTAGCAAATATTACGTTGAATCATACTCTTTAAAAAGTTATGGATGTGCATGTATATTTTCAATTAACCAACAATGAGCTTAATCACAGTAGATGAAGAATATGTAAACACTTTCTGAAAGGAGGAGTACAGACATACCCACACATCCATGTTTTATTTAAGAAGATGATCTTATGAACATTAAGTATGTGTACTATTTTAAAATAATATTCAAAAATCCACAATCCATCTGGGTTATCAAATAGTTTACTTGCTAAAGAACCTAAAGGACCACAGTAAATATACTCAGAAAAGACAAGAATATATATGTAGGAGAACTGAATCAAACAGATTTTATTCAACTTTTTAGATGAGGAAAACAAATGATACAAAATAAGTCATAAGAAATGCTTTCTTATACCACTATCTCAAACCACTTTCAATATTTTACAAAATGCTCACGCAGCAAATATGAAAAGCTTCAACACTTTCCCTTTGTAACTTGCTGCAATAAATGCAACTTTAACAAACATACAAATTTCTTCTGTATCTTAAAAGTTGAATTACTAATTTTTATGATGTTACTCATATTTTTATTCATATACTTTTAATGACATCATTACCAATACATACATTATTTTCTTTAACTTTATTTTTACAATAAGCCAACATCTGTCATGCAGCCATCAAAAATCTTACAGTAAATTACACAGGTTTGTAGTCCAATTTAGACTCCAGCTTCTTAGAATCAGCCACTTTTCTGACTGCTTTCATGAAGTCTTCCTGTACTACAAAATCATGATCAGCACGAATTGCGAACATACCTGTAGAGAATAAAACAACATGACTGCTATATATCACATATGAATTATATGTTCATTATAAGAAAAACAATATAATTCTATGGAATAAATGTGAAGCTTAGATTTATTACTTCTGAGCCAGTAGTTGTAATTTGCTAAAAACCACTATCTTTTTTCAATTAAAATCCACAGGCCGGGTGCGGTGGCTCACGCCTGTAATCCCAACACTTTGGGAGGCCAAGATGGGCAGATTGCAATGTCAAGAGATTAAGACCATCCTGGCCAACACGGTGAAACCCCATCTCTACTAAAAATACAAAAAAAAAAAAAAATTAGCTGGGCATGGTGGCGCGCGCCTGTAGTCCCAGCTACTCGGGAGGCTAAGGCAGGAGAATGGCTTGAACCCAGGAGGCGGAGGTTGCAGTGAGCTGAGATAGTGGCACTGCACTCCAGCCTGGCAACAGAGCGAGACCCCATCTCAAAAAAAAAAAAAAAAAAAAATCCATAGCGGTGTTGTGATTATGTTCTAAAACAAAAACAGGTATGACCATTATATGAATATTTAACATCCGGTTCAAGGCTGGGCACGGTGGCTCACACCTGTAATCCCAACACTTTGGGAGGCCAAGGTGGACGGATTACCTGGGGTCGGGAGTTCGAGACCAGCCTAGCCAACATGGTAAAACCCCGTTTCTACTAAAAACACAAAAATTAGCTGGGCGTAGTAGTGGGCATCTGTAACCCCAGCTACTTGGGAGGCTGAGGCAGGAGAATCGCTTGAACCCGGGAGGCAGAGGTTGCAGTGAGCCAAGATCGCACCACTGCACTCCAGTCTGGGTGACAGAGTGAGGCTCTGTCTCAAAAAAATAAAATAAAATAAAATCAGGCTTAAATGGTCCCTGTATCTGATTGTAGCTCTTAATAAAAACAAGCATAAAAAACCGAAGCAATCAAAACTACCAACACATACACATTTTAAGCGTAACTTAACTTGACAGGAAGCAATTTGCTGGAAGGCACACATTTATGGGGGAAAAAAAATCTTGAGTAAGTTTGATAGCCATTCTTTGTTAATAATCAAAAACGTTGAGAATAGGGAATCATATAGAAAGCCAACAGCGGGTTTTAGCAAAACTCGGAGTCATTATTCATGTGTTAAAATTTACCTAATTTATGTACAAATTGGTATTTTTATTTGATTCATATTTGAGTATCACAACTCAATTTTTTCCTTCAACTTTTTGACAAGTACCTTCTCAAACAGTATTTGACAAAGGGGTAAAAGTTTCCTTGTATGCAGTTTTTTAAACATTAGTTGTGTTATGGATATGGGTCCCAGATTTTGAGATAATCCTAACTCATGATAAACTAAAGCAGGTAAGTTTATTGCTATCTACTAATTAAATGAATTCTAAAATTTCCACTGAGGATCTGCCTGTATTGAATTTTCACTTACATAAAATGAGGGAGTTAATATAGAAGATTTCAAGGATTACTTCCTTTCTAGATTTCTACATAAGGAAACAATCTATGTTGTCCTAGAAACCGGGTGAATGGAAATGACTGATTTTTAAAAAATAACAAAGTTTCAAAACTTGTTTAGAAAGCTACAGTGAAACTAGGTAAGTTATTTTTGTAAACCTTGCACACATGGCTATTTTCCAAATCACTTTAGTGAATAAGTAAATCTGCACAAGAGATGCCTGGCCAGGCCTGGTAGCTTGTGCCTGTAATCCCAGCATTTTGGGAGGCCCAGGTGGGTGGATTACTTGGGCCCAGGAATTTGAGACCAGCCTGGACAACATGGTGAAACCCGTCTCTACAAAAAATACAAAAATTAGCTGGGTGTGGTGGCGCACGCCTATAGTCCCAGCTACTGGAAGATAAAGGAGAAATGATCAGGTCTGGGCTACAGGGAGCAGTGATCATGCCACTGCACTCCAGCCTGGGCCAGAGTGAGACTCCGTCTCAAAAGAAAAAATAAAATAGAGATGTATTATAATCCAAAAGAGATAATGTCAGGACCTGAACAGGAAGGGCAACTGTAGTTGAATCAAGTGTATTTTAACTTACGAAAAATGTTAACAAAAAAGCCTTCAAGTCTAAAAAGAAGATAAAAATTTCAGTATGTTTCCAGATGTGAATGTCCCACCTAGTTAAAAAAGAACTACAATTTTAATCCACACAGAAGTTATAGCTCATTTGCAATAACTAAAGGTAAATTTGTAAGAATATGTAAGGAAAAAAAGCGTATATTTTGATAGCAACAGCCTTTAGGTTCACTGCACAGCTTGCATTTGGATTACAATCTAACCAAAGCAATCTTCTGATAATAATTTGGTCTGGTTTACATTTTGGAAAGAGAATGTCATAAATTACTCTAACTTGTTCAAGCTATATGACAGTTTACCTCTAAATAGTTTAGTTTATTGATAACGCTCTGTGAGCATGATTTACCCTAATTTGCATTGACAGCATTTCTAGACGTGAACAGAAGTATCTGACCTGCATATCTGATGCAGATACTGACTCACAGCATACCCAATACCCATGAAGATACCTGTACTGAGAAGCCCTCCCTGAGCAGCCACTTTAAACACTGTGTTGAATTTACTAAGGCTAAACATGATATGAAAAGCAAGAGGAAATCACATATTCTAATACTTAAGAAAATCTATAACCTATAAAGTCAGTAACTATACTGTAGAAGTTTATTTTTTCTATTTAAAGATTCTGTATGGAAGACAAAAACTAAATGATTCTAGGTAGGGTATTAAAGCTACTTGGTACTGGAAATAAAAATAGCATCACACAATTTTTACATACCATGTAGAAGTGAAAAAAATAGTATCACACAATCCACAGAGAATTATATTTAAATACTACATTTTACACAAATGGCATGATCACATAATTCATAAATCAATCTTTCAAAACACTGCTCACAGACTAGTATTAGACAACATACACAATTCATTTTGCAGCAGATACCTCTGGTGCTGGCCCATTCTAATTCCAGCCACAGGTGTGGTAGGCAATTCTGTAGCACCTCAGACTTACTTTAGGGGGCCAGTGTTCTATTACATGCCTCTCCTTCCACATTCTGCCCTAAGGCAGGTAGAAGTGCAAAGGAGTCAACACTACCAAGGACAAATCTCATCCAATGGGGGATGAGTACTGGTAAATCAATGTTCTAGTCTCCCAACTTTCAGCTGGGTGATCCTGGAAGGCATTCTGTATGCTTCTCTGAGATCTAACCTCCCTTTCCTACAGCACCTACCTCAATGGTGCACCCTCATATTAGCTTTCCCTCTTTCCATCTCACTTGCCCTGCTTCTCCTATTTCCTGGAATCGATTCCTAAAAGAACAGCATGAACCCAAATCCTTGCAAAGTCTATGCTCCGCTTTCAGATAAACTCAAAACAGTTTCAGCAAATTTTAAAAATCAAAATCAATAGTAAAACTGTACTTTAAACCCTTACCTGCTTCAGTACAAACATTTCTCAGATCTGCTCCATTAAAGCCATCCGAAAGCTTCACAATTGCTTCATAATCTGTTTAGAAAAAATACTGGAAATTAGTTTTAAAAATTAGACCTTTACTTGATTTATGCCCACATCGAAAATTTAAACTGAAGAGCTTACTTTGAGTTTGATCAGCTAGACATCAGCTCTGTTAACTTTCCACAATATTAATATCCAAAAACTAAGACTTCTGTTAAATAAACCAGCACCAAGAAGAATTAGACACACCCCTGAAACTTTAAAAACAGGAAATATCACCAAAATCTCAAAATATCTTAATCTATTTTTATACAGTGAAATAGCTATGCACATGTGAACTCCAGATACCTGTTAAGCTGTGACTCTTATCAAAACTGTAATCAAATCTTGGATTTGAATAAACCTATAACACTCAAAACCAATTATAACAATGGAATTTACTTTGTTTACTTTAATCATACAAGCCAAATATAAAGTATAGCAAAACTGAAATGTAATCATACATAATTGTATCACATGGAATTTTTAAATGCTACAGCATGCATTAGCTAGCTTCTCTGGTTTCTGTGCAAGATTCAAGTGGTGAAGTATCAGATCTATGGTAGCAGTAATAAAGTGAGTTCTCCATCCACCCACATAACAGACATGAATCAAAGAGCTATAGGATTGGGGTAGCAACAATGGATCTGATACAGAATAGGAAGAGAAGTAAGACAGCACAGGCTACTACAGTTTGAATAACTTTGATGATGCACCGTTTGGTCAGGCAATATAGGGCATGTCGTTCTCTATTTGAAATCACACATATATTCATGAATTGTCTTTAATCAGGTTTAAGTTCATTGTAAGCTTCCTGAGAGCAAGAATTCCCAAGGCTAGCACAGTATCTGGCATCTAGCAAGAGCTCAGTATTTGTGGAAGAAACCTATACATTGACATCCTTTGTTCAGTTCGGTCTTTCCAGCTCAAAACTCTCTAACAGGGGCAATGAAGATAGTGAAATTCAACAATCAGCTATTTGTCATTATTCTGGACCATTAACTTCTAAAGAGTTTTTAAGGCTGCCTGGAAATTATACTAGATTTCCCTAGTCTGGAGGTCAGCAAACTTTTTATGTAAAGGGCCAGAGAGTAAATACTGTATGCTTTGCAAGCCATATGGTTTCTGTTGTAACTATTCAACTCAGCTATTCCAGTAGGAAAGCAGCCATAGACAACAGATAAATGAGCATGCTTGGGTTACAACAAAACTTTGTGTGTTTCCAAAAACACAGGGCAGGCAGAATTTGGTTCACAAGCCATGTTTTACTGGCCTGCACCCTAGTCCAATCCCTCACTTCCATAGATAATGACTTTATACCTTCTCCTTTGTCCTCAAATCTCTAAGAACACTTCCCTATCTTCATTCTGAACGTGCATTCTACTTCACTGAGAAAACAGAAGCATTCAGAAAAAAACACTTCCACAAGTTCCTGCACTATCTAAGAACCTGTCATCATAAGCATCTATGTACTCTGCCTTTCCTCCAGTCTCATAAAAGTACACATATATATAGGGCCAATCCCTCTTCAAGGAAAGAACATTGCCAATTTCTCTTTCTCCTAGGTCATTCCCAGTAGCATTATTAAAAAAAAAAAAAAAAGGGCAGGGGGGTCATAAACTCTTCCATCTTATAGAAAACTCTGCCAACTCCTCATCGGCATTCCCCTTCTACTTCTTCTGCCCCCTCTGTAGAACTCTTAAAAGAAATGTCTAAACTCAATGCCTCTCCTCCCAATCTCTCTGAAACCCATCTGAAATAGGCTTTCACCTCCACCACTCCCAAGAAGCTACTTTTGACAAGATTACCAATGACCTCCATATAGTTAAATCCAAAGGTCTACTCTGAGAACTCTTTATCTGACCTATTGTCAGCATTTAACAGGAATCAATTTAAAAAACAAACAAACAAACAACCAGGCCGGGTGCAGTGGCACACGCCTGTTATCCCAGAACTTTGGGTGGCCGAGGTGGGCAGATTGCTTGAGCCCAGTAGTTCAAGATCAGCCTGGGCAACATGGTGAAACCCCATCCCTACAAAAAAACAAGCCAGGGTTGGTGGTGTGTGCCTGTAGTCCCAGCTAATCAGGAGGCTGAGGTGTGAGGATCATTTGAACTTGGGAGGCAGAAGTTGCAGTGAGCTGGGATCACACCATTGCACTCCAGCCTGGGCAAGAGTGAGACCCTGTCTCTAAAAAATAAATTACCTTCTTGGTAAGGCCTTCCCTGTGCTAATCCTCCCTGTCATTTAAAAACATATCCTCATGCCTGGTCCTGGCACTTCCCTAATTTCCTATCCCCCTTTTCTTTTTTTTTCCCCTGAAACAGCGTCTTGCCAAACTGGAGTGCAGTCACATGATCATAGCTCCCTGCAACCTCAAACTCCTGGCCTCAAGCGGTCCTTCTGCCTCGGCCTCCAAAACCATTAGGATTACAGGAGTGAGCCACCATGCCCGCCCCCCACTTTCTTGCTTTATTTTTCTCCATAGCACTTATCATCATCTATTATACTTTGTTTTACTAACTTTATCTGTTTTTTCCTAACAAGAATATAAGTTCTCTAATGGCAGAAATTTGTCTGTTTTGTTCCTTGCTATATTGTCAGCCCTTACAAAACACTTACAATGGTTCCTAGCTTATAGTAGATGCTCAATAACTATTTGCTGAATTTAAAACCACCACATTTGCTGAATTTAAAACCAGATTTAGGAAACTATCAGTAATTTCTAAAAGTATTTTTCTTCATTTACCAAATGTAAATACATATAAAATAGATGACTTCCTTACCTATTTCACCATGCTTTGTAATGGGACCTGCATGGATTTTCAGTATGTCTAATCTTGCTTGTTCATTTGGCAAATCAATATCTGAAAATAAAAAATTATTTTATAGTCCAGTTTTATCTTTTTTAAAATACAGTGGAAGGTGAAGTGAAGTATGGAAAAAGAAATGGGCACAAAGGGAAATGGACAGTAGGTAAAGAATCTTAACTCACGTATTTTTCTATCTAATCTTCCTGGACGCAGCAAAGCAGGATCCAGTGTATCTGGTCTGTTTGTAGCCATGATCATTTTAACTCTATGCAGAGTATCAAATCCATCCATTTGATTCAGTAACTAAGAATATTAAGAATCAGATTTTACAAAAATTCTAACCATTAAAAAAAATAGCACACACCTTTTATATGTCTAATGCCATGAAATGTATTGTCTACAGATAGATATGTTCTATCTTCAGAATGGTCATTTGATAGAATTCTTTTTCTCTCTCTTATATAAAGGGATATACTTTCTAGCCTCAAAGTTCTAAGCTAGATTATGTACCTTTTAATAGCTATGTATCTTTCTATAGCTACCAGGTAGTTTTAATAAATCTGAAGGCTTCCATCATGTCAAGAATTATGAAATTAAACTATGTGGATCTAATTTCCAATGTCCAAAATTTCATCAATTATTTTTTAAAGGAAAAGCTAATAATAAAATCCAATATATAAAGTGCTTATGATATGTCAGACATAACATTTATATTAGGATAAATGGATACAAAGATTTTTCTACAAATTTGATAATAAACTGATAATTTTTTTTTTTTTTTTTTTTTTTTTTTTTTGAGACAGAGTTTCACTCTGTCACCCAGGCTGGAGTACTGTGGCCTGATCATCGCTCACTGCAACCTTCACCTCCTGGGCTCGACCAGTCCTCCCACCTCAACCTCCTGAGTAGCTGGGACTGCTTTTTTTTTTTTTTTTTTTTTTGGAGACAGACTCTCGCTCTGTCACCCAGGCTGGAGTGCAATGGGGCGATCTCAGCCCACTGCAACCTCACCTCCTGGGTTCAAGCAATTCTCCTGCCTCAGCCTCCTGAGTAACTGGGATTACAGGCACACGCCACCACGCCCAGCTAATTTTTGTATCTTTACTAGAGATGGTGTTTCGCTACGTTGGTCAGGCTGGTCTCAATGCTCAGACCTCATGATCTGCCCAGCTGGGCCTCCCAAAGTGCTGGGATTACAGGCAGAAGCCACCATGCCTGGCCTATTTTTTCAAATAATTCTACTGTACACAGAAATACTAAAAGACATAAAAAATATTGTCCTCAATTTCTAAAGTTTTCTTGAATAAATGAAAAACCTTACTGCATTTAACAAACTCTCTAAAATATAGCTAGTCTGACAATGTGTTAGTTGATGATATATTAGTTACTTGAATAAAATGAGTATTTGTGTTATTTAAAAATATCTCAATTTAAGGTTTCTAAGAGATTTTATAATTTCCAAATGCTATGTTATCTTCTGAGCGGATCTGTATAATTTATGAAAAAAGATTTTTCAAATACTTCTAAGGAGAAAGAATTTGACACTGCATTACCCATGCTACCTAGTTTCTATTTGAAGTGGAAAATGTATTTGGACTCTTGATATCACTTTCACAGAATTTGGAGTGGGGAAAGGTAAAACTGGAGGAAGGCTTTATGTGCATTCTTTCATTCTGTCATCTATCCTCTTCAATTATCAAAACTATTTTAGTTGCCTCAGTCTCAGCAATAAAGTGAGAGAAAAAAATAATTTTTAGAGCAGCTTCATACATAATTATAGCTCATTTATTGCCAACAGTCTTAATATGACCATTACAAAAAATGTCTTCATAAAACTACCGCAAGATCACATTCATAAGAATTTAAATATATGAATGACTGATCTACTCAAAAAAACACAGAATAGTACAGGTGTATACCAAATGGAATTTGGCAGATAGCCTTATTTTCCAGTAGTCATTTTCTTAGAGTTTGTGATAGAGAAACATGTTTGTTCCTGACAATATTTTCAAATTTCATATTTCATTTAAAATGTTCTATATATTTTGACTATCAAATATGCAATGTTCAGTTCTTCATTTAATAAACATTGGTTTCTTTATAAACCCCCTTTACCAAATATTACCTCCATTAACGTTCTCTGAATCTCTCTGTCAGCTGAAGTACCCTCAGAAAACCGACGACCACCTAAGATAGTAGATTTGGAAATTTATATGCATTACTCTTTTCCTCTACAACCATCATTTAAGAAAACAGAACATAACAGTCTGTGGCTTAAAACATTAAGATGAAAATTAAAGAGCAAGAATTATGCTGACAAAGTTAGACTTGATTTTGGTGTAACATTTCTCATTTTGTTAAAGTGAAAGGTTATTTATTGAGACGGAGTCTCGCTCTGTCGCCAGGCTGGAGTGCAGTGGTGTGATCTCGGCTCACTGCAACCTACGTCTCCTGGGTTCAAGCGATTCTCGTGCCTCAGCCTCCTCAGTAGCTGGGATTACAGGCATGTGCCACCACATCCAGCTAATTTTTGTATTTTTAGTAGAGACAGGGTTTCACCATGTTGGCCAGATGGTCTCGATCTCCTGACCTGGTGATCTGCCCACCTTGGCCTCTCAAAGTGCTGGGATTACAGGCATGAGCCACCACACCCGGCCATGAAAGGTTATTTATTAAAATTGGTTAAACTAACATCTGATTCATTGTGGTATCTACTTCATACAAGTCACAATTACAGATTAAGAGAGGGAAAAAGGTTCTTTTACATTTAAAAAAAAGTCCTAAAACTTTCAACAAGGGTGTTATTCTTACCAATAGCATCTATTTCATCCATAAAAATGATGCATGGTTGATGATCTCTAGCATAATTAAACATTTCTCTGATCAAACGAGCACTTTCACCAATGTACTTGTCTACAATAGAACTAGATACAACCTGATTAAAGGAAAAACAGTAAGGTAAATATAAGATAATTCAAGTAAAATTAAATTTCAATAAGTACAAAATAATCTTCCCTTTACCTTTAAGAAATTGCAGTCCAGCTGGCTAGCAACGGCTCGTGCCAAGAGTGTTTTTCCCGTACCTAAGAATGACAAAAGAAGTCTTAATTAGATGGTAAGGTAGAAAAAAATTTGTTTTGAGACAGGCAATCACTCTGTCACCTAGGCTGGAGTGTGGCGAGATCACAGCTCACTGCAACCTTGACCTCCCAGACCTAAGCGATTTTCCCACCTCAGCCTCCCAAGTAGCTGGGATGACAGGCATGTGCCATCACGCACAGCTAAGTTTTTTGTTTGTCTGTTTGTTTTTCAGAGACGGGGTCTCTCTGTGTTGCGCAGGCTGGTCTTGAACTCTTGGGCTCAGGTGATCCTGCCACTTCAGCCTCCCAAAGTGCTGGGATTACAGGCAGGAGCCACCGCACCCGGCCTATGTGAAACAAATTTTTAAAATCCTTTTAAGAATATAATCGTTTGGCAAGTAAATTTTCCAAAATGAAAGCTAAATCCTAAATAGAATTTTCATTTAAAATTCCAAAGTACTTGGCCAGGTGTGGTGGCTCACACCTGTAATCCCAGCACTTTGGGAGGCTGAGGCGGGCAGATCACAGGGTCAGGAGATCGAAACACAGTGAAACCCCGTCTCTACTAAAAATACAAAAAATTAGCTGAGCGTGGTGGCACATGCCTGTAGTCCCACCTACTGGGGAGGCTGAGGCAGGAGAATCGCTTGAATCCGGGAGGTGGGGGTTGCAGTGAGCTTATAATCTCGCCACTGCACTCCAGCCTGGGTGACAGAGCAAGACTCTGTCTCAAAAAAAAAAAAAAAAAAAAAATTCCAAAGTACTTCTGCTGTCAACATTAAAATTTTAATCAAAATGTTATAATTTTTAAAATCTATTTTAAATTGACAAATAAATTGTATATTTATGGGTTAAATTATGATACATGTATATATTGAAGAATGATTAAATCAGGCAAATCAACATATCCATCACCTCACATGCTTAGCATTACTTTGTGGTTAGAACATTTAAAATCTACTTTTAGCAATTTTGAAATAGCTAATACATTATTAATTATAGTCACCATGCTATGCAATATGTCACCTAGAACTTATTCCTCCTGTCTAAGTGAACTTTATATCCTTTGACCAACATCTCCCCTATCCCCATACACCACCACAACTTCTGGTAACCACCATTCTACTCTTGGTTTCTACGAGTTCAATTTTTTAAGATTCCACATGAAAATGAGATTATGTGGTAACTGTCTTTCTGTGTCTGGCTTATTTCACTTAGTATAACATCCTCTAGATTCATCCATATTGTCACAAATGACAGAGTTTCCTTTTTTAAGGCTGAATAGTATTCCAATGTGTGTATTTACCACATTTCTTTTTCTTTTTTTTTTGAGATGGAGTTTCACTCTTGTTGCCCAGGCTGGAGTGCAATGGCATGATCTCAGCTCACTGCAACCTCTGCCTCCCAGGTTCAAGTGATTCTCCTGCCTCTGCCTCCCGAGTAGCTGGGATTACAGGCATGAACTACTACACCCAGCTAATTTTGTATTTTCAGCAGAGACGGGGTTTCTCCATGTTGGTCAGGCTGGTCTCGAACTCCCGACCTCAGGTGATCCGCCCGCCTCGGCCTCCCAAAGTGTTGGCACTACAGGTATGAGCCACTGCACCCGGCTACCACATTTTCTTTATCCATTCATCCATTGATGGGCAATTTTTAGGCTGTTTCTATATCTTGGCTATTGTGAAATAATCATGGGAGTGCAGCTATCTCTGACACACTGATTTCAATTCCTTTAGATATAAACCCAGAAGTGGGATTGCTGAATCATATGGTAATTCTATTTTTAGTTTTTTGAGGAACCTCCATGTTTTCAAAAATGGCTGTGCTAATTTACATTCCCACCAGTAGTGTACAAGGGTTCTTTCTCTTTTCTCTACATCTTGCAAACACTTTTGTCTTTTTTATAATAGCTATCTACTTACAACATGGACTATGACAGAAACTTCTGTTACATTAAAATACATTGGTCTATCCTGTGCACTGACTGGATCTTTTACTTATGAATATTTTAATATCAAGCATTGATTATTTGGAAACTACTGGTTGAGTTATGCAAATCTTCCAAATGTTGACATTTTCCACCACACATTATAAAAAATTTTTGTTATTCTCACCACTTATCTCATCAGAAAAGTCTTTAAGTATTAATATATTAGAAAGCTGCCGTGGCTGGACATTGTGGCTCATGCCTGTAATCCCAGCACTTTGGGAGGCTGAGGTGGGCGGGTTGCTTGAGCCCAGGAATTCAAGACCAGCCTGGGCAACATGGCAAAACCCTGCCTCTACTAAAAACACAAAAATTAGCCTGGCATGGTGGCACACACCTGTAGTACCAGCTACTCAGGAGGCTGAGGTGGAAGAATCACCTGAGCCCAAGAGGCAGAAGTTGCAGCGAGCCAGGATGATCACGCCACTGCACTCCAGCCTGGGTAACAGAGTAACACCTTATCAAAAAAAAAAAAAAGAAAAGAAAAGAAAAAAAGAAAAAGCTTCAACCACATAGTGCCAGATATATGTTTCTAAAAATTCTAATTTTCACTTGACATTTCATATTTTATCAATGGCAATAGATGGTGTCAGTTGTTTAACATGACAGGCTTAATTTGTTCGCTTTGGAAAAAATGTGCGCCAAATAACCAAAAACCAGTCTTGAGTAATCAATAACTAATAACCAATAACCAGTCTGATAATCACAGCATATCTGTAAATGGTCCATTCAAGCAAAAATAGTATTCCATAAAAAGCAATGAATTCAGCTGGCAACTTAAATAACTGCACAAGTGCTTTTCCTAAAGACAACTATCTTATTCAATATGCAGCAGTACTTTATATTTATTTTCCCTTTTATCATGAAGAACACAAAATATTACCCAAAGATGAAGATTTAACAAAATTAATAATTTTTACTGTTTCACCAAGGACTTTATAGTGAAACTGACTTTTTTTTTTTTTACACTGCAAGTATGTGGCAGTCAAGAACGCAATGGCTACTAACTAGCACCGTTTCATGCCACTAATGCTGATTCACACTACAGTGCAAGTAATTTAATTTTACCCATGGTGCTCTTGCACCATCAGCACAAATGTCAACACAGTGGAAGAGCCAAACAACATTTTAGTTTTTTGTTTTGTGTCATTGTGGGGCTACATATGTCAAGCAGTATGCTATAGGTACATTTGCTTTATATAAAAAAATTTTTTTTTTTTTTTTTTTTTTTGAGAAGGAGTCTCACTCTGTCAGCCAGGCTGGAGTGCAGTGGGGCAATCTCGGCTCACTGCAACCTCTGCCTCCCAGGTTCAAGCAATTCTCCTGCCTCAGCTTCCCGAGTAGCTGGGATTACAGGTGCACGCCACCACGCCTGGCTCATTTTTGTATTTTTAGTAGAGACAGGGTTTCATCATGTTGGTTGGCCAGGCTGCTCTCAAACTCCTGACCTCTGGTGATCTGCCTGCCTCGGCCTCCCGAAGTGCTGGGATTACAGGTGTGAGCCACTGCGCCTGGCTTAACATTTCAGTATTATAAAGTAGTTTTGACCTTACAGAGTCCATGAAAGCACCTCTGGGTCTGTGAACCACAATTTGAGGACTGTTGCACTAGAATCACATGGCCTGTTAAGATAAATGTACTGTGAGGCACAAATGCACTAAGCATGCCTCAAAGAACAGTAGACATAAATATCCTATCTCATTCTCACTCTGAAGAGAGGAGAAGTTGGAACTGCCCACATCAAATTTCCACCTTATGGCCAGGCGCAGTGGTTTATGCTTGTAATCCCAACATTTTGGGAGGCTAAGGTGGGCAGATCGCTTGAGTCCAGGAGTTTGAGATAGCCTGAGCAATATGGCAAAATTGCTTCTCTACAAAACATACAAAAATTAACCAGACATGGTGATGCACGCCTGCAGTCCCAGCTACGTGGGAGACTGAGGTGGGAGAATCACTTGAGCCCGGAAGGCAGAGGTTGCAGTTAGCCCAGATTGTGCCACTGCACTACAGCCTGGGCAACAGAGTGAGACCGTGTCTCAAAAAAATAAAAATAAAAAAATTGTCTTTTTTTTTTTAATTCCTTAATTCATTTATCTTATTGGTGGAGTAGAAATAATTCAATACCAACCTGGTGGTCCATATAACAAACAGCCTTTTGGAGGTATTATTCCTACACGCTGAAATAACTCTGGGTTTGTAAGAGGTAATTCTATCACCTAGAAAAGAAGTTAAATCTTTCTTAAAAAGTTAGTCAAGATTTTTAATGTACTTTCAAATACTCTAAGTCAAATATCACCTTAGTTAGGTGTACACATCATAATTCTTAATAGACCTAGACTTCCATGCTAGGTAAAACCATTTATATTAAGAGGTTTTGCTCCAGGTAGATTTAAGATCTCTTAAATCTAAAAAATTTCAAATAATGTTTTTTAAATAAACCACACACTTGATTGGGGTGATGGTTACACAGATATATAACTTGTCCAAACATATTTGAAATGTACACTTAAGAATCTACATTTTTTTAATGTAATTATACCTCAATGAAAAATTATACCACAAAAAAATCAGTTAAGTCAAATGAACATATAAACAAAAAACACAACTCAAAAGATCTATACTAGTTTGCATTTGAAAATACAACACAAAATAATTCTAAAATGGGGGATGGATTTGACAACATACCAAGAGAAAAGGTATATACAATTTTTATCTGTTGGCATTTTGCCACGGCAGCTTTTAAAGAACAGTATGTTCTGCTCTCAAGACTGATTCAAGGAAGAAAAGTAGAGACTAGAGAAATTGAAGATCTGAAAGTCCAATTTAAATTACTTATAGTACCAGTAACTTAAGAGAGAAATTTCTTTTTTTTTGAGACAGAGTCTGTTGCCCAGGCTGGAGTGCAATGGCATGATCTTGGCTCATTGCAACCTCTGCCTCCCGGGTACAAGAGATTCTCCTGTCTCAGCCTCCTGAGTAGCTGGGACTACAGGCGCCACCACCACACCTGGCTAATTTTTGTACTTTTAGAAGAGATGGGGTTTCACTGTATTGGCAGGCTGGTCTTGAACTCCTGACCTCAGATGATCCACCCACCTCAGCCTCCCAGAGTGCTGGGATTACAGGCGTGAGCCACCATGCCTGACCGAGAGAGAAATTTCTATTGAATAGTTGTGTTGGGCTAGGTGCGGTGGCTCACGCCTGTAAATCCCAACACTTTGGGAGGCCAAGGCTGGAGGATGGCTTGAGTTCAGGAGTTCGAGAAGAGCCTGGACAACATGGTGAAACCCCATCTCTACAAAAAATAAAAAAATTAGTCACATGTGGTGGCGCATGCCTTCAGCTACTTGGGAGGGTGAGGTGAGAGGATGACTTCAGCCTGGGAGGTAGAGGTTGCAGTGAGCTGAGACTGCACCACTGCATTCCAGCCTGGGCAAAAGAACCAGACCCTGTCTCAAAAGAAAAAAAAAAGTTGTGTCCATATGTGCATAAAGCGTGACTGGGAAAAGCCAGAAGTGAGAGAAATCAATACTCTAAAGTGTAAAGTATCTGCAGACAGTAAAGGATACTGCATGTATACATGGGATTCTTTCTGCTCCTATGGCTAATGCAGCAAATCACTGTTGAAAGCAAGTTTTCACCGTTTTATGAAGCACCTGTTCTTCCTCTGTTGCCCTTTCATTAATACAGGTGAGAACTGCCTTTTTTTTTTACACTTAGACCAGTGCTTCCTCAAGTATTGTCAAAGAAAAATTTGGTTTCATAATCACTTGGAATGCTTGTTTAAATGCTAATTCCTGTGCCTACCCCCAATCTAGTCCATCAAAACCACTCAGAGGGCCTAGTAATGTGTATTTTTAATAAGTGTTCCAAAAAAAATTAATGTACTGAAGTATGAGAACTGGCTTAAAGCTTAAATCAGATTGTGTAAGACATTCCAATTATTCCCATTAATTCCTAAATATTCACAGCCTAATTTAGGATAAAATCCATAGGACAATGTAATTTGCTTTACAGATAACAGTTAAGAAGCTGTCTGTGCTATGAAGTAAGGCAATCCTGATTTGACTGTTCACCTAAAAGCTTACAAGATTTAAGACAATCCTAAAGCCAGTGGTTTTCTGGAATGGCAGCAAACAGCTTTAACAAAATAAAATATTTAAGGAACAGGTACCCTACTCTTCTGTAAGAGTGGGAAGCTAGTATTAATGAGGTTATGGAAAAAACTCATCACACACATTATCCAAATATGCTCTGACCCAAGTAACTTATTATGATAATCAAAACCACAGGATATCAGATTACATCAATTATTTTTAGCTTTTTCTCCGTTCCTTTGCCACAAAAAGAGCAGGATTTTTCTAACACCAAATTATCTCCAAATAAAAAAAAACAGTAATTTTCACAGCTAGAAATTCAGTGCTATTCTTCTTAGCAAGAATAGTAAATACATAATATTCTTAACTACCATTTAGACAAAAAGTACTTTTTCATCCTGTTTCTCCTGTTAAGAATCCTAAAACTAGTAGTATTTATTAGCTAAGTTCAGAGAACAAGGCACACAGTACCAACCTCTCTTAATTCCCGGATCTGTTCTGATAGCCCTCCAATCTCAGAATAAGAAACATTCCCAGGGTCCTCATGAGACATGTTATAAACCAGTGGATCCACCTCTCTCGGCAAATATCTAGAATGAAAAGGTATGTATTTTTCTTTTGAAAGATATATTTTCTCTTAGCCTACAGATAGCATATAAATAACTTGCTCAAGCAAGCACCTGTAGCTGATCTCATAAAGATGTGCTTAATTAGAAACTAGTAAAAGGGAAAAAGTGCCAAAATATTCAGTGATCTCAAGAAGCATATATCTCAGATAAAAACCACCCTTTGTGAAAATAAAAGGTGAACTAAATAGAATAAGAAACCCACCTCATGATAGTTAGTGTAGTCATATCCAAAGCAACTCTTGTTCCTGGCTTCAGCTTACTTTTGTCAAGCTAGTTTTGTAAAACAAAAGATATTACATCAACACTTAAAAACGGAATAACACTCTAACGAGAGTTTAATATTTAGAAGCCAAACACTCATTTTTACCCTCCAGAGAGAACACAAATATCAGATTATAAACTCTATGCTAACAAAATGGCTTATAAAATAAGTAATTCAAAGTGATTTCCACCTGCTCCTTAAAAGCATGCCCCTTTGTGTAATCTCAGTGTAAAATGTGAAATGACTAACACACAAAGCTTGAGGCAGCAATGGTACAGTGACTTTGGGAATTGCTACCAAAGCATTTATAGAAAAATCCCTTAGTGAACATTTTAGGGAAAGGAAAGGGAAGCATTTTAAAGGTGTGCTCATCAGATTTATTTTGAAATGTACAGCTTCTGGGAAGAATGTGTTAAATGCTCATGAGAGTAGAGAAAAATGCACGGTTTCCCCTTAGAGATTTTTATTAAAATGCTTTAAATTTAAAGCCCCAAAACCCAGCAACCATCACTCATGCCTTTGCTACATGACAGGCACATGCTGAACACATTACACATTAGGTTGAATCATACTAAATAATTTCTTGGCTTATCTGGCTAAAATTAGAATCTACTAGATCTGCCTCACTCTCAGGATGTTGTTACTTTTCAAAGATAAAGTTACTTTTTTTTTTGAGATGGAGTACGGAGTCTCACTCTGTCGCCCAGGCTGGAGTGCAGTGGCGCCATCTTGGCTCACAGCAACCTCTGCCTCCCTGGTTTAGGCAATTCTCCTGCCTCAGCCTCAAGTAGCTGGGATTACAGGTGTGTGCCACCATGCCCGGCTAATTTTTTTTTGTATTTTTTAGTAAAGACGGGGTTTCACCATGTTGGTCAGGCTGGTCTTGATCTCCTGACCTCGTGATCTGCCCACCTCAGCCTCCCAAAGTGCTGGGATTACAGGCATGAGCCACCCCGCCCGACCCAAGTTACTTTTTAATAGTTTAAAAAACTGCGTGCCAATACAATTTCGGAATCATATAAATTACTGACCACTTGTCACAGGATTTTACAAAGAGCTTCAAATTTAGGAAGATAGGCAAAACACTAGGATTAATATAACAATTAAGGAAAAAACGGCTAAGAAGTGAGGTTACTTGAAAAAATAAGAGGAGAAATCAATATGAAGCTATTTCAATGTTTACATCTATAGGAAATACAGGCTGAGTATTCTTAATCTGAAAATCCAAAATGCTCCACAATGTGAAATTTTTTGAATGCTGACATGATGCTCAAAGAAAATGCTCATCGGAGCATTTCAAACTTTTGATTTTTTTTAATTAGGGATGCTCAACCAGTACAACACAAATATTCTAAAACCTGAAAAAAAAAAAGCCAAAATCTAAAACACATTTCTGGCTCAAGCATTTTGGATAAGGGATACTCAACTTATATATACTTCGGCTTTTCTAATGTTTTTTAGTCTTCAAATACAGTCTTGTCCTCATGCAACCTGAAATATCTTAGAAATGCCAACTTTCGGCATCCACAGAGCCCTGAAAGGGACATGAAAATCCCTTGTCAGTTTAGGTATCTAATATTTTGACTTAGAAAATGTCAACCGCTTATATACTAGGCAAAATCCTAATAGGAGATTTATAGTTCCTGGATTAAATTCTCCCTTACAGCCATGTTCTGTGAATGTTTTAAAACCTGAACCTGAAATGACAATTAAACAGAGAAAACTCTTCCAATGAATTTAAAAGAATTATCTAAGGACACTTCCTAAAGAATAATACATAAATTGATTTCAGACACTACTGAATGACTTGAGGTCATTTGTTGGCATCTTTGATAACTGTAAAATAAAATTTAGAATTATTTCAACTTGCCCTACCCTAATCTAAATGACCTCATACAAAATTAACTTAGGCCATGGTACAGTCCATAAGTAACAGTTCTGAATGTCTAAATATAAACACAGGTAACTGATGATATCTAACACTTTTAAGTCCTCTTTAAAAATGACATTAAAATAAAATGTCTGTTTTCCAGTTCTAAAATACTTTTATTTCTAAGTGGCTATTAACAGATCTGACTGAGACAATGTAATACAGTAGAAAGTACGGAATGCCAGGAGTCAAAGCCCATGGTTTGAATTCAGGCTTTGTTAATAACTAGCTATGTCTGAACAAATCATCCTTGTGAGTTATGGGCATAAATGCTCCACCTGCTTGCCTCAAGAATTAGAGACAATAACTTACATGAAACTGCTTTGTCAATCATCAGGCACTATACAAATATAAAGTATTACCTGTCGACGACAACCCACAACATATCTTGGTCCATTGGTAGCTTTAACAATGACTAGAAGAAAAAACATAAAAGAACTAATTGAAAAATAGAAAGTAAAAAAATACATACCCACGTTGACAGAGGGTTTAGTTGTATTTCTGTCCTCCAAGGAGACATTAGTTGAAGGAAAACTTAAGTCTATTCAAAAATACTCTCTCTCTCTGCATTATTGTCATTAAAATAATAAGCATTTCAAAAGTGAGAGAGAGGTGGACTGTTTCTTTACTAATTAATAAGCTAATTCATCACTCACATTTTTCTTCAGTTAACTGTTTAAGCACTTCACCCACGATCTAAGGAAGAAAATAAAAAGCATTACTTTTTGGCAACAGCTAAATAAAAAAGCAAATTACCATCACCCCCTATTCCCCAAACTCCATCACCTACCTGCCCAACACTCTGTAGGGCCTTCAGATCATTTTCAGACTTTTCATACTGCTTGGTAAGTTCTTTTAATTGTTCCCTTACTGAAATAATACAATTTGAACATTTTTAATTGAACAGTAATCTTAGTGTGTTTAAGTCGCTACGTCTCACTTTACTGTTTACGTAAGTCTACTTCACTTTACCTAAGTTTCACATCCACTGTTTCAAACCATAAAAGAAATAATGCTGTTTGTAATGAGTAGGTGGCATGTATAACAACAAAATGTTACAGAGAAAGCACCATACTTTTACTTTGTTGATCGGCAATACTTGTTTAAGCACATCTTAAGTTATAGTCTTAGAAGATATTGACACCCTGACACTTAGGATTTGCGACTACAAATCCGAATGATAATCACTTAGACCCTTCCTCACCTCTTCACCTACCCACGTGGATTGTTCTCTGACATTCTACCCTAAATAAAGTCAACAAATGCAGTTCTCCACAGAATCATGTAATTATGGTCCTCCATTTAATTAAACTACTCATGCTTTTCAATGAAAATGCACTGGAAAAAAAAGTTAAGCACTCAGGAGGTAAGGGAAATTTGTATGCCTGATACAGTACAACACGAAACACAAGACGATATGGGTTATTATGACAACTGGAACACTTCTCTCTTAAGCTCCGCGGCCGTCTTTCGACTCCAAGAACAAGCCGACTCCCTGAGTCTCATCTCTTGTTTGAGCTTACTTGACTCAAGCGCCTTCCCCTCTCCAAGTCCCGGGACTCCACCAAGACTGCCCTTCTTGCACCCTAACCTGGGAAACATCCTCGGCCCACTTCCCCACTCCTCCTCTACTTCTTTTTCATTTTCACCTCAAGGCCGCCGATGTTCTGTCACCCGGGCTGGACTGGGCCATTTCTACACCCGAAGGAGTGCTGCTCCACAAGCTCAGGGCCGGATGACAAAGCGCCTTGTCCCTGGCCCTAGGCCTGGTCATCTCTAAGGCTCGGTTGCCGGGCTCGGCGAAAGGCTTCTGCTTTGTCAGAGGCAGAAGCGAGTCGAGGCACTTGATTAAATGGAAAGAAAGGTGCACTCACACTCCTTAAGACGGCCGTCGATCTCCTTGTGTTCAAGCAACTTCTTGCGGTAGTCCTGAAGCGCCTTATCTCTAGGGTCCGCCATGATGAGAAGCCGTCTCTCATAGGGGATGCCGGGAATGGCCATGGCCGTCCGGGCGGGGGAAGGGGCGGGGCGAGGGGCGAAACCCTGCCTGGAGGGGTGGGTTCGCCCATGAGCCCTCCCCTTCCGGTTGGCCCCGTCTTTCTACTCCACTTCCACCTCTATGTCTCGGTTCACCTAGAGCGCCGGCATACACTGAAAGAGGCCTCCACCTATACCGTTTCTTGCAAGCCGAGATAGGTAAAGCAGGACTCAGTTATCCCGGTCTTCCCCTGAGAGGCCTCAGTATTAAGTCACTGCTGTCCCGGAAGTATAAAAGGCTCTGTAATAAACTGAGATGGAAGTGAAGTAGGAAATGTGTAATACCTCAAAGGAGTTCCGATGGCCTGTCGACACAACACAGATGGCCTTTGTTATAACACAGTACTGTCCAAGACCTCCACGTGCTGGAGAAGTAGACAGTTTTATTCATCCATTCAGTCAGTGAATGAGGTATTAAAGGTAGATCTGCTTATCATTTGATAGGAAATAATAATAAAAAAAACTTCAGAGTTTAACAAATACTGTGAAGGAATTAAAACACGGTGAGAAGTATGGTGGGAAGAATTAATCTAGAACAGATATCTGAGATGAGAAGGAGCCAGCCTTGCAACAACTGAAGAAAACCTAAACAAACAGTGCAAGTCCTGGAGTGGAGTGGGGTGGGGGTTGTGGGTAGAAAGCTTGACTCACTTCCAGGAACAGAAAGGAGGCCAATGAGACCAGTAGGGGGTGGGTTGTAGAGATGTGGGGTACAAGATAAAGATGCTGAAGTAGGCTGAGGCAGGAACTTTGAAGTCTGATAGAACCTTCAGATTTATGTATTTATTTATTTACTTTTGAGATGGAGTCTTGCTCCTGCCGCACAGGCTGGAGCGGTGACGCGATCTCAGCTCACTGCAACCTCCACCTCCCGGGTTCAAGCAATTCTCCTTCCTCAGCCTCCGGAGTAGCTGGCATTACAGGTGTGCGCCACCACAACCGGCTAATTTTTGTATTTTTAGTAGAGACGGGGTTTCGCCATGTTGGCCATGCTGGTCTCGAACTGCTGACTTCAGGTGATCCACCCTCCTCAGCCTCCCAAAGTGCTAGGATTACAGGTGTGAGGCACTGCGCCCGGCCAGATTTTTTTTTTTTTTTTTTTTTTTTTGAGTCTGTGTCTCACTCTGTCACCCAGGCTGCAGTGTAGTGGTGCGATCTTGGCTCACTGCAACCTCTGCCTCCCGGGTTCAAGCGATTGTCGTGCCTCACCCTCCTGAGAAGCTGGGATTACAGGCGCCCGCCACCACGCCCGGCTCATTTTTGTATTTTCAGTAGGAATGGGGTTTCACCATGTTGGCCAGGCTGGTCTCCAACTACTGACCTCAAGTGATCCGCCCGCCTCAGCCTCCCAAAGTGTTGGGATTACAGGCGTGAGCCACGACGCCTGGCCAACTTTCAGATTTTTGTGATTTGGGGAAAATTACATACTCCCTCAATATCTCTGTAAAATGATCATAATAATTGCACTTATCTAATGGGGTTGTCATGAGTATTAAATAGGATAATGTGCCTAAACACAACATCTGCCACATGGCATGTACTCAATAGTGTTCTTTTGAATAGATATTTATTTTAAGGGTAGTAATGACTCCAATTTTTGCATTACAGGTCCTCATTGCTATACCTCTTGCTATCATTGTTCCTGGGGACAATTAATTGTTGTCCAAAAAACATGAGTAAAATTCTCCAAATAGATTCCATTTGGTCTCACCTTATCCAATGGCCATGAATGTTTGAGTTTAAATATATACATCCTAAATATACAAATAAAGTACAAATTTTTGTAAATTAATGACCCAAAGTCACATAAAGGATGCCTTCAAATTTATTAGGAACAATTCTCATGGGTATTGTGTGAATATTCCATTCTATTTTTCTTTTTTTTTTTTTTTTTTTTTTTTTTTTTTGAGTTGGAGTCTTGCTCTGTCGCCAGGCTGGAGTGCAGTGGCGCGATCTCGGCTCACTGCAACCTCCACCTCCCGGGTTCAAGTGATTCTCCTGCCTCAGCCTCCCGAACAGCTGGGATTACAGGCGCACACCACCACGCCCAGCTAATTTTTGTATTTTTAGTAGAGACAGGGTTTCACCATGTTGGTCAGGCTGGTCTCGATCTCCTGACCTCGTGATCCGCCCGCCTCGGCCTCCCAAAGTGCTGGGATTACAGGCATGAGCCACCGCGTTCGGCCAATTTTTCTAAATGTGACTGGGTTCTTGCAGTATACAATGAACAAGGAAGCTGTATGGGGCAGGGATAGTCCCTTCTCCCACTCAGTTGCAACTACTCTGGTCAAACTAGTCCATCCATACCAAAACATGTCACCTCTGACATCAAGAAGTAAAGAAGAGAGGACAAGGCAGAGAAAGAAAGCTCAGTATGGCTCAATTTAAAATATTTATGAGCACATACTGATAGGTTATTTTAACATTAATCACATCAATATTTTAAAGTCCCTTAACCCTTGTTCTTTTTCTTTTACCCATCTGGCAGCATTTCAACTTCAGAAGAATCTTCTATTTTCCCCATGCCTACACTAGCCCTGTTACTTTTTTGTTTGTTTGTTTGTTTTTTGTTTTGAGCAGGAGTCTCGCTCTGTCGCCCAGGCTGGAGTGCAGTGGTGCGATCTCGGCTTGCTGCAACCTCCGCCTCCCGGGATCAAGGGATTCTCCTGCTTCAGCTTCCAGAGTAGCTGGGACTACAGGTATGCGCCACCACACCCGACTAATTTTTGTATTTTTGGTAGAGATGGGGTTTCACCATGTTGGTCAGGCTGGTCTTAAATTCCTGAGCTCAGGTGATCCACCCGCCTTAGCCTCCCAAAGTGCTGGGATTACAGGTGTGAGCCACCGCGCCTGGCCGTTACGTTTTTATACATGCCTATAAGACTGTATTCCTCTCCATCTGAAAACGTAGCTCAACTTGTAATTATATATTCTTAAACGTGATTAAATGTTTAGAGTCTTTTCTCTGCAGTGGACTGTAACCCCTCGGAAAACAAGGACTATGACTATTTATTTCCCCTGATTGGATCCCCAGTGTCTAGCACAGTGTCTGAAATAAAAGAGATATATGTATATTGAATGAATGAATATCTCAGGCACTAAGATAGGTAAGCAGAGTTATAAAGAGGCTAAGAAATGTGACCAGTACTCAAGGAACTTAAAATATCATAAAGTGAAAACAGAAAAATACAAATGTGACCAAAAAATGAAAATTAGAACATATAGGGTGGAAGAGATAAAAGAAGGTAGGGCATATCTTAGTTTATTTCGGAGTCATTAAAAGTGATGTCATAACAAACGGTAATGAGATTGATGTAGACCTTCAAAAATCATGTAAGGATAGTTTCTCAATCTATTTTCCTATAACTTGGCACAGATGAGTGTGGTCATTTTAAAATATGTACACAAATTATTTGACACTTTCCACTTCAAGAGGTGGAGCATAATTCCCCTTCCTTGGACCTAGTGACTTGCTCTTGATAAATAAAGTGGAAGTGACAGTGCGCAACGATGGAGACTAGATCACAAAAAGTGTTGAGCCTTCCTTTTGACTCTCGCTTGGATAACTCCCTGTGGGAGAGCCAGTTGTCATGGCATGAGGACACATCAACAGATCTATGGAGAGACCTACATAGCAAGGAACAGCCATCCAGGAACTTAAGGCCTCCTGCCAACAGCCATATGAGTGAGCAGTTCCTGGCAGAGATCCTCCGGCTCTAGGCAAGCCTTTATTACTGCAGCCCTAGTATTGATTGCAACACCATGAGAGACTGAGTCACACAACTCAGTTCAGCTGCTCCTGAATTGCTGGTCCCTAAAAACCATGAGATGATAAATGTTTGTTGTTTGAAGCCACTTAGTTTTGGGGTAATTTGTTACACAGTGATCGATAACAAATACAACAAGAACAGATTTATTTTTAAGAGAAAAATTGGGAAACAGTGTCAAATAGGCAAGTAGCAACTACTTTTGCTCCCACATTGGCCACAACACTTAAGTTTTTAGAAATTTTTCATCCCAAATGTCTACTTCCAAATACCTATGAAAATGCACTTAAATTAGGCCAGGCGCAGTGGCTCACACCTATAATCCTAGCACTTTGGGAGGCTGAGGCGGGTGGATCACAAGGTCAGGAGATCAAGACCATCCTGGCTAACGTGGTGAAACCCCGTCTCTACTAAAAAATACAAAAAAATTAGCCGGGTGTGATAGCGGGCGCCTGTAGTCCCAGCTACTCTGGAGGCTGAGGCAGGAGAATGGCGTGAACCCAGGAGGTGGAGGTTGCAGTGAGCCGAGTTTGCGCAACTGCACTCCAGCCTGGGCGACAGAGTGAAACTCTATCTCAAAAAAAAAAAAAAAAAAAAGAAAAGAAAAGAAAAAAAGAAAGAAAATGCACTTAAATTAATGTGTCTGTGTCTAAGCAGTGAGATGTTGAGGTAGGAATAGAAGTTAGAGTTCAGGCCGGGCATGGTGGCTCATGCCTGTAATCCCAGCACTTTGGGAGGCCGAGGCAGGTGGATCATTTGAGGTCAGGAGTTCAAGACCAGTCTGACCAACATGGTGAAACCCCGTCTCTACTAAAAATACAAAAAAATTAGCCAGAAGTGGTGGCACATGCCTGTAATCCCAGCTACTCAGGAGGCTGAGGTAGGATAATTGCTTGAACCTGGGAGACAGAGGTTGCAGTCTCTGGAGCCAAGATCTTGCCACTATACTCCAGCCTGGGAGACACTGCAAGATTCCAACTCAAATAATAATAAAAATAAAATAAAAAAATAAATGAAGAAGTTAGAGTTTCTAGGCTTCTGGGGTGTGCTTTTAATAAAGTAATACCATAAAGAGAGCTTTTAAAAAAAGTACTAAAGATTAAATTGAAAAAGAGGTGCCTATTGTCTCACTTTTCTCTAATCCCGAGTTCCACTCCCTTAATTTTTAAATGTGTTTCTACTATACTTACCTTTGTATTTCTAAATAATATCCTTATGCTGCTATTTCTTGATATATAAATTTTGGGATTTATCTTCTGACCAAATTAGGAAGATAAAGATTTAGCACCCTTACTCCAGACTCCCACTTTTCCTACTTGCATCCTCCATGAATGCAATATATGTAAATTTTGGTTAAATTGCTATCCAATATTTGTGTCATTGTGGGGCTATGTATGTCAAGCAGTATACTATTTGCTTTATTAAAAAATTTTTTTTTGGCCGGGCACGGTGGCTCACACCTGTAATCCCAGCACTTCGGGAGGCTGAGGCAGGCGGATCACGAGGTCAGGAGATTGAGACCATCCTGGCTAACACGGTGAAACCCCATCTCTACTAAAAATACAAAAAATTAGCCGGGTGTGGTGGCAGGCGCCTGTAGTCCCAGCTACTCGGGAGGCTGAGGCAGGAGAATGGCATGAACCCAGGAGGCGTAGCTTACAGTGAGCCGAGATCACGCCACTGCACTCCAACCTGGGTGACAGAGCGAGACTCTGTCTCAAAAAAAAAAAAAACACATTTTTTTTTTGAGACAGAGTCTTGCTCTTGTTGTCCAGGCTGGAGTGCAGGAAATCGAATTGAAGGAGAGAGGAATCAGCATTGTCAGAATGCAGCAGAGATTTCATGAAAATTGGTCATTGGGTTGGGCAATAGGAAGGCCATGTAAAGAGGAGTTTCAGGGGAGTAGAGCTGGAAACCAGACTGCATCATGGGTTAAAATGTGAGTGGGAAGTTGAGGAGTGAATGATAAGTGAAGTCAGTGACTGCATACAGCTTGCTTTCAGGAATTTGAGGTAAAGAAGGTGAAGATGTTACGTGTCATGTCTTCCCCCTTCAGATGATTCTAAGCACCTTGAGACAAATGTCTAGTAATGTACCACGTGTGCAACCATATTCAGTAAATATTAATGACAGGAATGATTCTAATAAAAATATCAGCACTAAACCCATTAGGTTTTTACTTAGCCTTTCTTTGTACTAATTTATTTCCTTTAAATTGTTTTCTTCCAGTCTATTCAATGACAGAAATTGTATGGGTACTGAGAAGCTTCCCACAGAAATCCCCACATACCATTTTGAGACACTGGACTCAAGCCATTTCCTGCTTTGGTCATAAAAAAAAAAATAGTCGCTGTTATTTACACAGTAATCAGAATTCCATCAGGAAATGCTGTGTGCATTAAATCTAAGTCATGTTATTGTTATAATCACTAGTATTAGAAAAACAAGTTTGTGACCTTGTTCATCTCTAAAAAATTTAATGTTGTTTAGCAAAGTTGTAATGAATGGGAAGTTGGGCTTTCAGAAATCAAAGGTTGATCTATGTACCCTGTGGGTGCTCTTTAAATAGTTAATGAATGACTAATCAGTGATTTCATGGCCTCTAACACAGGTGAGACGATTGCCTGAGCAGGTATATTTGAAGAAGCAAACTCATGCAAAGGGAGTTTCCTTCTGGCCTGAAAGATTCTCATGGACACTTCAGTGATATTCACATCACACACATAAAACTGTATTTACTTATTCTAAAATCGCTTACAAATCTGAAACAAAACATTATAATTATCTAGACAATAAGGTAAAAAAAGTGGATACTTTTTCTAAGTTTGCTAGAAATTTATTCTGGGAAAGAGTTTGAGTTTTATGGAAAATAATTTCTATCATGAGAACACTGACATTTTTAAGCTCCCCCAGGTTACAGGTCATTGCATTAGGGTAAAATGTTAAGCTGATTCATATTCAGATTGCTTCCTTCTAAAATCATAGGCTTTATTAATTTCCTCTTTTCTTATTGTGTTTCTCATTTTTGATGGCCTAATCTTCATTTATTAGTACTGTGGCCAGTGAAAGATTTTCATTTATTCCACGAACATGTACAAAGACAAGATCCTTGTTAAGGATCTCTGGGAGTCTCAGGGACATTTGAAACACAATCCCTGCTCAAGAAGTTTAAAGATGTTACAATTCAGTGAAGAAATATGAAGTAGAAAATATCATAAAAGATTATATACTAATGCTGAAATGAACATGGGAGTGCAGATATTTCTTTGACATACAAATTTTATTTTTATTTTTAAGACAGAGTCTCGCTCTGTCACCCAGGCTGGAGTACAATGGCATGATCTCAGCTCACTGCAACCTCCGCCTCCCAGGTTCTAGAAATTCTCTCACCTCAGCCTCCCGTGTAGCTGAGACTACAGGCACACACCACCATGCCTGGCTAATTTTTTGTATTTTTAGTGTAGACGGGGTTTCACCATGTTGGTCCGGCTGGTCTTGAACTCCTGACCTCAAATGATCTGCCCGCCTCAGCTTCCCAAAGTGCTGGGTCAGGCGTGAGCCACCATGCCCAGTCTGACACGCCAATTTTAATACCTTTGTATATACACCCAGAAGTGGGATTGCTGGATCATATGGTAATTCTATTTTTAGTTGTGTGTGTGTTTTTTTTTTGTCTGCTTTGTTTTGTGAGATGGAGTCTCGCTCTGTTGCCCAGGCTGGAGTGCAGTGGCGCGATCTCGGTTCACTGTAACCTCTGTCTTCCAGGTGCAAGCAATTCTCCTGCCTTAGCCTCCAGAGTAGCTGGGACTACAGGCACGTGCTGCCACGCCCAGCTAATTTTTGTATTTTTAGTAGGGACGGGGTTTCACCGTGTTAGCCAGGATGGTCTCCATCTCCTGGCCTCATGATCTGCCTGCCTCGGCCTCCCAAAGTGCTGGGATTACAGGTGTGAGCCACCGTGCCCGGCCTATTTTTAGTTTTTTGAGGAACCTCCATACTATTTTTCAAAATGGCTGTACTAATTTACATTCCCACCAACAGTGTACAAGTGTTTCCATTTTTCCACATCCTTTCCAGCACCTGTTATCATTCATCATTTTGGCAATAGCCATTCTAACAGGTGTAAGGTGACATCTCATTGTGTCTTTAATTTGCATTTCCCTGATGATTAGAGATATTAAGCATTTTTTTCCTATACCTGTTGGCTATTTGTATGTCTTTTTTTGAAAAATAACTGTTCAGAACCTTTGCTGCTTTTTAAAAATCAGACTATTTTCATAACATTGATTTGTTTCTTATACTCCCATGTTCATTTCTGCATTATTTACAATAGCCAAGATATAGGAACAACCTAAGTGTTCATCGACAGATGAATGGATAAAGAGAATCTTGTATATATATGCCTACTATACAGCCATAAAGAAGGAAATTATTCCCAGTACTTTGGGAGGCCGAGGCGGGCGGATCACGAGGTCAGGAGATCGAGACCATCCTGGCTAACATGGTGAAATCCCGTGTCTACTAAAAATACAAAAAAATTAGCCGGGAGTGGTGGCGGGCGCGCCTGTAGTCCCAGCTACTTGGGAGGCTGAGGCAGGAGAATGGCGTGAACCCGGGAGGCGGAGCTTGCAGTGAGCGAGATCGTGCCACTGCACTCCAGGCTGGGTGACAGAGCGAGACTCCGTCTCAAAAAAAAAAAAAAAAAGGAAATTCTGTAATTTGTGACAATATGGATTAACCTAGAGGCCATGATACCAAGTGAAATAAGCCAGGCACAAGAAAACAATTACCACATAATCTCACTTACATGTGGAATCTAAAAAAGTTTATCTCATAGAAACAGTAGAAAGGTAGTCACCAGAGGCCGGTGGGCAGGGAGGATGGGGAAAGGGGAGATGTTGGTCAAAGTGCAAAGTTTCAGTTAGACTGCAGGAATAAGTTTTAGTGATCTAATGCACTGCATGGTGACCACAGTTAATAAGAATTGCAAAATTGCTAAAAGAATAATTTTTTAATGTTCTCATCAATGAAAAATGAAAAGTTGGTGAGGCAATGTATCTGTTAATAAGCTTTATTTAATCTTTCTACAATGTATGCATAGATCAAAACATCCCATTGTATCCTATAAATATACACAATTATTATTTGTCAATTAAATATTTTTTAAAAAGTACATACTAAGTTCCATGGATGTCTCTCCAAGTGTAGGAACTGGACCTTATACATCTTTGTATCCCAAATGTCAAGCTCAGCTTGTCACAGAGTAAGTTTACTGAATTGAAATCATTGAGAGACTGGAACTGGGTTAGGAGGAAACCAGGAAGACGACTTAAGACAGGGAGAACATGACCTGGGTCTGGCCCTAAAAAGGATAACTGGGGCCTGTATATAGGAATATGAAAAAGAGCTTTTGGCCAGGTGCGGTGGCTCACGCCTGTAATCTCAGCACTTTGGGAGTCCAAGGCAGGCGAATCACGAGGTCAGGAGGTTGAGACCATCCTGGCTAACATGGTGAAACCCTGTCTCTACTAAAAATGCAAACAACTTAGCTGGGCGTAGTGGCACGCGCCTGTAGTCCCAGCTGCTCAGGAGGCTGAGGCAGGAGAATCACTTGAACCCAGGAGCTGGATTTGCAGTGAGCCAAGATTGCGCCACTGCACTCCAGCCTGGCGACAGAGTGAGAATCTATCTCAAAAAAAAAAAAAAAAAGAAAAAGAAAAAAAAAAAAAAAAGCTTTCAGGTTAGGAGGGAGATTGTATTAATATGTACATGTGACATGTTGTAGATACTAGAATTAGAGCTTCTCAGGTCCATCAGGATCTCAGATGGGTTGTTGACTTTTACTACATGTCTACTTGGCAGTGATAGGCAGAGCTCTAGGGTTTGCAGTAAAATACATGAGTTTAAGTCATTTGAACTATTTCAACTTTTAATGTGCATGCAAGATGTCGGAAAGCTGCCAGTTTCACCTAGAAACTACCTTCTTAGGCTTGGTGAAGTGGCTCACACCTGTAATCCCAGCACTTTGGGAGGCAGAGGCAGGCAGATCACTTAAGGTCAGGAGTTCGAGACCAGCCTGGCCAACATGGTGAAACCACATGTCTACTAAAAATACAAAAGTTAGCTGGGTATGGTGGCGCAGGCCTGTAATCCCAGCTACTCGGGTAGCTGAGGCGTAAGAATCACTTAAACCCGGGAAGCGGAGGTTGCAGTGACCCGAGATTGCGCCACTGCACTCCAGCCTGGGTGAGGAAGTGAGAGTGTCTCAAAAAAAAGTCTTCTTAAAACAACAAACAAACAAACAAACAAAAAACAAAAAGTAAGGCCAGGTGCGGTGGCTCATGTCTGCAATTCTAGCACTTTGGGAGGCTGAGATGGGTGGGTCACCTGAGCTCAGAGCTAGAGACCAGCCTGGCCAACATGGCAAAACCCCTTCTCTACTGAAAATACAAAAATTAGCCGAGTGTGTGGTGGCTTACGCCTGTAATCCCAGCTACTGGGGAAGCTCAGGCAGGAGAATCTCTTGAACCTGGGAGGCAGAGATTGCAGTAAGCCAAGATGACGCCACTGCACTCCAGCCTGGGCGACAGAGCGAGACTCCGCCTCGAAAAAAAAAAAAAAAGTAATCCCAGCACTTTGGGAGGCTGAGGCGGGAGAATCGCTCTTGAGGAGTTTGAGACCAGCCTGGGCAACATGGTGAAACCTCGTTTCTACTAAAAATAAAATTAGCCAGGCGTGGTGGCGCACGCCTGTAGTTCATGCTACTCAGGAGGCTTAGGTGGGAGGATCGCTTGAGCCCAGGAGTTCGAGGTTGCAGTGAGCTGCGATCGCATCATTGCAGGCCAGCCTGGGTGACCCAGGGAGACCCTGTCTGGAAAAAAAAAAAGCGGATAGACTAGTCCCAACTCTGAATGTTAAAAGACCAGGACTGGGTATCAGAGGACCTCCAATCCTTGCTCACCTTACCTCACTTCTCTAGGCCTGTTTCTTCCTATGATATGAGCGGGTGGCTTCCACCCTCGCTGTCTAATACAGTGGGCACTAGCCAGCCACATTTGACTATGAAATGGGTCTAGTTCGCATCGAATACACACTGGATTTCAAAGACAAAAAAAGTCAAATATCTTATGAATAAATTTAATGTTGGTTATATTTTGAAATAATATTTTGCACATTCGGGGTTAAATAAAAATATTTTAAAAATAAAATGTACCTGTTATTTTTACTCTTTTGCTGTGGCTACTAAAAATATAAATGACATATGCTGCCCTGGTCTAGATGCTCTCTAATATCCCTTTCAGCTTTAAGACTCCGCCGGGAACACGGTGGACACGTAATTCGTACGATTTGATTGTCTCGCATTGAGATACGGAAGGATTGGCCGGGAGTGAGCGGGCTGGGGCTGGGCGGGGCGGCGCGGGGCGGGCACCCCCCGCCCCCCAACCCCGCAGGAAAACACAGGCCCCTCCGGCTTTCGCTCTCGCTCTGGGAACTGGAAGGACCCCCGACTCCCGCGCAGGGTCTGGGGTTGTGCGCGTCGGGTTGCGTCTCCAGGCCGGGGGCGTCAGGGAGCCGGGGGCGGGGACGGGCGCGGGCGCAGCGGACCGGGCGGGGCCGAGCCGGGAAGCTGGTCGGTGCGTCAGCCTCACGCGGCGGGAAGGAACCGGTCCGAGGCCCCGGGCTGCCGGCGCGGGCGCCGCGGCACGTCCACAGGCTGGGTCGCGAGGTGGCGATCGCTGAGAGGCAGGAGGGCCGAGGCGGGCCTGGGAGGCGGCCCGGAGGTGGGGCGCCGCTGGGGCCGGCCCGCACGGGCTTCATCTGAGGGCGCACGGCCCGCGACCGAGCGTGCGGACTGGCCTCCCAAGCGTGGGGCGACAAGCTGCCGGAGCTGCAATGGGCCGCGGCTGGGGATTCTTGTTTGGCCTCCTGGGCGCCGTGTGGCTGCTCAGCTCGGGCCACGGAGAGGAGCAGCCCCCGGAGACAGCGGCACAGAGGTGCTTCTGCCAGGTGAGCGATGTGCGCGTTGGTGCTGAGGGTCCCGGCGCCCTCCGCGGCGTGCACTGTCCCGCACGCCCTGGCGGGTGAGCGGCTGGGGGTGCGTCCTTGCATCTCTTCCCACCGGGAATGAGACTCCGGTGCTGCTGCCCGGTGGCCGGGACTGAGTCTGGCTTGGCGTGGACCGGGCCTCCACGGCAGCCTGGACGTCGCCGCGCCCTCCGGTGCCTCGGACCAGGAGAGGGGTTGGGTGCACGCGGTTGAGTGGGTTTATGCATCTTTGTTGGTCTTATCTGCCCGGGGAGAGTGTGCACAGTGTATAATGCCCTGCCAGTATTTGCTATTTTCACAGAACCTGGATCTTTCTCACTTCTCTCTTGACCAGGAACTTGTGTACCCAGTACCTGTGCTGCGTGCATTTCGCCAGCCTTTCTGGCTAAGACGTTTGTGGGCTGATCTCAGATTTCGATGTTAGGCGGAAGAATGGCTGCTTGCGGTTTTTCTGTGTGTAAGCCCAACTACCTGATGTCTTTGGGACTGCAGTTGCCCTCTGGTTTCTGGTCCTGTGTGCTCTTTTTCTCGAATGTAATGAGATTCTCTTATCGTGACACCCGTTAAGCTGGTACGAATTGGGAGGAAGGTCCTTATTCTTCAGTGCACAAGTTTAATTACAAGCGGATTATGATCATTTCCTTCTGTAAGAGATGTGGTTTCTTGAGCAAAAAATTGAGAGAAACTTACAGTTTTCCATTATCTTCAGTATCTAGTATTTCAATGTGATTACTCTTGTCAAAGCCACTTTTTGGTTGACTCTGTTGATAAAAATTACGTTTTATACAAAATTAAGGGTTAGGCATCCATGTTATTCCTAAGTGGATTTTGCTATTAATTTATTATCAGAAATACCATTTTATGTGTTTAGGGGCATGATACCATGTCAAAGGAAAGATGCATTTAAATATTATGAAAGGTTTCTCTTTCACTACTTTACATTCTTGGATTTTGTTGTTTTGCTGAGTGATTTGGGAGTTGAGGTGAGTGTTATCTAGGAAACTAAGGGAAGTTGAAAGAAAATTGCTACTTTACAACTGAGACATTGAAAAGTCCTTTACCTTCAATCATTACAAAGGACACACAATCAAGTACTTAAAAGGAAAAGGGTCATTTTTCTTCTGATTAGAAATATAACGCAACACCGAGATTAAACATTTAAAAAATAAGATAGAAATAAGTGACTTTAAAATAAAATATTCTTTACGGAAAGAAGATGTCCAATGTAACATTTTCAGCTACATTCTGGAGATTTGGATACTGGAATAAAAGTACATGTTGAACTCTTCAACTTTTACTTTTTTTTTCCTTAATAACCTTTTTGGAGTTCTGCTTAAAATAGAACTTTAAATTCTTTGCATTTATTTTCTTTTTCTTCTAACTAGTGATTAAACTTTTCCTCTTTCACAATACCCTCATATTCAAATACTTCCCTAACATAAAATTCTGTTAAACCCCTTTCTTTTTCTTTTAGAACGAGAGTGGCTATCTGTGTTTCTTTTCAGACTCAACCTTGAAAAATAGTAAATTGGGCTGGGTGTGGTGGCTCCAGCCTGTAATCCCAGCACTTTGGGAGGCTGAGGTGGGAGGATCTCTTGAGTCCAGGAGTTCAAGACCAGCACGGGCAACATAGTGAAACCCCCGTCTCTACAAAAAAAATTAAAAAAAGAAAAAAGCTGGGTGTGATGGTGTGCGCCTGTGGTCTCAGCTACTTGGGACACTGAGGTGGCAGGATGGAGTGAGCCCAGGAGTTCGAGACCAGCTTGGAGACCCGGTCTGTATTAGTCCGGGTTCTCTAGAGGGATAGAACCAATGGAATATATATATAAAGGGAGTTTATTAAGTATTAATTCACATGATCACAAGGTCCCGCAATAGGCTGTCTGCAGGCTGAGGAGCAAGGAGAGCCAGTCTGAGTTCCGAAACTGAAGAACTTGGAGTTTGGTATTTGAGGGCAGGAAGCATCCAGCATGGGAGAAAGATGTAGGCTGGAAGGCTAGGCCAGTCTCTCACGTTTTTCTGCCTGCTTATATTCTAGCCATGCTGGCAGGTGATTAGATTGTGCCTACCCAGATTAAGGGTGGGTCTGCCTTTCCCAGCCCACTGCTTCAGTGATCGAGGCTGCAGTAAGCCATGATTGCATCAGTGCACTCTAGCCTGTGTGACAAAGTGAGAGTCTGCCTCAAAATAATAATAATAATAAAAAAGTAAATTGAGGATCATATAGTTAAAAAAACAGTTTTAACAGAAATTTAGAAATTTAGAATGGTCTACTTATTTCATGATTTGAGGGAGCCTAAGCAAAAAAAAAAAAAAAAAAAAAAAAGTTGTCTATTTAAGAACAGAGACTATCAATTCCAATTCTATAAGTGAAACAATAGGGCCAGTAGTGGAAGGGATGAGGATCGGGGGAGAAGGGAGGAGAGGTGGCACTGATGAATAGACATGCAGAGAAAATTAGAGGCAAGCATATAGACAGACATACACAGAGAAACAGCATGAGAGGGAAAAGAAAAAAAATGGAGAAAGAAAAGGGGAGATAAATGGTGCAAATCATTCATTCAACAAGTGTAACCACTCTGCACGTTGACCAGAGTGTTTGGGACACAGAAATAACTATGGCATTATCCCTGCCCTGAAGAGCTATAGTTTAGTGAATAATGTTCATTGGGGATTCGTGGGAGGCACAGATCCTAAGCACTTAAAAAACAAGTTAGGAAATATTGCTAGAAACTAAGTTAAAAACTAAATTTCCACCAGATGTTTGGAAATACAAGTTAAAATCTTCTCTGGTTCTGTTTACAATATCCAGTGAGCTGCACAGTCCCGTTGATTGTTTTGGTAATAGTTTTATCTTTTCTTCCTGTTGCCTGTCCCTCTTACCACATCTGCCTTGGGTTACCACATCCCCATCCATCATCACACTGCTGCATGGTGCCTGGCTTATAGTAGGGTTCAGTTCACAGAATGTCCGCTCTGATTTGAGCTAGAGCAGTGACCTTAGAAAGTCACTGAATTAAAATGTGTAGAGCTCTACAAGTAATCAGATTAAATTCATCAAGCATATGTTGAAACCTACTGTGAACAATTTTTGGGAGATCAAAAAATGAATTAAAGGTGTGACACTTCCAAGAAGTGAGCCTGGTGAATAATTGGTGCTCAACAAGTCCTAGGGAAATTATAAGATGCAAGCACTATGCCAACAGGAGTATATTTTAAAAATTATTCTGCTTAGCAAGCCATTTGCATGTTTTCTGGAACTGATCTTTCAGATTGGTTGATAGCTCCAACTGAGTCTTTGAATTTGGTCAGTTGCTACATATGCCTGTTAGTTGATATCAAATCCTGCTAAAATTATTTTCACTGTATGTTGTAAGTTCCTTTGATAATAGTGCTTAAGTGTTAGTTGCTCAAAATGAATGATTAATTGCCTTAGACTTGTAAATCTGTATATGTAACCTCATGTAAGAATTGTATATACAACCTAGGCCAGGCATGGTGGCTCACGATGTTTGTAAACTCTTACTTGCTCATGATGTTTTATCAATCTTAATATGGCTAGTGCTAGTAACACTCAGGATAGCTTATTTGAGCACAGTAAATCTCTGTCAGGCTAATGAAAGGGGAGAGTAGCTCAGAGTCCAAAATAAATACTCCAAAAATGGATCTTTTTTAGCTTGGAGCGCATTTAGTAGATTTAACCTGTCAAGTGTCTTGTTAGGTCAGTTGAAACAATGGTTTTAATTGTTAGCCTGGTGGCTGGGCCGTGGGAGAGACACTTGCTAATATGTTGAGTGGTGGATGGAAATAAGCCCAGGATTATAACTTAGTCAGAGGGATCTTTGAAACAGGTTACACTGGAGAGGTGTCCACTGACTCTATGTGTGTGCTGCATTCCAGGCTTTTCTGAATAAACTGTGTGGAAGAAATATTTTCCTGATGGTTGCCAGTCATTTGACAATTTAAAGTTTCGGCAAGACTAAGTCTTTAAAGCCAAAATGACCTGTAGCGTTCTAGGTCCTTAGGATGGTGCCTACTACCTGGTGTGGAATCTTTGGTATTTCCCTGCTTCCATTGACAGACTTGTCCCAGTGTACTTCTGTCAACAGATGAGTACTTTTTATGTTATTTTTTTATGGTGATAAAACACAGTAAAATTAAATACACCTGAAGTTCTTTGCCAAATAAAGCACACTTTGAGCACATTGATTTATTTATGTATTTCTCTCCACCTTTATTGACACATAAAAATTGCATATATTGGCTGGGTGTGGTGGCTTACGCCTGTAATTCCAACACTTTGGGAGGCTGAGGCACGTGGATCACCTGAGGTTGGGGGTTCGAGACCAGTCTGACCAACATGAAGAAACCCCATCTCTACTAAAAATACAAAATTAGCTGGGCGTGGTGGCACATGCCTGTAATCCCAGCTACTCAGGAGGCTGAGGCAGGAGAATTGCTTGAATCCGGGAGGCAGAGGTTGTGGTGAGGTGAGATCGCACCATCACACTCCAGCCTGGATGACAAGAGCAAAACTGCGTGTCAGAAGAAAAAAGAAATGCATATATTTAAGGTGTACCACATAATGTTTTGATATATAAAAGGTCCTTATCCTTTTTTTTTCTTTTGAGACAGAGTCTCACTTTGTCACTCAGGCTGGAGTGCAGTGGCGTGATCTTGGCTCACTGCAAACTCTGCCTCCTGGGTTCAAGTGATTCTCCTGCCTCAGCCTCCCAAGTAGCTGGGACTACAGGCACCCGCCACCTTGCCCTGTTGGCCAGGCTGATTTTGAACTCCTGACCTCAGGTGATCTGCCCTCCTTGGCCTCCCAAAGTGCTGGGATTATAGACATGAGCCACTGTGCCCGGCCCTTGCCCATTTTTTAATTGGGTTATTTGTTTTTTTGTTGTTGAGTTGTATGAGTTCCTTTTATATTTTGGATAATAACATCTTGTCAGACAGATGGTCTGCAAATATTTTCTCCCATTCTGTAGGTTGCCTTTTCATTTTGTTGCTTGTTTCTTTGTTACATAGAAACATTTTAGTTGCATGTAGTCCCACTTACTTATTTTTGCTTTTATTGCTGGTCTTCTTGGTGTCACATAAAAAATCATTGCCAAGACTAATGTCATGGAGCTTTTCTCCTATGTTTTTTTCTAGGAGTCTTGGTGTTTCAGGGCTAACATTTAAGTCTTTAATCAGCTTTTAGTTGACTTTTGTGTGTGTTGTAAGATAAAGATCCAATTTCATTTTTTTGCACATGGATATCCAGTTTTCCCACCACCATTTATTGACAAGACTGTGCTTTCCCATTGTTTGGTCTTGGTCAAAGATTAGTTGGCCAGACATGTGTGGGTTTATTTCTGGGCTTTCTATTGTTTTCCATTGGTCTATGTATGTGTTTCTATGCTGATACAACACTGTTGTGATGACTGTAGCTTTGTAATATAATTTGAAATTACAAAGTAGGCTGCTTCCAGGTTTGTTCTTGCAAAATTGCTGTAGCTACTTGGGGTCTTTTGCTGTTCCATCCAAATTTTACAATTTTTTTTTCTATTTTTGTGAAAAATGCCATTGGAGTTTTGATAGAAATTGCATTGAATCTGCAGAACACTTTGGGTGGTATGGGCTTTTTAACAATATTAATTCTCTCAATTTATGAACATGGGATATCTTTCCATTTATTTGTGTAATCTTCAGTTTTTTTAATCACTGCTTTATAGTTTTCAGCATACTGATCGTTCCTCTCCTTGTTAAATTTATTCCTAAGTAGTTTATTCTTTTTCATTCTATTCTAAATAGAATTGTTTTCTTAATTTTTTTTTGGATAGTTCATTGTTAGTGTATAGAAGCACAATTGATTTTTGTATGTTGATTTTGTATCTTGTAATTTTGCTGAATTTATTCTAATGGTTTTCTGGTGGAGTCTTTAGGATTTTCTATATATAAGATCATGTCATCTGCAAAAAGAGACAATTTTACGTATTTTTTATTTGGATACCTTTTATTTCTTTCACTTTCCTAATTCACACTTTGAGCATGTTTAAAAGGTATTTCATAAAAAATGTATATGAGGGCCGGGCGCAGTGGCTCATGCCTGTAATCCCAGCACTCTGGGAGGCTGAGGCGGGTGGATCACCTGAGGTCAGGAGTTTGAGACCAGCCTGACCAACATGGTGAAACCCTGTGTCTGCTAAAATACAAAATTAGCCGGGCATGGTGGCAGGCACCTGTAATCCCAGCTACTTGGGAGGCTGAGGCAGGAGAGTCTCTTGCACCTGGGAGGCAGAGGTTGCAGTGACCTGAGATTGCACCATTGCACTCCAGCCTGGGCAATAAGAATAAAACTCCGTCTCAAAAAAAAAGTATATGAGGAATATATTCTTATAGTGCTTTGTGTGAAAAAATAAAATGGTAATGTATAATAAGACTAGAATATATTGGTATACAAGAAAACTTTAGAAAGTGTTGTTTTGTCTTTCATTGCAAATTAAAGGATACCTCTGACATGAGAGTAGTGAACAAGCGGTACGTGGTAATTTTCCTTTATCCTGCCTTTTGCATTTGGTCAAATCAAACAGAGTCAACAGAGAAGGTAATTGAGGCTCCCTCCACAGCTAACTGTTGGTTATCTAGTTCTTTGTTCCATTGGGGCTACAGATGTCAAATTTTTGGGAAATTTTAGCTGCAAATTCGGCTGTATTTTTCTTATTCATTATGAAAATGCCATGTGCTGCTTTGGGAAGTAATACATGCTTCCCTTTCATTGGAAGCATTTAAGTAGAAGTAGGGTAATAATAATGATTAACATGTACTGACAATTTACTTTGTACTATTTATCTTGGTATCAACTCTTTGAGATGAGAACTATTACTATTTTCTATTAAGATGAGAAACCAAGGCCTAGAGAGGTTAAATAGCTGGGATAAAGTGAAAAACTAATGACTGGCAGAGATGGGATTCAAACCTAAGGAGGTCTGATGTTAGAACATACACGCTAACTATTGTTACACACTACCTGTTCCTTGAGGGATGTGAATGGAGGGATTTGCTGTTTTGCTTGGGAGATTGTAATAGAAAGCCTTCCAAGGCTTTCTAACTCTTAAAAGACTAGGACTTTTTTTTTTTCTTTTCTATTTTTTTGAGGCAAGGTCTTGCTCTGTCATTTAGGCTGGAGTACATTGGCATGATTATGGCTCACTGCAGCCTCAACCTCCCTGGCTCAAGCGATTCTCCCACCTTAGCCTCCTAAGTGGCTGGGACTACAGATGTGCACCCAATGCCTGGCTAGTTATTTTATTTTTTTGTAGAGATAGGGCCTCACTGTGTTGCCCAGGTTGGTGTCAAATTCCTGTTCTCAAGCAACCCTCCTGCCTTCACCTCTCAAAGTGCTGGAATTACACGTGTGAGCCACCATGCTGGAACAGAAGGCTGGAATTTTGAAGTGGTCCATGTTACTTGTCAGGCCTACCTTGGTCCTCCTATTTACTGTTCCTCAACTGGGGCCTTCTTATCTCTGCTTATTAGATTGGCCCTCTACCAAAAGCTATCATTACTTGAAGCCTAGAGCAGTTAGCCTCAAATGTTAGGATACTAACCTTTAAAACACATTAGCATTTAAAAAAATTTAGATTCCTGTGGTAGGTCAGAGTTCTGTTTTACTTTGGGATATAGCGTAGTAATTTTCCCCCTTACCCGCATTGTTCCATGTAGTAGTTATTTAGGCAGCCTTAGCACATCCTGAAACAACATCCAGTCCTCCCTGTTCCAGGTTGCCACCTGTCTTTGGTCTTAGTTGAGGTAATAGGATTTTGCTTTGTTTCCCGGATCCTGTTCTGTGTCTATTAACTGTATTTTACCTTAGCCCTTTCCTGAGGCTCTATTCTTTTTTGTTTTTTGAGACAGGGTCTCACTCCCATTGCCCAGGCTGGAGTGCAGTGGTGCAATCTCAGCTCACCACAGCTTCGACTTCCCAGGCTCAAGCCATCCTCCCACCTCAGCCTCCTAAGCAGCGGGGACTGCAGGCGTATGCCACCATGCCTGGCTAATTTTTTTTTGTAGTTTTAGTTGAGACAGGGTTTTACCATGTTGCTCAGGCTGATCTGGGACTCCCAGGCTCAAGAGACCTACCAACCTTGGCCTCCCAAAGTGCTGATTACAGGCATGAGCCTGAGATTCTATTCTAGTAACATGCTTTGTTCTCTGGTTTCTAGAACTGGTCCTGCCACCATCTTTGCCAGACTCTCTCCCAGGGATCAGGTTGGCAGGCTTATCTGAGTTGTCAGATGGCATGGATTTCCGAGAATCTTCTTGTCTTTCCTTTACTGAGCTGTCTTCATCCATTGAAACTCCTGCCACCCTTATACTCCCTTAGCAGCCCTGCTACCTGTGGTTGTAGTTAAGAATATCTCCTACTCCATATTTCAGGAAGGGGCAGGACATTTTTTTTTTTTTGAGATGGAGTCTCGCTCTGTCACCCAGGCTGGAGTGCAGTGGTGTGATCTTGGCTCACTGCAATCTCTGCCTCCCCGGTTCAAGCGATTCTCCGGCCTCAGCCTCCTGAGCAGCTGGGACTACAGACATGTGCCACCATGCCCAGCTAATTTTGAATTTTTAGTGGAGACAGGGTTTCACCATGTTGGCTAGGATGGTCTCAATCTCTTGACCTTGTGATCCGCCTGCCTCGGCCACCCAAAGTGCTGGGATTACAGGCGTGAGCCACTGTGCCCGGCCAAGAACATTTTAAAATCTACCAATCTACCATTTATCCTGCCTTCTTTCCCTTTGAGGTCTCTTGGCTATATGCCACCTCTGCTCTGGAGGATTTTTGCATTTCTTTCTGGTTTGGGGCTTCTTAGAGCTTCCTTTGTAATTAGGATAGAGATAGGAAGAATGATAGACACAAAAGGTGTTTACCTTTGCTGCTTGCTTTACTTGCTATGTGTGTTTCTGCCTCCTGTGCTTGTGTACTCTGGGGCACTGAGCACACCATAGGTGACATGGTGCTAGATATGTTTAATGAGACAGTATGGTGCTGGTCTCCAGTGATGAGTGACAATGGACAACATTCATTCATTCACCCACCTCTTCCACAAATAGTAATAATTTATTTGTGACAGAATCTCACTTTGTTGCCGAGGCTGGAGTGCAGTGCAGTGGTGTGATCTTGGTTCCCTGCAACCTCTGCGTTTTGGGTTCAAGCGATTCTCCTGCCTCAGGCGCCCAAGTAGCTGGGACAACAGGCATGGGCCACCATGCCCGGCTAATTTTTATGTTTCTGGTAGGGATGGGGCTTCACCATGTTGGTCAGGCTGGTCTTCAACTCCTGACCTCAAGTGATCCTCCCGCCTTGGCCTCCCAGGGTGCTGGGATTACAGGCCACAAATAATTATTGAGCATCTACTGTGTGCTTTCTGGAAGTATATGATTTTTCACTCAAGGATTTTATACTTTAGTGGGCAGGGGTAAAATAGATAAATTCACTGCTGTGAGGTACAGTAATACTTAGATAATAGTGTGTGGAGTGTCTTGGGAGCAGCTGGGAGAGGCATTTAACCCAGCGGGTGGTAAGGAGTACTGGAAGGACAGCTTCCTGAAAAAGGTGATACTGAGCTGAGGCTTGAAGATATATTTTAACCTTAAAAATGAATTCCTCAGGGGGAAGAATGGATGCCTTGAAACTTGCTCTCAAGTTTTTCATGTGTTTCTTTTTGTAACTTAATGTCTCTACTTTGCATATGTCCCTTTGGCCTTTGCAGTCTCTATGTCTGTCATTCTTTGCATAATAATTCATATCAAAGGGGAGAAACAGCTATTTTTTGTCCCTAGAAGTTCTGCTCTTAAGGTTGAAAAGAAAGTTTGAAAAATCATATCATTTAGGTTAGAAGTACTTTGTGTTGTTGGTATCCAAAATTAGGACTCTGAGATTCTTGTGTATTCAGAGAATTTTTAGTAGGAAACAAGGACAAATTTGCATATGAAATGAAAATAGTTATTACATGACAAAATATGTAGATCTGATTTCTAGAAACTGAATTAGTCCAAAACAAGTAAGAGTGGGAAAAGCAGTAAAAAGTTCTTCTTGAATATTGCTGTTGTCATCCAAAGTATTCTTATTTCTTTTAGGTGAAAAATTTCCATTACTCTTTTGTGATATTCTCAAAAGAAAGTTTAGGATTTTACAGTGTTCTGAAATACTGAATCTTAATTCAGTATTTCAATAGAGTATTATTGATTTGCTTCCTTATCAGTAGATTTTTAAATTATTTATTTCTAGGCTATAGATCTTCCTAAAATATAATCCAAAGTAGTTTAAAATGCAGATATCTAGACCAAAGTATAAAGATCTCTTTTCTGGAGCATGCTATATTTAACAGTTTTTTCCTAAGTTTGTTTTTGTTTTTGGAATCATGATATATTTGTTTCTTAAAGCAATCTTTAGTTCTATTAGATGTTTTTCTAGCTCAAATAAACATCTAAGAATTTTAGTTTAATTTGGCAAGTAACACTGGTGAAAAAAGAAAAAAAAAGAATTCTAGTTTCATAATTGATAATATTTATTATCATTACCATTGTATCCTAGGATATGTGCATTTAGTAGCTTGATTTAGTACATACCATTAAGACATTAGCTTTAAACATTTGAAGAGCAGGATTGACTTTGAGGTCAGTTTGCTGTTTCATTGTTACTAATGATAAATGGTTTCTAAGCACCATTCCAAACCTTTAAGAAATTGTTACAGCCCAATATTTGAGGATTGTTAGATCCTTACTGAAAGCTAAGGATGGGAATGCAGCTGTGCCTCAGGAAGGACAGTGGAAGTGGGAGCTGGAAACCCCTCAGATACCCAAGTAGCATATACTCTATCTCCTACCTCTGCTTCTTTGTGTATCTTTTTTTGCCCCCCAAGAATTCCGAGGACAATCAAGCTTTGTGTATCTTTTAAAAACTTTTCCTCTCTTTGCCAACTGGATCATGTGCTCCTCAGTTCACATGATGGAGTATTTGTTTTACTGGTCTAGCCACAGGGAGACATCTTTCCCTGTTATTCTCAATTCTAGGATCCTGGAGAGGGGACCATGACCTGGTTTGAGTTGGATGCCTACCCTTGGTCAGGTCAACTATGGCCTGGAGGGCAGAGTTACAAAATAAAGGTTGCCAGGGGGCCAACTCTCTCTGTGTGTGTGTGTGTGTGTGTGTGTGTGTGTGTCATGAGCTCTGCACACCTTCCATTCCTCGGTATATAGCAAGAGCAGCAGTATTACTAGATTATTGTCATACCCCATCTCAAGAAACTATGTGGGAGGAGGGAGGATAAGGACTGGTTGAGTAGGGGGCTGTTTCCTAACAACCATGTGAGGAAAAAGAACCCTGTTGCATTTAGGACATTTCAATTTAATATTTCATTTTCTTTGTAACAGGTTAGTGGTTACTTGGATGATTGTACCTGTGATGTTGAAACCATTGATAGATTTAATAACTACAGGCTTTTCCCAAGACTACAAAAACTTCTTGAAAGTGACTACTTTAGGTATTACAAGGTATTTTTAATTTTAATTTTTTATATATGAATACTTTAAATGGATAATTAGATTTTCTTAAGAATTACTGAGCTTCAAAATTGTAGTTGTTATTTAAAATTGATATAGGCTTTATTAAGAAAATTCAGTTCATAAGAGTGAAGCATGTGATTCTGAAACCATCCATTGGATAATTTTAATAACTGAATTTTACACTCTAGAGTTAGAATCTAGTTGGTTAAATTGAAGTTAGGACAGAAATTATTATATATTGTTATCAAAATGGTGAGATCATAATTTTCTAAAACATCAGATTGGCTCCAATTAATTAAAATAATTAAATATTTTTTGTAGAATCATGACTTTATCCTGACCTATATTATTTAAACAAATCACTTGTGCTGTTTTATCTTGAGATATCTACTAGAAGAGTTTAGAAAACCTGATCAATGGAGTATTTAGTTGTAGTCAGTTTACAATTGTCTATCCTCTACCTGTTAACTCTTTCTTGTTTGAAAAGAATGTGAGTCGAGCTACTTTGGCTCCTAGTTGCCATCTGTTCAGGGTCTATTTAGTGGCAGTCTGTGTCTTTTTTTTTTTGAGACAGAATCTTGCTTTGTCACCCAGGCTGGAGTGCAGTGGCATGATCTCTGCTCACTGCCAACTTCCGCCTCCTGGGTTCAGGCAATTCTCCTGCCTCAGCCTCCCAAGTAACTGGGATTACAGGCACCTGCCACCACACCTGGCTAATTTTTGTATTTTTAGTGGAGATGGGGTTTTGCCGTGCTGGCCAGGCTGGTCTTGAACTCCTGACCTCAGGTAACCCACCTGCCTTGGCCTCCCAAAGTATTGGGATTACAGGCGCCAGCCACCTTGCCCAGCCCAATCTGTGTCTTTTTTTTCTTTTTTGAGACAAAGTCTTGCTCTTGTCATCTAGGCTGGAGTGTGGTGGCATGACCTTGGCTCACTGCGCCCTTCGACTCCTGGGTTCAAGTGATTCTCCTGCCTCAGCCTCCCGAGTAGCTAGGATTACAGGCACCTGCCACCAGGCCTCGCTAATTTTTGTATTTTTAGTAGAGACGGGGTTTCGCCACGTTGGCCAGGCTGGTCTCAAACTCCTGACCTCAGGTGATCCGCCCCCCTCGGCCTCCCAAAGTGCTGGGATTACAGGCATAAGCCACTGTGCCCGGCCCAGTCTGTGTCTTTCTAACCAAGTCTACCAATTTACTTATACCAGCCTCACATTTATGCAGTTGTTATAAACTGGCAACAGATAGGTGGAAGAAATACTGTATTTGCACCTGATAACATGACCAAGTTATAGCACCATAATTTGTAACTGTCAATTATAATTTTGGGATTCTGATTTTTATAATTTTTTTTCTATTATTATTTTACAGGTAAACCTGAAGAGGCCGTGTCCTTTCTGGAATGACATCAGCCAGTGTGGAAGAAGGGACTGTGCTGTCAAACCATGTCAATCTGTAAGAACCATGTATACATTTAAAAACTGTTACATGTTTTTTCATTCATTATAACTTTTTGTTTTGTTTTATTTAAGAATTTTTTTTTGAAAAAATAGAGATGAGGTTTCACTATGTTGCCCAGGTTGGTCTTGAATTTCTGGGCTCAAACAATCCATCTGCCTTAGCCTCCCAGAGTGCTGGGATTACAGGTGTGAGCCACTGCACCCAGCCCATTACAACTTTTTAAAGGCAGCCAATAAAACTAAAATAATCGTGCAGTCCTTAGTTTAAATATAACATTCAATATTTATATGTTAAAAACCCAAACTTATAAAACCTATTTTGAATTACACTGCCTTCATAATAATAGAATTAACATTTTGTGGTTAATATAATCCTTTGACTTATTAGGGAGATTGATAATAATTCTTTTGGCCTGATATTTGATTTTCCTCTTACATCTTTTCTGAACCAAGTTATATATATAGCATAATAAAATGAAATTAATCGAAGTATAAACAAAATTCCCCCCCTCTTTTTTCGGGTGTGTTTTTGCCTTGGATTTCCTGGGGTGTGAGTGGACAAAACACCTGGTTTTACTTAGGAATTTTTGGAGCATTAAAATTTGAAGTATCCTACTGTGAAAATAGAGTTTTAAAAATATTTTTGAATGACAATTTATTCCCTTTTTAAGTACATCTTTTTATTTTACTTTTAAAATAAAGTTGACCTTTTTTTTTGACATGATGTCTCACCCTGTTGCCCAGGCTGGAGTGCAGTGGCATGATCTCAGGTCACTGCAACCTCCGCCTCCTGGGTTCAAGCGATTCTCCTGCCCCAGCCTCCCAAGTAGCTGGGATTACAGGTGTGTGCCACCACGCCCAGCTAATTTTGTATTTTTAGTGGAGATGGGGTTTCTCCATGTTGGTCCATGCTGGTCAGGCTGGTCTCGAACTGGTAACCTCAGGTGATCTGCCTGCCTCAGCCTCCCAAAGTGCTGGGATTACAGGTGTGAGCCACCATGCCCAGCTTCGATTCCTTTTTAACGCTGAATAACATTCCACTGTATGCCTATACTATGTTTTGTTTATATAGTCACCTGTTGATGGACTTTTGGGTTATTTCTACCTTTTTGCTATTGTGAATAATGCTGCTATGCACAAATATTTATTTGAGTCCCTACTTTAGTTTTTTGGGGTATATACTTAGAAGTGGAATTGCTGGATCATGTGTTAGTTCCGTTTGTTTTTTTCTGAGGATCTGCCATACTGTCTTCAACAGTGGCTGTACCGTTTTACATTCCTACCAGCAATGTACAAGAGTTCCAGTTTCTTCACATTCTTGACAATACTTTTACTTTCTATTCTTTTGGATAATAGTTATCCTAATAGGTGTGAAGTGGTATTGTGGTTTTGGGTGGTTTAATTTTACATATGTAAATATTGTTACACAGACTTATCTAGCATGTGGAATTAAGGCCAATGTCATATACTATTTATGGGCATTTTACCATGAGAATGAGAAGCATGTTTTTTGTTACATTAATCCTCATATAGATACAACTTATTGAAAATTAAAGGATTAATTTATGAAACACCTTGTCACTATTAAAGCATGAGCATATCATTAAAGTGATATTAACAGTGTAAACATTTTGTATTCTAAGTTTTGCGTTTGTAATTTAGTAATAGAAAAAATTAGTTGGGGACATTTACCAATATCCTAATTATATGAATTAGTAAAAATGCTGAAATATGGTAGATGCTTAATAAAGGCGTTTAATTATACTTGTTCATTAAATGAGCTTTTTATTAATATTAGAAAATACAAATACTTTACAGTTATTGCAAAGTCAAATCTCATCTTGAGATACCAATTATTTCTGATTATTATTGATGAAGTGTAGAACTAGGGGACACCATTTGGAAAAGAAGATTGGAGGGAGCAGAAACCCTGAAAATACTGTAGCATAAAATAATAGCTTATTGATTCCATCAGTTGACAGACTGATGAATGAGATGTATTTCATTGTAAATCCAAGAGAAAACAACCAATTTTAGCATTTGAGAAATGTTAAATATATATTTATTGTTTGATTTGAATGTATTGAAGTGCTATAAAAGAATCAGGTGGAAGTTATCAATTTGCACTGAAATATTGAGTCAGGATCCAGTAATTTTAAGCTTCTGCAGAGCTGGGAAGAAGTGAAAGGCAGAATGCCTTTCATGCCAATACTTTGTTTTTTTTTTTTTTTTTTTTTGTTTGTGTTTTTTGCTTGTTTTTGAGACAGGGTCTCACTCTGTTGCCCAGGCTGGAGTGCAGTGGCATGATCTTGGCTCACTGCAACCTCTGCCTCCTGGGCCTAAGCAGTCCTCTCACCTCAGCCTCCTGAGTACCTGGGACTACAGGCGGACTACAGGCACACATCATGCCCAGCTAATTTTTTGTATTTTTGGTAGAGACAAGGTTTCACCATGTTGTCCACTGGGGTCTTTAACTCCTGAGCTCAGATGATCCACCCGCCTTGGCATCCCAAAGTGCTGGGATTATGGGCATAAGCCGCTGTACCTGGCAGCAATACTTGTTTTTTTCTTGAACTGATGTTATGATGGAGAAAAGCTTTTTTCTTTAAAAGATCATTGGAAGGCCAGGCATGGTGGCTTATGCCTATAATCCCATCACTTTGGGAGGCCAAGGCAGGCAGATCACTTGAGGTCAGGAGTTTGAGGTCAGCTTGGCCAACATGGTGAAACCCTGTCTCTACTAAAAATACAAAAATGAGCTGGACATAGCAGGGTGCCACTCGGGAGGCTGAGGTACAAGAATCATTTGAACCCAGGAGGCGGAGGTTGCAGTGAGCCAAGATCTGCCACTGCACTCCAGCCTGGGCAACAGAGTGAGACCCTATCTGAAAAAAAAAAAAATCATTGGAAGGTATTTATCCATCTAAAAATATTCTTAGTTTATAAATACAGATAATGTTAGCTTAGCAGAGAAATGCCACGATTAGATCAGAGTTAGAATGTTAACTGGCAGTATTGTGGGGAGTGTGGAATAGCAGATGAGGAGATGGGGAAGAGACTGGTAAAGTAACATAAATGTGTTAGTCCATTTTGCATTGCTATGAGGGAACACCTGAGACTGGGTAATTTATAAAGAAAAGAGGCTTATTTGGCTCACAGTTCTGCAGGGGGAAGAAGCATGGTGCCAGCGTCTGCTTGGCTTCTGGTGAGGCCTAAAGCTTACAATCATGGCAGAAGGCAAAAAGGGAGCTGTCATATCACATGGCAAGAGACAGCAAGAGAGCAAGGAGGTGCCAGGTATGGAGTGAACTAATAGATTTGTTCTAGATAATAGAACTTATTACTTCTAGATAATAGAACCAGTAGATTAATTCATTACCTCAGAGATGGCACCAAGCGGTTCATGAGAGATCTGTCTCCATGACCCAAACCCCTAGGTTCCAAGAATCTAGAATATCTGGCCATCACAGAAAACAAAAACAATTCTACTAAGGACCACTGGAGTAATAGCAAAAGGACACAGGTGTCAATATCAAGTCAGCACTCAGTGGATCTCCTAGTGGCCAAATACGGGACAATTTGAACATCAAAAGGGATAATGGCTAAATGATTATTTTTACATCTCCTTGCTGTAATATACATAATGTATGCTCAGCAATCCATAGAATAATTTGTTCTTGAATTTTTATTTACTTTTAAGCAATCATATGAATACTACCTATTCTGTTAAAAAATCCAACTTCGATAATTTGTTATATGAATTTTTCTCATAAATCACAGAAATTTAAGATATGTTTTAAGAAGATAGAATAAATGCCAACTAAAAACATATTTTTTTCTTTTTCAGGATGAAGTTCCTGATGGAATTAAATCTGCGAGCTACAAGGTGTGTACGTATACCTATTGATGTGTCCAGTATCTTAATGAAAAACTTGAAAAACCCATTTCCGTTGTACCTACTATCCCATTTATCTGCTTCCAGTGGTGAAACCCCTTGAGAGGTATTTATGCTGAATGGCTCTCTTTCTGTTTGTTTTTGTTTAACATTTTATTTTTTATGTATTTTATTTTATTTATTTTTTTGAGATGGAGCAGTGGCGTGATCTTGGCTCACTGCAACCTCCGCCTCCCCGGTTCAAGCGATTCTTGTCTCAGCCTCCAGAGTAGCTGGGATTACAGGCACTCACCACCATGCCTGGCTAATTTTTATATTTTTAGTAGAGACGGGTTTTCTCCATGTTGGTCAGGCTGGTCTCGAATTGCCGACCTCTGGTGATCCGCCCGTCTTGGCCTCCCAAAGTGCTGGGATTATAGGCGTGAGCCACCGCGTCCGGCCTGTTTAGCATTTTATTATAGAAAATATCAAAGATAAATAAAAATAGAGGAAAAAATGTATCTGAAAGTCCATATGTTATTCAGAGTTCTTTAATTTTTTTTTTTTTTTTTTTTTTTTTTAAGATAAAAGGTCTGGCTCTGTTGTCCAGGCTGGAGTGCAGTGGCATGATCATAGCTCACTGTAACCTTGAACTCCTGGGCTAAAGTGATTCTCTCCCCTCAGCTTTCCGAGTAGCTGAGAGTGTAGGCAAATGCCTCCATGCATAGATAATTTTAAGAAAAAAATTCTGTAGAGATAGAGTCTTGCCATGTTGCCCAGGGTGGAAACTCCTGACCAAGTGATCCTCCTCCCTCAGCCTCCCAAAGTGCTGGGATTACAGGCATGAGCCTCCACACCAGGCCAGATTTCTTTAATTTTTACCTAATATCCTTTACCTGTTCTAGGATCCCACCCAAGACACCATGTTATATTTAGTAGTCATGTGTTCTTAGGCTTCTCTTAGCCGTAACAGTTTCCCAGTCTTTCTTTGTTTCTGATAAGGTGTTTTTGAGTAGTACTAGTCAGGTGCATTTTGTAGACTGTCCGTCAGTGGGGATTTATCAGATTCAGATTCATTTTTTTGATATATATTATATATATAGGAGTTACTGTGTACTTACTATTGTGTTATACCAACATATAATCTCTGCCTTTCTCTTTTTTCTTGATGTTAAGATTGATCACTAGCTTCATTATACATTCATCTTAAAGCTCCCTAATAGCTTTTCACTGAAAAGTTTTAGCAGCCTTGATGATTATTACCTGGTTGCATTAGCCAAAGTGATTTTTTTTAAAACATGAGATTATCTGTCTTCTCTGTTTAAAATCCTCCTTCGTGCCCATTTCTCCTGAGAAAAGGCCAAAGCCCCTATAAAGCAACAAGAAGTAAATAGAGTGACCATATGCCAGGGTTTGTCTGGAACAGAACTGGCTTATACCTGTTGTCCTGACATCCTTTCTGATTTATCATTTTTTCTGAGTTTCTTGGTTTTAAATAAAATATTATTAACAGTTGCATTAAAATAGGTTGGGATGGAATTGGTAGACAAATACTTTTTTTTTTTTTTTTGGGGTAGATAGGGGGGTTCTACCATGTTGCCCAGGCTGGTCTCGAACTCCTGGACTCAAGCTGTTCACCCACCTCGGCCTCTCAAAGGGTTGGGATTACAGGTGTGAGCCACGACACTCAGCCAAATACTTTGTATTTCCATCTTCCTCTGTTGTCTTCTCTCTTATTTGATATGTGTATGCTAAATAGAGTTCTGACTTTAATACAAAGATGACCAACAAGAACGTATCCTTCTTCTGATTTTCTAGATGCAAAGAAACTAAATCTTTGTCTCAAGCACAGTATACTAGGTGCTTGCTGAAAAATAATTACACTCAGACACAAATGACTAGGGACAGCTGCCTCCTTACAGCCTTGGGAAGCACGGGGAAGGTGTTGCATACTGCTGCCCCTCTTGGTCTCTTGGACTTAGTAGCCATTTGTGCTGTGGCCTGTATCATACCCACAATATTACTAAGCTGCCAGTCTGCCTTTTGACTAGTTAATGGGAAACCTGTGAAATTACATGGTAAATAAATAGAAACCGAGCAATCCTACATAGAGAGAATAGTCTTGCTGTGGTAGTTTTATCCTTTATTGATAAATTGATAACTGTGTAGTTATTTTATGGTTTGGTAATGCTCTTTTTATTTTGCAATGAATCCTTTTGGCTGAAATAAAAAGGAAAAAGGAAGTGCATGTTTTATGAAAAGTAAAATATTGAATTTCCATTTCTCCTGATAGTTCATCATGATATGTAACTTGCACAAAAGATCATCATTCACTATTCCTAAAGGCCATAAAAATAACACTGGCCATATGAAAATCAAAACACAGAAATCTGCTGATAAAGCCTCAGTGTCTACTTTGCAACAAATTTGTAAAAAATGTCAGCTTTTAAAGGTTTAGCAAGGATGGACATGGTAGTTCATGCTTACAATCCCAGCACTTTGGGAGGGTGAGGTGGGAGGATCACTTGAGCCCAGGAGTTCGAGACCAGCCTCGGCAACATGGTGAAACCCCGTGTCTACAAAAAATACAGTTGTGGTGGCACATGCCTGTTCTCAAAATAGCAAAACCCCATCTCTACAAAAATTAGCCAGCCATGAGGATGTGTGCCTGTAGTCCCAGCTGCCCAAGTGGCTGAGGTGGGAGGATCCCTTGAGTCTGGGAGGTCGAGGCTACAGAGAGCTGTGATTTCACCACTGTACTCCAGCCTGGGAGACAGAGTGAGACCCTGTCTCAAAAAAAAAGGGGATTTAGCAAATTGCAATTATTACTACTTATTTTAAGAAGACTGTGTCTAAAGATAACAATTTAACGTGCAGCTGCAGAGAGTACATTTACATATCATTCTGTGATATGTGACTTTTCATTTAGACTAAATAACTTTTAAATTAAAATTTCCCATTATTTTATTATGAAAAATTAAAAATATAGCAGAGTTAAAGGAATTTTCCCTTGAACATTCTTATACCCGTAACCTAGATTCCACCACCTTTTTTTTTTTTGAGACGGAGTTTTGCTCTTGTTGTCCACAGTCTGGAGTGCAATGGCGCGATCTTGGCTCACTGCAACCTCTGCCTCCCGGGTTCAAGCAATTCTCCTGCCTCAGCCTCCCGAGTAGCTGGGATTACAGGCATGCGCCACCATGCCCAGCTAATTTTGTATTTTTAGTAGAGACGGGGTTTCACCATGTTGGCCAAGCTGGTCTCAAACCTCTGACCTCAAGTGATCCACCTGTCTCGGCCTCCCAGAATGCTGGGATTACAGGTGTGAGCCACCGTGCCCGGCCTAGATTCCACCATTTTAATAAACTCACTTTACCACATGTCTGTTCATCTGTCCATCCTTGTAGCCATCCATTAGAACATCTTATTTTTCGGATGCATTTCAAAGTAAATTGCTGGCATCAGTATACCTCCTCCTAAATAAGTCATTAGCTAGATGGATTTATGTAAGTAGAAGTATATTATTAACTAGAGTCCAATATTTGTTTATATGTGCTTTTAATAAAAGTATTACCATACAATGAAATGTGCAAATCTTAAGTGTGCATTTGCTGAATGTTGACAAATGCATATACCTGTGTAACCTAGGCTTCTATTAAGAGATAGAATGTTAGCATTATCCTGCAAAGTTTCCTCATACCCATTCCATTCAAACCACACTCCTTCTTCAGAGGCAACCACTGTTTTGAACATTTTCCATCATAGATTCTAAACTAATTTTGCTCATTTTTAATTCCATGTTTTCTTGTACACACACAGAGTCAAAGAATGAATTAATAGCTTTTCACTTGGTTCCAGTGGCAGAAGAACTTTGCACATAGTTAAATGGTGTCATTATCAACTATTTCAAATAGAAAATAATTTCATTTAACAAATTGCTTGAGGCTGGGCACATAGTGGCTCATGCCTGTGTAATCCCAGTGCTTTTGGAGGCCACCATGTGAGGATTGCTTGAAGCCTGGAGTTCAAGACCAGTCTGGGCAACATTGTGAGACCCCATCTCTACAAATAAAAACTAAAAAAAAATTAGCCAAGTGTGGTGGTGCATGCCCATAGTCCTAGCTCCTCAGGAGGTTGAGACAGGAGGAGGCTGAGCCCCAATGTCCAGGTTACAGTGACCTATGATTATGTCACTGCACTCCAGCTTGGGAGACAGAGAAAAAAAAATTGTTCGATTTATTTCATTTAATCGATAGACTGAAAGTAAAACTTTTGGAAGTTCATTCTGTTGAAGGAAAACATTTGTCACTATTGTGAATGCTAGTGTAAATTCAGTTAAAGCTCAAAATTGAAGATAAAATATTTGTTTGTGGTAGTACACATATAAATTTTTATAACAGCAATGTTCTGGGTAAAAACCAGTGTCCTTAATAAATCAAGAAATCTATGAAACAAATGGCATTTGTAATAAAAATATACAAATAATTCATAATTGTGTCCACACAAGCTGTGATATTTTACCAGTTAAGATAGAAGTGGTAATAAGCTGAGTGTGTGGCATGCACCTGTAGTCCTCGCTACTCAGGAGGCTGAGGTGGGAGGGTTGCTTGAGTCCTGGAGGTAGAGATTGCAATGAGCCAAGTCTGTGCCACTGCACTTAAGCTTGGGTGACAGAACCAGATCCTGTCTCAAAAAAAAGGAGTAATTGTTAAAATTAGTATGTGATTTATATATATACTAAGTTATGATTGTGAAATTTTTGAGATGAAGCTGATGCTGAAAAAATTTACTTTGGTATGGTTTTAGTATGATAGTACTTACTTTGCTGTCTATTATCAATCAGATTTTATAAATGTTTTGAGGCTTCGAAGAACTAATTTGTAAAACAACCCAAGAGCTTCTCAGTAGTATTGATTGGTTTTTAATAAATGAACCCTCTAAGTTTTTATTGCAATTTGTTCTAAATCAGTGAAAAATAAGTATCAATGAATGGAATGCATAAAGAAGAAACAAAGTTTAGCTGTTAAGGTTTAGCAAATTGCAATTATGGCAAAATGGCTAGATGTGGTGGCTCATGCCTGTAATCCCAGCACTTTTGGAGGCCAAGGCAGACAGACTGCTTGAGACCAGGAGTTCAAGACCAGCCTGGGCAACATGGTGAAACCCTGTATCTAAAAAAATTTAAAAAATTAGCCATACATGGTAGTGTGCACCTGTAGTCCTAGCTACTCAGGAGACTGAGAGGGGAAGATTGCTTGAGCCTGGGAGGTTGAGGCTGGAGTGAGCTGTGGTCATGCCATTGCACTCCAGCCTGGGCGACAGAGCGAGACCCTTTCTCAAAGAAAAAAAAAAATCATTATAACAAAGCTTGTAAACAAAGGCCTTTAAATTTATACCTACAAAAAGTAGAGAGAAATCAAACACATTAAATGAGGAAAGTCCAAATGGTGTTTAATATGATTCAGAAATTGTATTCTGAAATGTTATAAATGTGTTTGGGAGTATCTCCATTTGTGGCAAGAATATCTTCTTGATAGAACTCTGCTTTGAATTGGATACATTTATATTCTGATCTGAGATGTAATGAAATTGAGGATTACAATTTCATAGTATCTAAGTTTGACCAAATTTTTTTTGTTTGTTTGTTTTTTGTTTTTTTTTTTTTTTTTGGTCAGAGACAGGGTCTGTCTCTGTTGCCCAGGCTGGAATGCAGTGGTAAGATTATATAGTTCACTGTAACCTCGAACTCCTGGGCTCAAGCAATCCTGCCACCTCAACTTCCTGAGTAGCTAGTATTATAGGCACATGCCACCATGTCCAGCTAATTAAAATTTTTTTTTGTAGAGATGGGGTCTTGCTGTATTACCCAGGCTGGTCTTTAATTCCAGGCCTCAAGCAAACTTTCCACTTTGGCCTTCCAAAGTGCTGGGATTTCAGGCATGAGCCACCACACCCAGGCTTTAAATTTGTCAAAACATTTAAAATAATGAAAACATAGAGACAACTTATTTGATGTTTTGTCTTAAAATATTTATTGTAGAAATGTACTTTAGGGGCAAAAGAATAGAACTTGTGAAAATATTTGGGCTAAAGTATTTCCACATATTTACCTAAAGAGAGAATGTTTTTTCTTTTTTTTTGAGACGGAGTCTTACTCTGTCGCCCAGGCTGGAGCGCAGTGGCGTGATCTCGGCTCACTGCAAGCTCTGCCTCCTGGGTTCACTCCATTCTCCTGCCTCAGCCTCCCGAGTAGCTGGGACTACAGGCGCCTGCCACCACGCCCTGCTAATTTTTTGTATTTTTAGTAGAGACAGGGTTTCACCATGTTGGCCAGCCTGGTCTCAAACTCCTGACTTCAGGTGATCCACCTGCCTCGGGCTCCCACAGTGCCGGGATTATAGGCGTGAGCCACCGTACCTGGCCTGATTATGGGCAATTTTATGAAAAATTAAAAGCAATAAGAACATATTGGAAAAATAAAAAAAATAAAAAGAGCTTCAGATAACTTCTAAATTTTAAACAAGTTTTAAAAATGCAATAAGTTATTATCTATTTATTCCCTTTTTCATTTTAGTATTCTGAAGAAGCCAATAATCTCATTGAAGAATGTGAACAAGCTGAACGACTTGGAGCAGTGGATGAATCTCTGAGGTTTGATTTTATTTTTCAGCAGTATTTCATGTTTCTTTATGTTACATATTAACTTAAAAATAATAATGTTATTTTTTTTCTTTGTTTGAAGTGAGGAAACACAGAAGGCTGTTCTTCAGTGGACCAAGCATGATGATTCTTCAGATAACTTCTGTGAAGCTGATGGTATAATATTTTTGATAGTATGCATTGTGTTTAAAATTATACCTAAGAAAAAAAAAGTTTTTAATTATTTTAATCTGGGCATGGTGGTGTGCCTGTAGTCCCAGCTTATCTGGAGGCTGAGGCAGGAGAATCACTGGAGCCCAGGTATTTGAATCCAGACTGGGCAACATAGTAAGACCCATCTCAGAAAAAAGTTATTAAAGAAAAAAACTCAGTTTCTAACGGTTTGGCGGTTCTTCAAAAACCTAAACGTAGAATTACCATATGACATAACAGTTCCTTTTCTAGGTATATACTCAAAAAAATTAAAGACAGGGACTCAAACAGATGGCAAAGCAATGTTCATTATAGCCAAAAGGTGGTAACAACCCAATTGTCCAGTACTGTTTGAATGGATAAACAAAATGTGGTATATAAAACACACAATGGAATACTATTCAGCCAGAAAAAGGAATGAAGTTCTGGTACATACTACAACACGGATGGATCTTGACAACATGCTAAGTGAAATAGGTCAGGCACCAAAGGACAAGTATAAATGATTTCACTTATATGAAATGTAAACAATGGGCAAATTCATGGAGACAGAAAGTAGATTAAAGATTATCAGAGGTTGGGGTGGGTAGGCGTTATTGCTAAAAGGTTACAGAGTTTCTGTTTGAGGTGCTGGAAAAGTTCTGGCAACAGATAGTGGTGATGGTTTCACAACACTGTGAATATAATGAATCCCACTGAATTGTATACTTAAATGTGGTTAAACTGTAAATTTTATTATATCAATTTTATTACAGTTAAAAAAACTCAGTTTCTAGAAAAAATGTACCTCTTAAGTTTTGCAGTTCTATGTAGCTTGTGGTTTATATAATTTTGTATATACATTTTGTATAAATAGCTAAAATTTAGGGATTACAAAAATCTGCTTCAGTTACATTGCTGTTGGATTGTTATGTATATTCCTTAATGATGGTCCGTGTTGCTTTTGGAGAAGTGAATATTGAACCGTTAGTCGAGTCTGTGATGTCTGAAGTTAAGCCAGAGTGCTGCTGCTGTTAAAAGCTAGGAGCCCCAGATTCATTAAAACTCTGATCGTGGCACAGTGGTTCATGCCTGTAATCCCAGCTACTCAGGAGGCTGAGGCAGGAGAATCACTTGAACCCAGGAGGCAGAGGTTGCAGTGAGCTGAGATTGTGCCATTGCACTCCAACCTGGTGACAGAGCGAGACTCCGTCTCAAAAAAACAAAAGACCAAAAAAACAACTCTGATCAAGATGTATAGATTTTCCAATTCTTCCTTTTTCTAGTATTTCCTTTTTCTAAGTTGAATTGTTAGCCTCTTAATTCACTAAAAAAAATAAATCAAATTGAGTCTTGGTATTCTTCTGTGGCTCTTTTCTAGTGGACTAACGCTCTTTCAAAAATTAGTGAAAACGGGCCTGGCTTGTTGGCTTATGCCTATAATCCCAGCACTTTGGGAGGCCAAGGAGGGAAGATTGCTGAGCCTAGCCTGGGCAACATGGCAAAACTCTGTCTCTACAAACAATACAAAAATTAGCCAGGCCTGGTGGTGTGTGCCAGTAGTCCCAGCTACTCGGGGAGTGGGAGGATTGCTTGATCCAGGGGGTTGAGGCTGGAGTGAGCTCTGATTGCACCACTGTACTCCAAGCCTAGGACAGAGTGAGACCCTTTCTCAAAACAACACAACAAAAAATTAGTGAAAACAGTGATATAAATTCTTTTAATTATAAGCCAAAGATGCAGCCTACAATCTCCATAAAAGAGAAAGTATTTTTAATTTTGTGGCTTCTTTTTGGGGAAAATTGCTTTCCTTAATGGAAACCGTAGCCATGTTTTGGTATATACTTAGTTATAATTCCTTATTTCCAATTCTAAAATCTGGAAACTCTGAAAACTGAACATTTCTCCCCCTGCGTTTAGCAGAGGCTCATTTAGTGTGAGTATATGTTTCACTGTAGAAATATTTACGTGTTTGAATAAAGATTGCTCCCCCAGGTCCAGCTGGAGTAATATGCGATATATGTTGCATGTACTGTATTACCTTTGTAAAATCTGGAAAGTTCATTCCAGCCGAGACACGCATGGTCCCAGGCATGTTGGATGAGGGGTATAGACCTATATCAAGATTTGGACTAGTGAAGGAAGGGGATAAGATGTTCTCCCAACTCCCTTATTTTGCCATCTTTTCTACAAGGATTTTTTTTTTACCTTAAATATTGTTGTGAGATAAAACTAAATTTATAGTATGCAGCTATAATTTTTTTTAGTCCTCCACTGTTAGAAAAAGGATGGTAATATTTTAACCTTAATTAACATCCTTTTGTGACTACAATGTGCAGCACCAGGTGAGAATCAATGATTCATTTCTTATATGGTAGAGTTTGGTGAATCACTTGCCCATTTGTATTAGTGTCTTCTGTTAAAAAAAGCTGAATATTTTAAAGAAAGCTTTAGCAGGAATAAATAATGGATGTAAATGGTACGTGAAATATAGAAAGTATTTTTAAAATCCTAATTGGAAATTTGAGCTTTTGTCAAAAACAGGTTCTATTCAGTGATAGAAAACAGCATATCATATAGGTTTTGCAGAACGCATGTTTTCTGCTTCTAGGGCTGGATATTGGCATTTTCCTATAAGGGCCAAATGGGCTCTTAAATGTCTTTTCTTAGATTTTACAAAACATGTTTGACTAGTTTTCTATGAAAAACTTCAGGTTCTATTCAGTGATAGGAACCAGCGCATCATAAAAATTCTTGGCACAAATATAATTATAGTAATATTTAATATAATTATAGTATTACTTCAAATATAATTGTATAATTATAATTATAATTATAGTATAATTATAAGATTTGTAATATAATAATATAGTAATATTTATTTTTTATAAGCTTGAAGAAGAATGAAGTATTTATAATAAGTAGAATTATGAGGCAACAAATGTTTATCTCTAGGTAGAATATTTAAAAATTTAATCATTTCTTGGTGGTTAGTTTTCTCAAAGTCCTGGATACTGACCGTTGTTTATGTATTTTATTTTATTTCATTTTTATTTTTATTTTTTTTCCGAGGCAGAGTTTCATTCTCGTTGCCCAGGCTGGAGTGCAATGGTGTGATCTCAGCTCACTGTAACCTCTGTCTCCCGGGTTCAAGCGATTCTCCTGCCTCAGCCTCCCGAGTAGCTGGGATTACAGGCATGCATCACCATGCCCGGCTAATTTTGTATTTTTAGTAGAGATGGGGTTTCTCCATGTTGGTCAGGCTGGTCTCGAACTCCTGACTTCATGTGATCCACCCGCCTCAGCCTCCCAAAGTTCTGGGATTACAGGCGTGAGCCACCATGCCTGGCCTGCTGTTTATATATTTTAAACATCAGGGTTTAAAAAATGAATTTATTATAATTTATATGTGGCACTTGCCTTTAGTATTAATTGAAATGAACAGTTATCCATTCCTGAACTAGATGATTCCATGCTAATTTGTTTTTTAAGTCCTTATATTTTGTTTTTCTAGTTATTTTAATTGCCACTTCTGCATTGAACTCTGCTATTTTAAGATGCCGTCATTGTACTGCTTCTAGAAGCAAATTTCCCCCTAATTTATGCTTCTAATATACTGTGAATTGGAGTAAAAAATAACCAAGCTTAGGGTTTTTTTTTGTTTTTGTGGTTTTTTTTTAATAATAAAAATAGGTATAGTTGAGAGCTTGATGGACTCTAAGCACTTTTGTGCTCATATTTTTGTTATTGACTTTGGTTGCATTGAGACCGTTTTTGTCCACTTTTTAATTCTTTGTTGGCTCATACTGTTAAGCTTTATATATGAATAAAGTATTATTATAGTACCAAATAATTTCCCAAAGCCACTGGAGGACTATGGCCCATCTTTTTTTGAGACACAGTCTCACTGTGTTGCCCAGGCTGGAGTGCCGTGGTGCAATCACGGCTCACTGCAGCCTGGACCTCCTGGGCTCAAGTGACTTTCCCACCTCAGCCTCCTGGGTAGCTGGGACCACAGGCACGTGCCATGATGCCTGGCTAATTTTTGTATTTTTTATTGATGCCTGGTGTTTCACCAGGTTGCCTGTGAATTTTAGAATCACTCCTGGGCTCAAGCAGTCTGCCCCCAGGCCTCCGAGAATGCTGGGATTACAGGCATGAACCATCGTGCCCACCCTGGGACCGACCATCTTTTTTGTTTTGAAGTTATAACACATTATAAATGATAAATAAGTAACAGGGTCTGGATTCTAGCCTGGGTGTTCTGGCTCCAGAGCCCATGCTCTGGCTGTTCTGTGATGTTGGATGTTTAGGTTGCTTCCAATTTTCCCTTTTATAAATAATGTTGACACAGAATCATGCTGCATTGTAACTTTTGCTTTTGGCCAGATTGGATCTGCTGGTGGTCATCTAAGAAGAAAGTATTTGGTAACACGCAGTGTACAATACTAACACTCCTTCATTTACTGTAGTTATTGATGAACTGCTGTGGTTAATGTGGAGGGAAATGTATGTTATATTCTTTGTCTGAATAGCTTATGATAATTGAATTACCATGTTTCTTTGATTCTAAAATTCACGTATTCCTATTTTTACAATTCCTAAATCATAATGTTTTTGTAGCCAGTGTGTACAATTAATGTGGCTGTGTGTGTTTCTCTCTCTTTTCCTTCCTTTCTTTTCTGAGACGGAGTCTCGCTCTGTCACCCAAGCTGGAGCACAGTGGCGCAATCTCGGCTCACTGCAACCTCCGCCTCCCGGGTTCAAGTGATTCTCCTGTTGCAGCCTCTCGAGTAGCTGGGACTACAGGCGTGCACCACCACGCCCGGCTAATTTTTGTATTTTTAGTAGAGACAGGGTTTCACTATGTTGGCCAGGCTGGATTCGAACTCCTGACCTCAAGTGATCCGCCCACCTTGGCCTCCCAAAGTGCTGGGATTACAGGTGTGAGGCACCACACCCGGCCTCCTTCCTTTGTTTCTCCTGAAAAGTTGTTTTAAAATTCCTGACACATTGTTATATTTGTGGTGCGTTAGAATCAATGGAATACAGTCTTGTGTAGTAGCTTTTTAAGGTAACTGAGGATAAGAAAGGTTTAATAAGACATTTTATTTTACAGACATTCAGTCCCCTGAAGCTGAATATGTAGATTTGCTTCTTAATCCTGAGCGCTACACTGGTTACAAGGGACCAGATGCTTGGAAAATATGGAATGTCATCTACGAAGAAAACTGTTTTAAGTATGTGTCATTTTCATTTAGAAAAATTCCTATAAGATGTGGTGATTTCTCTTTATAAACAAAATCATAATGATTTAAAATTAAAAATCAAATTCACTTTGTTAAAAGATGTGTTTGTACAAGGAAACATGACTATTCATTAATCCAGTTTCCTTCTGGGGAAATATATAGACGTGAGTTTCCACAGATTTTTCCTTTAGACCTTTATGGGAGTATTGTAGGCCCTTGACAAATGTTCCTTGAGTCGATTATAGGATCTCATTTTATAGTTAAGGTAACCTAGAGCTGGAGAGGTTTGCTTCATTTCCCAAGATCACACAGTGGCAGTGTAGAGAAAAGAATATACAACTCTTAATTCTCTTTTTGGTGCTCTGTACACCCTTGTCTGTGGCTTTAATTATTTTACAGTTAAATTGATTTCAGAGAACAATTATAATAGGTATCATTTTTGAGCACTCACTGTATTCTAGGCATTGTGGTAAGCATGTTATATACATTTTCTTCTTCAGTCCTTGCAATAACCCTGTGTTGCAGTCATCACTGTATTATAGACAGAGAAACTGAGACTTAGAGAGGTTAAATGATTTGTTCAGTGTCAAAGATCTAGTAAGTGAAAGAGCCCGCTTTGTACGGGGTAACCATTAGGCTGGAGGCAGTTGCTGATCACTGGGTATCTGAGAAATGCTTCAGGTTACTCACACGTAAGTCTTGAGGTGCTAAACTTTGTACTCACTGGTTTTGGGATCAATGTATGTGCGAGCACATTATGCTGTCTTAGAGATGGAGAGAGTTCTGGGAAAGTCTTTGGAGTTCCCAAATATGGGGATAATATTATATATTTCACTTTTTATAAGTCAAATATAAGTATGAGATCAGTAATTGTGCTTACACCAATAAAATGTCAGACTGTGGTGTTTTTTTTTTTGACTTGAAGAATTTCTCCAGTTTGGAAAGTAGAGAGTTTTTATTAATTACTTATTTCTGCCATGTATTTTATTTAAATTATCTTGACTATTATTAGAAATGTTTGATTTACTGACTTAAAGATTTACTTTAAAGGTTTTTTTTTTTTTTTTTTGAGATGAAGTCTCACTCTGTTGCCCAGGCTGCAGTGACGTCATCTCTGCTTACCGCAACCTCTGCCTCCCAGGTTCAAGCGATTCTCCTGCCTCAGCCTCCTGAGTAGCTGGGACTACAGGCACACGCCACCACACCCGGCTCATTTTTGTATTTTTAGTGGAGACGGGGTTTCACCATGTTGTCCAGGCTGTTCTTGAACTCCTGACCTCAGGTGATCCACCCACCTCGGCCTCCCAAAGTGCTGGGATTACAGGGGTGAGCCACCATGCCCAAAGTGCTGGGATTACAGGCATGAGCCACCACGCCCGGCCCTGTTGTTGTTATTTTTAGTGTGAATTAAGAATGGGAGGCCAAGGCGGGCGGATCACGAGGTCAGGAGATCGAGACCATCCTCACTAACGCGGTGAAACCCCGTCTCTACTAAAAATACAAAAAATTAGCCGGGCGTAGTGGTGGGCACCTGTAGTCCCAGCTACTCGAGAGGCTGAGGCAGGAGAATGGCGTGAACCCGGGAGGCGGAGCTTGCAGTGAGCCCAGATTGCACCACTGCACTCCAGCCTGGGTGACAGAGTGAGACTCCGTCTCAAAAAAAAAGAATGACTCTGTCTCAAAGAAAAATAATAAAAGAATCCATGAAGCATTTGTTAGATTTGTATTACTTTTGTAGTCATTTTCTTACTAATTTGTGTCCTGATTCCCATAATTTCTAACAATATAAACAATGTATAAAGGGCTAAGTTAATTATATTGTGTATTTTAAAATACAGCTTACATATTCTGTTCTCAAAATGTCTCCAGTTTTGCAAATTTTTAAAATAGATGTTAAAACAATCCCTATAGTTTACTATTAATACTAACGCGTATTTATTTTGGGATTTAAAAGCACTTTAATGACATAGTAACTCTCCAGAAAATTTCTGTTTTTTCCTACTGAACAAACAACTTTTATTTAAATTGTAACAAACTTAGCTACAGGGCAAATTGATGTGTCTAAAGATTACCTAAGTGGAAAATAATCTACACTATTTTTTTTCCATTTTTAAATTTTAATGCTTATATTGAATATTTTTTGCTTATTTGTCTTTCATTTAGGGGTACACTTTGTGCCATACACACACACATATACATAGATATGTATATATAATATATATAAAAACATAGTAGTGACTCCGAGAGAAGAGCTTGGCTGATATTTTCTCTTCTTTTGTTTGAAGAAGTGATTAGGAAATGGCCTGCTGGCCGCCACAATGGGAGAAGATCAGGAACTATTATCACTACAACAAATAGCCACCCTCCCTTAAAGCAATTAGAGGAAACTAAGTGTTTTATAATCTCAATAAAACAATTTGATTTTGGATATTAAGCAGTTTTCTGAGATAATATCACTTAAATATAACATGATTGGTAACATATTTGTGTTGATATTTTTAATTCTTTTTACTTCTAGGCCACAGACAATTAAAAGACCTTTAAATCCTTTGGCTTCTGGTCAAGGTAAATTACTTATTTGCGTTGTTATATTATTTCTCAGCCAGGGAACTTTAATTCAAAGGAAGGGGAAGGCAAGATAAATGACAGTAACAGTTGAAGTCATATAATCCACAGTCCTGTTTCCATAGAGTTATGCCTCACGCTTGCAGAGATTGGTGCTTAAATTATTTGTACTTCAGTAAAAAGTATTTTTTTTTTTTTTTTGAGATGGAGTCTCGCTCTGTCACCCAGGCTGGAGTGCAGTGGCGTGACTTTGGCTCACTGCAAACTTCGCCTCCCGGGTTCACGCCATTCTCCTGCCGCAGCCTCCTCAGTAGCTGGGACTACAGGCGCCCGCCACAACGCCCAGCAAATTTTTTTGTATTTTTAGTAGAGATGAGGTTTCACCGTGTTAGCCAGGATGGTCTCGATCTCCTGACCTCATGATCCACCCGCCTCGGCCTCCGAAAGTGCTGGGATTTCAGGTGTGAGCCACTGCCCCTGGCCAGTAAAAAGTATTTTTATAATGAAGTTCCTGGTATTAGATTATCAAAAAATAAAGATTAGGATATATATTTATTCTATATATTTTTGCAGACATAGTAAAATGTCAGTTTTTTAATCCCACAGATAAATAAATATCCCAAACTCTCAAATTTTTTCTAAAACTTGAAATTATTGCAAATATTGGGCATCTGATTTCAACTTTACATGTCTTTATATCTTAATAACATTTTTAATATTCTGTTTTCACTCAAGGTCTGGCTCAAATGCTGCTTTTTCCATAAAACTTTCCCTGGTCCTTGTAACCAGAAGTATTTCTCCCTCCTCATGAAGTAATCTGATGCATGCGTTTGTTTTTACTTGTTTTCCTCTTACGGCCTTTCCCACTGTGTAGCATTATTTTATTATTATTTATGTATCTATCGATCTACCCTAGTACTCTGCCATATGGGTAGCATTTATCTGTTTTATCTCTCTATATAGAGCCTGACACATAATAGATGGAGTAGTTTGTTAGATACATGATCAGTGAAAATTGCTCTCTTCATTTAATGGTCTTGTCTACAATAGTGAAAGCCAGTTGTTCTTTCAGCAAATGATTATCCGCCATTTACTACCTGCTAGGCACTGTGTAGATGCCAGAGGGGATGTAAAATTAAAATTTACAAAAACCCTACCCCATCTGTAATATGAAGAATGGTTTGTTGAATAAGCCATTTCAGTGTATGAGTTCAGACTTTTTCTTTAGAAATTATGTATCCTTATTCTCTTCAAATATGTGCTTACTGATTAAAATCTTTAATGTGCTTTTAGCAAAAGTGTAAGGTTTTCATTTTAAAAATTTATTTGAAAAGATGCTGATCTCAAATAATAAATATAAATTTCCTCCTAGAAGGGGATGAGATTGCATCATTCCCTAAATTCTGGCAGATTTCTCTTTCTTAGATTAGGAATGAAAAATCTTTAAATAAGGCTTTTGAGTTTATACAGAGTCACATGTGGTGACTCAGTGGAAGCCATTGATTTAATATCAGATGAAATGCAAATTAATAGAAAAGAGGTGATCATTATGATCTCACATTATGATTTGATAAAGTAATTAACCACGTCACTTACCATAAAGATACATAGGAACAATTTAAATGTTTATCATTAGGGAACTGGTTAAATGACTTATGGTATAGTCACATAGAAAATAGCCATTGTAAATATTGCTGTAAATTTTTATTCATTTAAATCAAAAGTGACCAATAACACAGTGAGGAAAATCAGGTATCAAAACAATATGTATAATAAATTTATAATATATCTATAAACTAAAAAGATATTCACTAAAATGTAAATAGTATTTATCTTTGAGCTGGGGAATTATGAATAATTTTTTATTTTGTCTTTTTTTTAAAAACATATATTTGCAATGATTATATATTTCTTTAATAAACCGATGGCATTAAAAAAAGTGGGCAAAATTTTTGAAGACAAATTTTCAGTAGTAAATAAGCAGCTGCACACAAATTACTGTATTATGTATAATTTGAATCTTATAAATAGTCTATGAAAATATTCCCGACTAAGGTTAAATATTATAAGGCCAGGCTGGAGGTTTCAAAGCAATAATAATAATATTTAACAGAAACTACATTATAGCTTTAGGATAAATAAATGTGGAAAAGTCTCTGTCAGCCAAGTAAACGTAGGTCCTTAAGATATTGAAGAGTACTCTCAGGTGATGGATTAGTTTTTTCTCTCCTGTCAGGGTATATTAAATCTCACATGAGCTGAACCTCTTTATGTACACTCATGGAGATAACACCATTTAGTCAAATCAGGCATAATTCATATCACTACCAGATAGAGTTGCAGTCACGAATGTCTCACTTTCAGATTTTACTTGTGTGAATGAACTGTTGGACTAAAACTAACCATTATTAAAGTCTTATTTTTATGAAAGTGTAGCATTATAAAAGGGGCACTGGAAGGAATTTATTTTAATAAACATTTTGTTTTGCTTTTCAGGGACAAGTGAAGGTAAGTATAATTTATTATATATTACATATATGAATTTGTTTATACATTCAGATGTTTATTATGGCAAAGTTTATTTTTTTCTTCTCACCTCTAAAAATCAGAAGAACTTAAGTTTTACTTATTTATCTGAAAGTCTGGAGGTACTAGCACAGATTAAGGGAAAGTGACTTTGTGTCTGGGTTCAGGCATTAGAAACAGTGTGCCTCAGCCTCTGATCATTCATTTGCACATTTTACCTCTCTGAATGTGGAAGCATGTCCACTCCCCGTCTCCCCCATTGCCTCAGGCCAGGGAAATGTCCTCTCTCTTTTACTGGTTGAACTCTAGGATCTGCTGGGTTTCATGTAGGAAGGTTCTGGGCATGATGAGTATTGATTTCAGAGCTGGCTTCTAAGGTTGATGCTGACTTGTTGGATGTAGGTGTCATTGCCAAGTCTAACTAATGCTAACAGTTTCAGCATACATTAGGTTTACTTTGTGTTTTTGCTTTAAGGGTGAAAATGAAATGACATTTGTTATTCTTAAGACCATATGCTTAACAATATGAAAAGACTTAATGGTGCTTAGCTTTAGTCTATCTAGGTGAAATTGCTAAAATGTGAAGTATCACTTTTCTTTCCCTCAAAATCCTCTATTTTCTGAACATAATTCTTATGAATTGCTTTTGCATTATGTCTAAATAACAGAATACTAAAGTCTGATAACAATGCTATTTTATTATTGTGCTTTATATTATATTAACTGTAGCAGCTAAATAAAATGCTGACTCAGAACTGTTTGGAAGAGAAATTGTTTAGCAGTGAGATTATTTTTCCAAAGATGCCTCATATTTGCTACTGGTACATGTGATTCTATGATTTTCAGTTTCAAGTAACCTTATTTTACCTTGAGTATTAACCTAGTTCTATGCTATATTGTTAGCCACATTAGAGGAGGCTACTATGATTTTTCAATTCTATTTGAAGACCTTATTATCAGAAAAATAGATCGTTAACCTGTGGGAGCCATCCTTAGAGAAACTGTCTTATTATAAGTATTGATTTTGGCCAAATATCAAAGGGTTATTCCTGAGAGCTATCATATTAAGTGATTGTTTAGACCACAGTCAGGTCAACTTGAGAACAGGTACTTCAGGATTATAATATTGAACTGATTTCTTGGCTGGGCGTGGTGGCTTATGCCTGTAATCCCAGTACTTTGGAAGGCCAGGGCTGGCTGGTCACTTGAGGCCAGGAGTTTGAGACCAGCCTGGCTAACCTGGTGAAACCCTGTCTCTACTAAAAATAGAAAAATTAGCTGGGCGTGGTGGTGCACACCTGTGATCCCAGCTGTGTGGGAGGCTGAGATGGGAGGATCACTTGAGCTTGGGAGGCGGAGGTTGCAGTGAGCTGAGATGGAGCCACTGCCCTCCAGCCTGGGTAACAGAGCAAGACTGTCTTTTTTCTTTTTTTTTTTTTTTAAAAAGGACACACAGACACACACACACACACACAAACACTGAACTGAAAATTTCACTGGAAGCCTAGGTCCTAAGCAGTATTATCCCCTAACTCCCTAATTCATGATCAAAAACTTGAAAAAAAGAACCTTGAAAATTTTTATAAGGAAATAAGTTCCTTATAATCCCACCATCCCCAAATAATTAATAATAATAACTCTGTGCCAGGCACTTTTCTAAGCAATTTACAAATATGATTTTATTTAATTCTTTCACCAATCCTAGGGGTATTATTCCTGTCTCCATGTTATAGGTGAAGAGAGGTTCAGCAACTTGACTAAAATAATATGATTTGTAAGTAGCAGAGTTAAGATTTAAATCAGGCAGTTTGACTCCAGGAACCATACCCTTAGTTACTACCAGATACGCTTCTCTGCTAACATTTTGATATTTATGTTTTCTATATATAAGTAGTTTTGTCCAACACTTGTCAGCATTAAAGATGATCATATTTTTATCTTACTTGATAGGTAGAGTCATGTATCTTTTGTTTTCATTTGCATTTTTTATTGCCCGTAAGACCAAACAATTTTTGTCTGTTATTACCATATGTATTTTTTCCTTTGTGAATTTTTAAATTCATATTATTTACCTCTTTTTTAAGGGGGCACTTTAGCATTTTTATTTAGTTTATGAGCTTTTTATATATTTAGGATCTAATCCCTTTGACATATTTGCAACATACATTTTACTGAGTTTGTTGTTTGCATTTTGCTTTTGTTTATGAAGTGTTCTGACAAATAGATGTTTTGAGTTTTTATATATTCCAGTTTATTGCTTATTCCCTTTGCCATTCCTTCCATTATTTTTATGCTTGTTTGGTTCATTTTTAACATTACTGTAAGCAACTTTAGTAGAAAACACTGTACAGTGTTTATCATCTCTGTAGCAAATGCATACATGAATCTTTACAGAGTTGTATGATTATTTCTTATGCCTTTTGTATAATATTTCAAGTAAACATTTTTATGTATTGCCATGTTCTACATTCTTGCTATTTTCATAGTTGTATGTTATTTTACCATGTTCACTAGTTAGATAGTGTTCTATCATGTTAATTTAGGCATTATCGTATTTGTAGAATTACTAGGCATTAAATATATTGACAATAATCTTATTAGGTCATAAGAATATAAGTGATACTTGGTGTTTATAACATTTTCCTGAATTGCTCTTTTGAAATAGTGAATGGCATGTAATATTATCAGCTAAATACAAATAGTACCCCTCCAATACTGTCTTATCATTTTAATTTTTTTCTAGTTTAAAAAGCATGTAATGAATCCTTAGTTTTCATGGCATGAATTGTTATCAAGGCTAGGTATTTTCCCATTCTTGACTGATTTACTATTTAAATTCTGTATTTTGACCTCCTGTAAAACACTTTAACCAGAACGTTATGAGACTGGGTCAACCTAAGGCAATGCTAAAGCCTTTTAAAGACCAAGCAGCAGGCTGGTACTTAACTGAATCCATAACCTTTCTTCTTCCTTTCGAGAAATTGCAATTAAGACTTGGACCGTTAGGTTAAATAATCTTTACATTGTTGTTTGGCACAAATTTGCTATAATGCTTTAAAACTTTTGAAAAACTTGTATTTTGGCATTTTTCTATTCTTATGACTTATTTTTCTTTTGATTTCAGAGAACACTTTTTACAGTTGGCTAGAAGGTAATTAGAAACTTTAAAATAAATTTCAATGATGGTTTTTTTCTCATGAGATTAATTTTATGTCTACAAGATTCACATATGAAATTTTATTTCTAAGTCACTGCTTTTTCTTAGGTCTCTGTGTAGAAAAAAGAGCATTCTACAGACTTATATCTGGCCTACATGCAAGCATTAATGTGCATTTGAGTGCAAGATATCTTTTACAAGGTATGTGACATTTACTTTTATTCAGTCTACCACTCTTAATTTTAGATATTCTTAAAATTTTCCTGGCATTTACCTGAATGGGAAAAGATTGACCTGATTGAATATTAGGCAGTAAAAATTCACTCTTAAATGGTAGTAATCAGAAAGGTGGGAACTGTAGATACAATTGAACAGTTTAACATACTCTTAGCTCTCTTCACCTTCTTTTAAGAAGCTGCTCAAAATTGTCCATATCACTTTGGAAATATTCTTGTTTTCTTGTGGGAATTTAAATAGTTCCTAACAGCACAGTTTGCTATTTGATAGATATTGTTGTATCAGAACCTTTTTATTTGTGTGCTCGTATCAGGCCTGGAGTTTAAATGGGTAAAAGCCTTTCCTGCTGCTGTTGATGCCTTAATACTGTTGAAAATGAGACTGTGGTTGATTTTCATCAGTACCATATTTCTTCTGGAATTAAAGTATCACACTCTGAGAAACAAAATATAGAAACTTCCATTTTATTCATTGATTGATTGCTTGATTGATTGAGACAGGGTCTCACTCTATTGCCCACTCTAGTGTGCGATGGCCAAAACTGGGGCTTAGCCTGGGAGGGCACTTGGCTTTGCCCAGGAAAAAGTTTGAACCTCTCCTCATGAAGGAGAGCTGTCCCATAGGCAGTGTGCCCAGAGTAGCAGCTTGGAGGCAGTTCTGCAGCCATATTTATAGTCCACTTTTTATTATATGCAAATTATGAGGCAGATTATGCAGAAATTTCTAGGAAAAGGGTAGTAACTTCTGGGTCATTGCTATGGAAAGGGGTGGTAACTTCTGCATGTTGCCATGGGAATGAGAAACTGACATGGCACCCTGGTGGGTGTGCCTCATGGAAAGCTGCTTCAGCCCCCTCCCTGTTTTAGCTAGTTTTCAATTTGGTCCAGTGTCCTGAGTCCCACCTCCTGAGCCAAGTCCTACCTTCTACCTCATGACTACAGGAGCATGCCACCATGTCCAGCTAATTTTTCACAATATTTTTTGTAGAGACAAGATTTGGCCATGTTGCCCAGGCTGGTCTTGAACTCCTGAGCTCAAGTGATTTGCCCATCTTGGCCTCCCAGAGTACTGGGATTATAGCCGTGAGCTACTGTGCCTAGCCGTAACTTTGATTTTAAATGGCGGTTTAAACTCATTAGTAATTTTACTGTTTTTTTTTTTTTTTTTTTGAGACAGAGTCTTGTTCTGTCACCCAGGCTGGAGTGCAGTGGTGTGATCTTGGCTCACTGTGACCTCTGCCTCCTGGGTTCAAGTGATTCTCCTGCCTCAGCCTCCTGAGTAGCTGGGACCACAGGTGCATGCCACCACACCCAGCTAATTTTTTGTATTTTTAGTAGAGACGGGGTTTCACCATGTTGGCCAGGCTGGTCTCGAATTCCTGACCTCAGGTGATCCACCCGCCTTGGCCTCCCAAAGTGCTGGGATTACAGGCTTCAGCCACTGCACCTGGCCTAAACTCATTAGTAATTTTAGATCATCATTTTCAAATTGTGTGTTTAGGTTTTATGAATATGTTTATATTCAGAAGTTTGACTATTATTTTTTTTCATCTTTAAAAAAGGAAATTTTATTATTTTCCATCACATGAATGAACTTGGAGGACATTATATTTGTCAAAATGAGCCAGACACAAAGATTATTATTTCATGATTTCACTTACAAAGGGATTCTAAAAAACTTAATCTTATTGAAGTAGAGAGTAAAGTGGTGGCCACCAGACACCAAGGTATTTAGGAGACAGGAGGGTTTGAAAAGATGTTGATCAAAAAATACATAATTATAGTTAATAGAAGTTCAAGAGATATTTTTGTACAGCGTAGTGACTATAGATCAAAATAATGTATTTGTAGTTTTGAAAAATGCTGACAATGTCACTTGCTCTTGCCACAGAAATGTTAACTATGTGGCGTAATTACCTAGAATTAAGCATTTAACAATGTATATATACTTCCAAACATTATGTTTTACAAAATAAATATACATTTATTGATTACAGATGGTAATGGTATGAAAGCCACTGAAAGGGCAGGCGTTGCTTATGGTCTTATGACTGGCCACTTTGTGAACACAATAAACAAGTTTGCATTAAAAAAACCCAGAAAATGGTTTAATCTAAAAGTTGCCATGATCTTCAGAATTTTTCCAGAGAAAATGACCAAGAAGTTGACTACAGTTAGGTGACTAAGAATATAAGCTGTAGACACCTTCACCCACTAAAAAAAAAAATCACATAAAATAAGAGTGAGAAATTCCTCTGAGTTGTAATATCAATATGGAAAAGAAATATTATTCCAGATTTCAAATCCACAGAGATCATTTTATTATTTTGCAGCCTTTAACATTCACACTTAAAAATAAAAGATTCTACATGGAAACATGTGCTGTAAGTGTATCATAGAACATTAAATTTAAAATTATTCACTTACCATTAACTCTCCTAATACTTTAATTTCTATGATATATTTTCTAGCAAATTAGATAGATGTCACACTTTGTGTAAGAATTTTTTTTTTTTTGAGACAGAGTCTTGCTCTGTCGCCCAGGCTGGAGTGCAGTGGTGCAATCTTGGCTCACTACAACATCTGCCTCCAGGATTCAAGCAATTCTCCTGCCTCAGCCTCCTGAGTAACTGGGATTACAGGCATGTGCCACCACGCCCGGCTGATTTTTGTATTTTTAGTAGAGGTGGGGTTTCACCATGTTGGTAAGGCTGGTCTCAAACTCCTGACCTCGTGATCCACCTGCCTCGGCCTCCCAAAGTGCTGGGATTACAGTTGTGAGCCACCACGCCTGGCCTGTGTAAGAATTTAATAAGATTTTCCTTTTACAAACAGAGAAAAACAATGCTAAGTTACTTAATCCTCTCACCTGTGGACAGGTTTGCCTTTTATCTTAACTGATTTGAAAGTTATATTGATAAGCAAACTCTCTAGTTAAAACCAATTTTTGAATGCATTAAATAAATACCAACTTTCTCATCAAAACCTACAAAGTACCATGTAAAATGACATGGCATGAAGACAACAGTGAGAAAACTGTAGCCATCACATAGAAAAAGAAGGAGAAGGGCTGTGATGAATACACAGTTAGAAGACACATAATAGGACAAACAAAACTAAAGATAACTAGGAAATAAACAGAATTTCTCTTAAAATTCAGCAAGATTTAGCTTTGCAGCATGGAAAAATGTTATCTCCACATGAAGAATCAATCTTATTTCTTCACTATTGATATTTTCCTTCTCTGACTTGAACTTACAAACTAACTGTAGCAGGAATATTTATGGCTTATCATGGAGCATCCGTTACACAGCAAGTACTGTGTGTTTGTTTGCTACATTTATATATAAAAAACATCCTCATGACTTCTGAAGCATCCCTAGTTCTTACCTGAACAAATTGGCTCAATAAACATATAAATTTACTTATGTCAATTATAATGAGAATAAAATAAGTAAAAAAAAATACAGGCTTATGTAGAATTCTTTAATTAAAAGAACAAATGGAATGTCCTAATTAAATGAAATGTAATACACAATTTTGGAAATACATCTAAAAATTGTTTTGTGTGCACTACTATATTTTATAAAAATCATTCTTATTAGTCATGACCAGCTCACATAATACCTCATAAACTATAAAAGAAAAAAATTATAAGAGACAAGAAAATTATAAGTCTAGCATGAGAACCAGGCAAAGAAAAACAGAAAATGTTCATGGGGAGATTCTGAATCATAAGTCAGAAGATTTTACAGTAATGAATTTAATAAAAAGCAGAGTATAGATTTGCTTTCAGCATTTTTGAGGTTTTCAGTTTTCTAGTAAATTTGTCACCTTATTAAGATATTTGTTTTGTTCCAATATTGCTCTATTCTTCTGAAAACAGGTATAAACTCATACTCACCCAAACACACTTACTCTATAATTTTCTTGCACCTAAGGTCTATTTTTAGAGTAATATATGTGCATAGCTAACTCTATGTAAATCAGAACTAAAATTCTGTATGTTTGCAGGCAGAGAGACCACATGTTCAAAGAAAAATACATAACAAATTTTTTTAAATGTTTAAGCAGAACTCAGAATTTTAAGACTCAGGATTTTATTTATATTTATAAATAATTTTTATTATACCCATAAAAATGACCCTATAATCAATAGCAACTTAATTGTACATTTTAAAGTAACTAAAAGTGTAGAGTTGATAGAAATTTCATTTGCCCTGATGTGATTAATACATAAATTATATGCCTGTATCAAAAGATGCCATATATGGCATCAATATAAGCAGATACTATGCACCTGCAAAAATTAAGAATGATTTTTATTATTAATAAGACTTGCTTTCTCAGTAAAACATTGAATTTGTTTTAAGGATGGGTTCTAGAAAATAAAATATTAATATAAAACTATTAAAGGCTAAATTGTGAAAAACCATTTTCTTGGTTGTTATTATATAACTTAAAATGCAAAATGAAATTAACTTCTATAGGCATGAATAACCTAATATAATTAAAGTAAAAATTGTCAAATTCAGTTTTTAATATTTAATTCTTCTTCCTTCTTAGAGACCTGGTTAGAAAAGAAATGGGGACACAACATTACAGAATTTCAACAGCGATTTGATGGAATTTTGACTGAAGGAGAAGGTCCAAGAAGGCTTAAGAACTTGTATTTTCTCTACTTAATAGAACTAAGGGCTTTATCCAAAGTGTTACCATTCTTCGAGCGCCCAGATTTTCAACTCTTTACTGGAAATAAAATTCAGGATGAGGAAAACAAAATGTTACTTCTGGAAATACTTCATGAAATCAAGTAAATTATATATTAAACTTTATACATTAATAGAAGAGTGACAATTAATGTACAAGATAAATTTTTTTTTTTTTGAGACAGGCTCTCCCTCTGTTGCCCAGGCTGGAGTGCAGTGGCACGGTCATGGCTCACTGCAGCCTTGATTTCCTGGGCTCAAGCAGTCCTCCCATCTCAGCCCAAGAAGCTGGGACTATATGTGCAAACCACCACACCGGGCTAATTTTTGTATTTTTTGTAGAGATGGGGTTTTGCCATGTTGTCCAGGCTGGTCTCGAACTCCTGGGCTTAAGTGATTGATCCACCCACCTTGGCCTCCCAAAGTGCTGGGATTACAGGTGCAGGCCACTGTGCTCTGCCTGAAATTTTTAATATTCATTTAGAGAAAGGAAAACTATTTAGAACATAATTAAAAGTTAATTTTGCTTGTAGGTCTTTTCAGATTGAATTTTGCTTTTGTTTTTATTTTGATTTGGGTACTGAGAGGCACACATTTTTAGTTTTAAGAGCCATTCTTTTAGTATTTGATAATGTATTATTTTCATGTTTATTTGAACAAATTGGATTTGGGGTCAAATTTCTGTATTACGCAGTTAGAATCAAGATTTGAGGTTTGAGGATAAGAATTTGATTTGGGGCATCGGAGTGTTGGTTTTACTATGTTTTCTCCTCTTTATTTATCATGACCAGTAAAATGTTGTATTAGCAGGACTTTTAATATTTATAACACATGAAAATGAATATTCTCTGTTTTAAAACGCAGGTCATTTCCTTTGCATTTTGATGAGAATTCATTTTTTGCTGGGGATAAAAAAGAAGCACACAAACTAAAGGTAATTACTTTATACTTAACTGTTAGATACAAACTGATTAACACTTATGCAGATATGAATATATAGTACTCATAGAAGTAGAGAGTAGGCCATAGAAGTAGAGAGTAGGCCAGGGGCAGTGGCTCAGGCCTGTAATTCCAGCACTTTGGGAGGCTGAGGTGGGAGGATTGCTTGAGCCCTGGAGTTCAAGACCAGCTTGGGCAACATCGTGTGAAACCCTGTCTTTAATTAAAAAAAAAAAAAAAAAAAGTAGAGAGTAGAATGATGGTTACCACAGGCTGGGGGTGGGGAGTGGATGGGGAAAACGGAGATGTTGATCCATGGGTACAAAGTTTCAGTTAGGGAGAATAAGATTTAGTGATCTACTGCACAGAATGGTAACTATGGTAATAATGCATTATATATTGCAAAATTGCCAAAAGTGTAGATTTTAAGGTTTCCACTATACAAAAAATGGTTAAGTATGTGAGGTGATGGATTTGTTAATTAGCCTGATTTAATCACTTCATATTGTAAATATACATTAAAACATCACATTGTATCCATAAACATATACAATTTTTGTCAATTAAAACATAAACACATGTATATATACTTAACAGTATATCTTGATATACATCTTGAAATTAAGAAAAAATCAGAGTCATAATCTTTCTTTTCCTCAAAAAAATCAAGTCCAAAGGCAGGTGCCACTTAAAGTCTATTTTGCATTATATTCAAAGTAACACTGATATCTGTATATTGCCGTACACTTTCTAGATGCCTTTCACATTGATGATCTCATATAATAAATAGAGGTAATAAAGGAAATGGATCCAATGCATGAGTAGCGTATTAGTCTATCTTTTGCTGAAGAGAATTCTGAAGATGATATTGTTTAATTAAAAGATCTTCATTAGTGGGAGAAGGCACAGTGTGATGTTTTGTCATTCATCTTTTTTTATTATTATTGAGAAGGGATCTCACTCTGTCACCCAGGCTGGAGTGCAGTGATACAATCACGGCTCATTGCTACCTTGAAATTCTGTGCTCAAGCGATCCTCCCACCTCAGCTTTCTGAGTAGCTTGAGTAGCTGGGACCACAGGCACATATCACCATGCCTGTCTAACTTTTTTTTTTTTTTTTTTTTTTGGTAGAAACAGGGTTTTGCTATGTTGCCCAGGCTGGTCTCAAACTCCTGGGCTCAAGCGGTCCTCCCACCTCAGCCTTCCAAAGTGCTGGGATTACAGGCGTGAGCCATTGCACCCCCTGCCGTTCATCTTATTCACTGGGAATTAAAGACAGTTATGAATACCAGCGTGCAGCTGGGGAAAGAACAGATTCCATACCCCACGGAATGCGGTCTGGTCATTGCCTTGCCTCTTAATAGGGTCTGACCTCAGGCAAGACCATCTCTGAGTATGTATTTGCCTCATAATACTATAAATATCAAACATTACCAGGAAGATTTATTACACACTCATTATGTGCACAGCACGATTTTTTGTCATTAAAAGGAAAGAGAGCTTCCACCCTCAAGGGATTTCCAGAGGGGGTCAAGTAAAATTATATTTCTCTTCTCTCTTACAAAGTTCCACTGGTAAGTAAAGGCAGGTGGACCTCCATACTACTGGGTTTGATCTGATTTTATATATACATACATATATATACACACACACATGAAATTATATATATGTACATATGAAATCATATATATATATCACAGAATCTTTGTAGAGTAATATTATTGAGTAGTTTTTTTTTTTTTAAGTAGGTTTAAAATTAGTACCTCTTGCCTGGATGTCATCTGGTCATAGAAAAATAGTAAAAATAAAGTTAGTACCTCTTACTGAACAGGTACTGAAACACAAGATAGAGAATATTGTTAAGATATGGTAACAATTAACAATAATTTGGGCTTTGTCTTAATAAAGATACTAGATATAGATAGATACTAGATATGGTAGATATGTATAGGTAGATTTCTATACAAATATGTCTGATTTCATACATATTGTATATATATTTTTGTTTTTTTAAGAGATAAAGTCTTATTTTATCACCAGAGTTGAAGTGCAGAGGCATAATCATAGCTCACTGCAGCCTGGAACTCCTGGGTTCAAGCCATCTTCCCACCTCAGCCTCCTGAGTAGCTAGGACTACAGGCTGGCACCACTATGCCCTGCTAACTTTTAAAATTTTTTTGTTGAGTTGGGGTCTCACTATGTTGCCCAGGCTGGTCTTGAATTCTTGGCCTCAAGCAATCTGCCTGTCTTGGCCTCCGAAAAGTGCTGGGAGTACAGGTGTGAGCCACCACCATACCCAGCCTGATTTCATCAAAATATTTACAAAAATCTTCCTCTGCTTTTCATTCTTTCTTTCTGTAATGAAAGAACCTGATTTTATGCACTCAGTTTTTTTGCTGTTAGATAATACTTATTCTTGACTTCCCATCTACCTCCTACTTGAAGCATTCTTGCTACAAATACATACCTCAGTGCTTATATAATCTGCCTAAACAGCTTCCAGGAACTAGAAAGTGAGGGGGAAGATGCTGTAATAAGACTTCTTTTTTTCCTACTATTTTCAATATGTTCCTTTTTTTTTTTAGTTTACTTGCTGCTTTATTGGAAAGTGTTCTGGCATCAGCTCTTTTTAAATCATGCAGATTAGAAAGATTTCTCACAATGTTTTAATTTGATCAAAACTCGGAAACACTCACCTTTAATGTCCTATGAAGTTTAGGTAGAGAGTCTTGATGTAACAGAATTTTTCTGAATCTTTTACAGGAAAGATGTAAAAAACAAAACATGCTACTATCAAAGATTTACTTTTTTAAAAAGCAGTTTCTGGTAAACATCGATTTAAACAGTCATATTTACAAATTAATTTTAAAAATCTCATCTTGTTTCCTTAGTACCCTATCAATGTATGGTTAGAAATAGAGGACTTGTATGAAGGAGAATTATTTAGCATTCAATTCAAATAGAATACGATCTCATTTGAAGACTTGTAAAGTATTTGAGAATTTGGGCAAGAATTGGTCAGTTGGTTTCACTGAATATAAATCACAGCATGCTTGATCATTCTATTGACTGGCTGTAATTTAAAGTGATGACCTAAAACTGTATGTCTAAACAAGGAAAATCTGTAAGTGATTTAGGTACTGGTTATTTTAAGGACCATACCTTTTTCTAACCTGAGATAATTAGGGGATATACTCAGGTTATTGTACATAATTGTTATTTGTTAAGTCACAAGGATTTTCTCCTGTGAAATCCTTACTAATTTTTACTAATTTGATCTAGTAAATTTCTAGCCTATTAATTTGGTCCTAGCATATTAAGTTCACTTAAGCAGAAGATGCATGCTATTTGATGTGCTTGGTTTTAATTTTACAATGTTTATTTGGCTATTGTAAGCAGCCATGCCTGCTCTCTGTACATGTCATACAAAGACTTACTCAAGAGCTGTCACATTCAAGTATTTGAATTAACGTAGAAGCAAACATTGAAATTAGCGTCTACAAAAGCAAGCACAGTCTTTTAGAACAGAGGCTTCCAACTCTCACAAGTATGGGAGTCTCTTATACTCAGGAACTTTCAAGGCCTCTTCTCATGACAGAGTATTTTTAGTATCTGTTGATTTTGAAAATATGATTGCCAAAAAGCCACCATGCATTTAGTAACACTTTAAAAGTAAAAGTTGTGTTTTATTGATCATAACATTTCTATCCATTTGGAAATTTATAGTGCATATATGTGAGCTATTTATTCTGTGGTATATAGTCTTGTCTCTATGTGGATTCTGTGGATCCTCATAATAACCATTAAGTCTTCTGGAAGTCAACAGCTCATAGGATGGGAACATGTTCTTTAGGGTAACTTTCTTACTCTGTTATTATTGTTAAAAGTGTGATTTTTCTTTAAGTTTTGGTCAATGCTCTAGTTTAAAGGCAACCTAAAATCAGATCACAGAATCTTTGTAGAGTAATATTACCGGTTAGTTTTAAGTAGGTTTAAAATTAGTACCTGTTGCTTGGATGTCATGTGGTCATAAAAATAAAAAAAAAATAGTACCTCTTACTGTACAGGTACTGAAACCAAGATAGAGAATATTATTAAGATATGGTAACAATGAACAATTTGGGCTTTGTCTTAATTAATAAAGATATTACATCTTAGATCCTATTAAAACTTTCTTTCATGTTACAGCTGTTTGAAAGTCACAAACTGAATAAAGCATGTTGGGAAAGTCTGTCTCCAGAGCAAATTGAGGTTTCCTTTGAATAGTGGGTTCCAATCATTGATTTATTCCTATTTTAGATTTGTGGTCCTGCCTTCATCTGGTTGAGCCTAGTGTGTGGTTTATCACATTAGAATAAGAGAAATACTGTGTGCTCCCTAAATTATAGGCCAATTTGTATAATGGATGTTCTATCTGAGATGTATGTCAGATTTCCTGCTAAGAATACTGTAAGCTTGAGATTCCCCTCTTAGTCCAGTACAGGAGTCTCTTGGAGGATCAGTTGGTAATTTCCATTGAAGGAAAAGAAGGATGTGTTCTTGGCTTCCCTTCTTTTTTCCATATTCCTTAAGGACATATACTATGTTTAGATTAGCTGGATGCATGTCGCCCTATTATAAATGATATAATATTCTAGGGTTCATGGATGTATACATATGTATTAAAAGCATAAAAACAAAAAGGGAACAATGCCAAATTCAATATAGTAGTAGAGGGTGGGATATGGGACTCGAGAGATAACATGAGGGGCTTCGATTGTACTTGTGACAAATTTTTCTAAAACTTGGTAGTGGGTATGTGGCATTCACTATATTTTATATATTTTTGCATTTTAATAGTAATAGTAATTTAATATTAACAAAGGAAGACCTGATTGTTTACCTTATTCATACCAGAAAGAAGGGCTGTGGTTGAATTATTATGAAACCAAAGGGCTGGGCACAGTGGCTCACGCCTGTAATCCCAGCACTTTGGGAGGTCGAGGTGGGCGGATCACGAGGTCAGGAGATCGAGACCATCCTGGCTAACATGGTGAAACCCTGCCTCTACTAAAAAAAAAAAAAAAAAAAAAAAAAAAAAAAAAAAAAAATTAGCTGGGCGTGGTGGCAGGTGCCTGTAGTCCCGGCTACTCAGGACGCTGAGGCAGGAGAATGGTGTGAACCTGGGAGGCAGAGCTTGCAGTGAGCGAGATTCCCCCACTGCACTCCAGCTTGGGTGACAGGGCGATACTCTCAAAAAAAAAAAAAAAAAAAAAAAAAGAAACCAAAGGATTTTTTTTTTCCTTTCCATTCCTGCCTTCTCTCATTCCCTCCCTCCATTCCTTCTGGTAAATGATGCTCTCTAACCCTGTCTCACCCTCCTTTCTCCACCTATTGACATATAGTTAATCACCTACAATGGACACCTTGACAAAGTTATTTTGTATATTTTTGCAGATAGTTTAGCTTTGGAGTCAGACAGGCCTGGTTTCTAAGTTTTTTGTTTACTAGATGTGGGAATTTAGGCAAGTTACCTAAACACTCTGAATCTTGTTTTTTACATTCATTAGGTGTAGATTATAATAATAACTACCTTTGGATTTGTGGTGAAGATTAAATGAGATTGTGTATGTAAGGATCTGGTATGTAGAATCAATGAATATTAGTGCTGTTCTCATTTTTGGTACCCCATAGTACCTTGCACAGTGTTAGGCACATAGAACCTGCTCAGAAAATACTTACTAATTGACTGTATATTACATCTTAATAAAATCTTGTTAAATTGTTTTCAGGAGGACTTTCGACTGCATTTTAGAAATATTTCAAGAATTATGGATTGTGTTGGTTGTTTTAAATGTCGTCTGTGGGGAAAGCTTCAGGTAAGCAAATTTAGTCATTCCTATTTCTCATTTACCCTTTGCATGAATAATTTTCTAATTTTTCTTTTTTCCTTATTTCTATTACAGACTCAGGGTTTGGGCACTGCTCTGAAGATCTTATTTTCTGAGAAATTGATAGCAAATATGCCAGAAAGTGGACCTAGTTATGAATTCCATCTAACCAGACAAGAAATAGTATCATTATTCAACGCATTTGGAAGGTTAGTTTGAATGTACTGAAATGCTTCTGGTAGCCAAGTAAGTCTAATGCAACATATATGCTCTCAGAAAAAACTGGGTAAGGAATATCCTTTTTATTTTATTTGTTTATTTATTTTTGAGACGGAGTTTTGGTCTGTAGCCCAGGCTGGAGTGCAGTGGCGTGATCTCGGCTCACTGCGACCTCCACCTTCTGGGTTCAAGCGATTCTCCCAACTTAGCCTCCCAAGTAGCTGGGATTACAGGTGCGTGACACCACGCCTGGCTAATTTGTGTGTGTGTGTGTGTGTGTGTGTGTGTGTGTGTGTATTTTTAGTAGAAACACGGTTTCACCATGTTGGCCAGGCTGGTCTTGAACTCCTGACCTCAGGTGATCTGCCAGGCTCCACCTCCCGAAGTGCTGGATTACAGGCGTGAGCCACTGTGCCCAGCCAGGAATATTTTTTTTGAAGAAATCATTTCATTACAGAATTATGGGATATTATGAAATACCTCCAGTATGTAGACATATACAATTAGTACATGATCGTCTTTATTTTCCTCTATTGACTTTTATAATCATAATTAGGGCCGGGCACGGTGGCTCATGCCTGTAATCCTAGCACTTTGAGAAGCCAAGGTGGGTGGATCACTTGAGGCCAGGAGTTCAAGACCAGCCTGGCCAACTCTACTAAAATCAAAAAAAATTAGCCAGGCATGGTGGAGCATGCCTGTGGTCCCAGCTACTCAGGAGGCTGAGGCAGAAGAATCGCTTGAACCCGGGAGGCAGAGGTTGCAGTGAGCCGAGATCATACCACTGCACTCCAGCCAGGGTGACAGAGCAAGACATCATCTCAAAAAAAAAAAAAAAAAAGTGTGTATATGTATGTATAAAATCATAATTATAATTACTCATTGAATTTTAATATTCATCTTATCGAATTTGTACATTAAAAATTGCTTAAAAGCAGTTTTTTTATCCAATTATTTTTCTGATAGTGGTAGAAAAATCATGTTGTTTAACATAGGTGTACATGTAAATCTCTTTGTGAACTCACCATTATATAAAAAGGTTAATAATTCTTTTAAAAATAATTATTTCCTATCAAAATGATTAAAGAAAAGCATGAAATAAGGAACTTACATTAAAATATTTAAGTACAGATGCATTTCCTTCTGGCCTATCATGCAAGAAATGCTGAGATTTATAAAAATTAACATTTTTTAAAGGACTACATTTCCTCATTTAAAAAATATTACAATTTTGGGCTTGAAATAATTGACCTTCAAAATTGTGTCTCTAGCATCCAAGGGCTAGATAGTTAATATTTCATTGATTATTCTGTTTTTTTCATGATCGAGAGCAGAGCTAAGTGCACTTAAAATAAGGAACAAAATTTACTTTACAAAAATTAGTGAAAACAGTGTAGTCATACGTTTAATACTCTTACTCTTTATAGGCCAATAGCATTGATTCTTTCTACATTTACTAAATATGGTGTATTTTAAGTATTCATATACTTATGCATTTAAAAATGATATTTCTGTGTTTATATACTTTATACTTACGTACTTTAATATTAAGCATACGAATACTTTTATGAATACTTATACCTAAATATTGTATTATTTGTATACTTACATATTTTATACCAAATACTATATACTTTAATATTAAGGGAGTATACTTATGAATGCTTAAAATATAGAAGTATTTTAATATTTATGTATCTCATACTTATGTATTTGATTGATTGATTGACCGACGTGATCTCAGTTTACGGAAACCTCTGCCTCCCAGGCTCAATAGATTCTCCCACCTTAGTCTCCTGAGTAGCTGGGATACAGGCACACGCCACCATGCCTGGCTAATTTTCTTGTTTTTCATAGAGAGAAGGTTTTGCCACATTGCCCTTGCTGGTCTCAAACTCCTGGACTCAAGTGGTCTGCTCGCCTTGGCCTCCCAAAGCGCTGGGATTACAGACATGAGCTACTGCACCTGGCTATTTTATTTATTTAAAAGAATTTGATTTTTTAGAGATAGGATCTGGCTATGTTGCCCAGGCTGGAGTGCAGTGGCATGATCATAGCTCACTGTAACCTTGAACTTCTGGGCTCAAGCAGTTCTCCTACCTCGGGTTTCCAAGTAGCTACGACTACATGGCACACACAGCCATGCCTGGCAATTTTTAATTTTTTTTTGTAGAGACCAGGTCTCCCTGTGTTGTCCAGGCTGTTCTCCAATTCCTGGCCTCAAGTAGTTCTCCCGTCTTGGCCTCAAAAAATACTGGGATTACAGGAGTGAATCACTGCACCTGGCATATGTATTTAAATACTTTTAAAATAACTAATTTCTAGACATTAATATCTTAGTTTTACCTTGTCGAATTAAGAACTAAAATATATTAAAATACATTAAATGGTTTATGCACCTTAAATTTATTGAAATAAATTACTTTAAAAATGTTTTAAAATGCAAAGTGAATAACTTTTACAGATAAAATTTATCTAAGATGGTTTCTGAGTGAAATATTTTTTGGTTACAGAATTTCTACAAGTGTGAAAGAATTAGAAAACTTCAGGAACTTGTTACAGAATATTCATTAAAGAAAACAAGCTGATATGTGCCTGTTTCTGGACAATGGAGGCGAAAGAGTGGAATTTCATTCAAAGGCATAATAGCAATGACAGTCTTAAGCCAAACATTTTATATAAAGTTGCTTTTGTAAAGGAGAATTATATTGTTTTAAGTAAACACATTTTTAAAAATTGTGTTAAGTCTATGTATAATACTACTGTGAGTAAAAGTAATACTTTAATAATGTGGTACAAATTTTAAAGTTTAATATTGAATAAAAGGAGGATTATCAAATTCATATATGATAAAAGTGAATGTTCTAAGTCTCTCAAACTAGCGTTTTATGTAATAATATGTAATATAAATAAAACTATGGTAAATGTGACAAGCATTTAATAGGAAAATGCTAAGGAGGCCTCATAAATGACCCATAATTACCAACGTAGAATTTTTCAGTACATTTAGGGTTGCTGGATTTAGCAAATAAAAATAAAGATTGCCCAGTTAGATTTGAATTTCAGATAAACAATTAGTTTTTTAATATTTTACATGGAATATTTGGAAAATACTTATACTAAAAAATTATTTGTTTGAAATTCAAATTTAACTGGGAGTCTTGTATTTTATCTGGCAATCCTAAAATACATTGGTATGAAACAAATCACTTTTAGAAGTATATTGCTATTTTGATTGGGTTGTTTTTGTGTGTAGAAACGTACAATAACAACTCAAAGGCACAGGAGATTTCTAAACATTGTGAAAAGTTGAATAGATTATATATTTATTCTCATAATACTTTCACTAATACTAAATAAAATTTGGGGAACACTTTTTATTTTTATATAATTTCCAATTTACAGAAAAGTTTCAAAAATAGTACAAAGAGCTCTCTTACCCAGATTCACTAATTGTTCATACGTGCTTTATCTTTCATGCTTTCTCTGTACACACACACACACACACAAATTTTTCCTCAATCATTTGAAAGTCAGTTATAGGCATCATGCCCCTTAAACCCTAAATACTTCAGTGTGTAATACTGAATAATTACTAAAAATGATTTTCTCAGAAAAAAAAACTCCCACAATTCTGGAACTATAATACTGTAAGCCTTAGAATAAATAATACTTTCAAGTTCCAATCTAAAGTTCTTTTTGAGTTTTGTTGCCCGTTTTATGCTTGATGTGTATAGTAATAGGGTAGGCTATTTATTTTATTAAAATTTTTTTTAGAGACAAGGTTTTGCTGTGTTGCCCAAGCTGGAACTTGAACGACTGGGCTGAAGTGATCTTCCCACCTCAGCCTCCCAAGTAGCTGGGAATACAGGTGTCTGCCACCATACCCAGTTTCATTTTTGTTTTTTATACCCGAAGTTCATTTCCTTTGTCTCCCTAAAACTGAACTGTAATTTTGGGAGGTTTTCATTAGTGGAAGCTCTTCATTTATAAAGCTATTTGAAGGGGTTTAGGAATTTATATCACATGGTAATTGTAGAGAAAAAGAAGCTATATACCTCAAAATCGTGCCCTCTTTACATATGTCTTATCAGGTATAACATGTTGAAATGTCACATTAGTAGTAA